>NC_000002.12:107186587-107489618 GCF_000001405.40 Homo sapiens | reverse complement strand
AGATTTGAATACAATTTGTAACTTTTTCCTCCAAGCACTGGCGTCTTACTATTGACAAAAGAGCTTTTTTGAAAATAGTTATGTTGGGAACACTCCAAATCTTTTCTTCTAGCTATTTTGAAATATATCCTAAGTTATTGTTAACTATAGTCATCCTCTTGTGCTATTGAACACTGAGACTTATTCCTTCTATCTAACTTTGGAATGTTCCTAACACAAATAAATGATAAATGTTTGAGATGATGGATATCCTCATTACCCAGATTTCATTATTACCAATTGCATGCTTTTATCAAAGTATCACATGCACCTTATAAATATGTACAAGTATCATGTATTCATAAAATATTTTTAAGTATATCTTGCCCTATGGTTCTAGCAAAGATGGGATAAAAGATGGAGTAGCCCCTTTACTCACAGGTTCTCCCACTTACAAGTATAAAATGGATTAGATCAGAATGAGCAAGCATAGAAAGAGCCTGGATGGTAGAAAGAAGAAGTTAGGCTGCCTGGTGAACTGAGGACTTGGGAAAAGACACCATGGCAAATTCCCTGGATCTTCCTTTTCCCACTCTTATGTTCTGGAGAAGGTACTGTGGAATCTCCAGAACTACTAATAGACACACACAAAGAAAAGGTCCAAGAAAAGCCTGTTACCTTAGCCAAAGAACTTGGAAAAGGGTGTCCTAACAGAATGGAAATGTTCGTTGACAATATTTGCCATACTTTAGGCAAACACCAACAGAACCCTCGCAGACCCCAGGCTTCAGAAGGGCTGAAAAGAGCTTATTTCCCACCCCACCTCCCATCCACCTATGCAAGCAGCAGCCCTCCAACACCCCCTCCCTGCAGAGGCAGGCAGTATTTTGATTTTCCCATGGGGGTGGGGTCAGTAGGATTCAGCAGAGAGTGGAGGAGGCTCCACCCTCTACAAACAGCAAGAAATTTAGCCTGGTGGAGGAAGGCCAGGCTGACCAGCACTCCACCCAAGGACCCAGTGGGAAGCTGAACGTGCTCTCACCCACCTGGCACTAAAAAGGGGAAGAGGTCAAGGTCAGGAGATCAAGACCATCTTGGCTAACACGGTGAAACCCCGTTTCTACTAAAAATACAAAAAATTAGCCGGGCGCGGTGGCGGGCGCCTGTAGTCCCAGCTACTCGGGAGGCTGAGGCAGGAGAATGGCGTGAACCTGGGAGGCGGAGCTTGCAGTGAGCCGAGACTGCGCCACTGCAATCCGGCCTGGGCTAAACAGCGGGACTCCGTCTCAAAAAAAAAAAAAAAAAAAAAAAGGGGAAGAGGTGGTGTGAGATGAAGCTGGTTGACTTCACTGTCCCATCTCCCTATCCATGTCATCAGTGGGCTCCAGTGAGGAGCTAAGCTTCTTCCTCATACCTGCAGCAAAAAAAAAAAAAGTGTTTTTTGAGTCTTCAGCTTCCTCCCTCATTGGCATCAGTGAAACACAGCAGGAAGCAGAGGACACACTCCCCCTGGGAGACAACAAGCAGTACCAGTTGGTGCTCATTTTTGCTGGAAAGATAAAGTGTCAGTGAAGCCTTGGGATAACTTTCACTCCACGCATCTGCAATCAGGCAGTGTGAGTTGGTGCTCTGTGCTGGTATCTATGGAGCCCAATGAAAAGCAGAACATGCTCACATACCATGTTTTTTAACTATACTTCAACGAGGGTATTGTTTGGTTGACTACTTAATTAATTGAATAGTATTTGAAGTTCAGTATACAATGTAAACCACTCATCATATCAAGAACCAACACAATTTGAATGAGAAAAGTCAATTAACAAGTGACAACACTGAGAAAAATCAGATAGAGTAGTCTCACTATGTCCATGAGACATGTTCCATGACCCTCAGTGGATGCCTGAAACCTCACATAGTACCAAGCCCTATATATACTATGGATTTTCAATCTGATACCAAGATCTGCAGACAGGTAGTGTATGCAGCATGAATACACTAGAAAAAGGGATGATTCATGTCCAGGGCAGGGAGGAGCAATACAGTACAAGATTTTATTACATTACTTAGAATGGTGTGCAATTTAAAACTTATGAGTTGTTTATTGTTGGAATTTTCCATTTAATATTTTCAGAGCACGGCTGACCGTGGGTAAGGGTAACTGAAACTATAGAAAGCAGAACTGTGGATAAGAGGAGACTTCTATATTGGAATTATCTGGAAAGAGTTTTTTTTTTTTTTTTTTTGAGACCAAGTCTTGTTCTGTCACCCAAGCTGGAGTGCAGTGGTGCAATCTTGGCTCACTGCAAACTCCACCTTCCGGGTTCATGCCATTTTCCTGCCTCAGCCTCCCGAGTAGCTGGGACTACAGGTGCCCACCACCACACTCACCTATTTTTTTTTGTATTTTTTAGTAGAGACAGGGTTTCACTGTGTTAGCCAGGATGGTTTTGATCTCCTGACTTCATGATCCACCCTCCTCAGCCTCCCAAAGTGTGGGGATTACAGGCATAAGCCACCGCACCCAGCCTATCTGAAAAGAGTTTTAAAGCAAACAGTGTAAAACTACTTTAATAAGAAACTTAAAATTATCTGGAAGCAAATGGGGGAAAAAAAACCAATTTCAGCAAAGAAATAGAAACTACCAAAAATAACAAGAAACTTAAAATTATCTGGAAACAAATGGAAAAAAAACCTAATTTCCACAAAGAAATAGAAACTACCAAAAATAACTAAATAAAAATTATAGGACCGAAAACTACAGCAAAATAAAACACTTGATGGATTAGCTCATTAGTAGAGTAGACATGGCAGGTGATAGAATCTGTGAATTTGAGGACAAATCAATTTAATTTATTCAATTTGAACAACATAGAGAAAATAGACTGAAATACAAAATTATTAAACAGAGACATGGTGTATTAGTTCATTTTCACACTGCTATAAAGAAATACCCGAGAGTGGGTAATTTATTTAAAAAAGAGGTTTAATTGACTCACAGTTCTGCACGGCTGGGGAGGCCTCAGGAAACTTACAATCCTGGTGGAAGGGGAAGCAGGCACGTCTTACATGGCAGCAGGTGAGACAGGGTGTGTGAAGGAGGAGCTGTCAAACACTTATAAAACCATCAGATCTCATGAAAACTCACTCAACTATCACGAAAACAGCATGGGGGAAACCTCCCTTAACATTACATGTCCCTCCTTCGACATGTGGGAATTACAATTTGAGATGAGGTTTGAGTGGGGAAACAGGGCCAAACCATATCACCTGGGTTCCTATGGAACATTCACAAGAGAACTTAATATCATTCAAGTCCCAGAAAGAAAGGTGATAATTAGTGGGACTGAAAAAACAGTGAAATAATGTCCAAACACGTCCCAAATTTTTTAAAAACATAAACCTATAGGTATAAGAAACTGAGTGAAATTTAACAGTGAAAGGCTGAATGTTTTTCTCCTCAGATCAGAAAGAAAACAAGGATGTCTGTTCTCACTATTCTTATTCAGCATAGCACTGGATGTTCTACTAGAGCAATACAAGGGGCAAAGCATAAAAATTGGAAAAACAAGAAAACTGTCACTAATTGCTGATGACCCAATGAGGAAAATCATAAAGAATCTACAAAAACTTCTCTAAAATCAATATGTGAGTCCAACAAGTTCACAAGGTACAGATCAACACACAAAAACATTCACCTTTTAATACAACAAATATGTGGAAATCAAAATTAAAAATACAATACCATTGCTTTGTCCATTTGCGTTACTATAAAGGAATGTCTAAGACTAGATAATTTATAAAGACTTATTTGGCTCATGATTCTGCTGGCTGGAAGATTGGGCACCTGGTGAAGGCCTCAGGCTGATTCCACTCATGGCAGAAGGCAAAGGGGAGCTGGAGTGCAGAGATCACATGGCCAAAGAGGAAGAGGGGAGGAAGAGAGAGAGGGGAGGTCTAGGCTCTTTTTAGTGACCAGCTCTAACAGGAACTAATAGAGCGAAAACTCAATACTATGAGGATGGCACCAAGCCATTCATGAGGGATTCACCCCATAACCCAAACACCTCCCATTAGCCCCATCTCCAAGGGGTCAAATTTTACCATGAGGTTTGGAGTGCAGTGGCACAATATCAGATCACTACAACTTCTCTCTCTTGGGTTCAAATGATTCTCCAGCCTCAGCCTCAAGTAGAATTACAGCCACCCACCACCATGCCCAGTGAATTTTTGTATTTTTAGTAGAGATGGAGTTTCACCATATTGGCCAGGATGGTCTCAATCTTTTGACCTAGTGATCCGCCTGCCTCAGCTTCCCAAAGTGCTGAGATTACAGGTGTGAGCCACCGTACTCAGCCAAAATGCATATCTTGATTGAAGCATAATGTAATAATTTATACCTTTCTAAGTTTATAATATTAAACTCTTCTTCATCTTGGCATTCTCAAAACTGTTAATTCTTTAAGTATATTGCTCAATAGGAGTGTGCTAAGAGCATATTATTTTGGAGAACAATCAAAATCTGCAATTCACATAAGCATAAAAAGTATATTTAATTTAGAAGTGCAACAATAAAGAAACATGATTTTAATTTAACTGAGGCTTCCCAAACTCTTTCTACAAGACTGTTATTTTCTAACATTCCTTAAAACTAGCATTCAACAGAGTACATACTTAGAAATGCAGTTTCGCCCTGTTTTTCTAAATAACTTGACATGTATTTGAATTCCCACTAAACTGAAACAATAATTGAGAATTCTGATTAGTTTATAGCAAATTTATAAACTTTTCATTGAGGCAATTCCTTCAGGATGGGAAAGGCTGAGTAACATCATTGCAATGGCTTTTACATACCATAGCTTAATGTTTCCATTTGAAGTAACTACTACTATGTGTTTTTTGTATTTTCTCTTAGTGACATATGGAGAAAGAGAAAATAAGGAAAGTTAAAAAGTAGACGAGAGAGAGAATATTCTTATCTGGGTCAAAATGGAATAAAGAAACTGGATTTACCATCCTGACTTAACTGTAAACATAGCCAAAACATATGAAACAATAGTTTGCAGATGTGGACTACAGTCAGCACAGAGCTGTGATTCCTAAAGTTTTCAGGTTACATTTCAGGGAGGGGGGATCCAAACAGAATCTAGCCATTTTCCTGGGCTGAGATCAGCGATCTGGAAGAGTTGGCAGTGAGAAATTGTGGGAAAAAATAGAAGAGAGAAGGTAGATGCACCAAGAGAAAGAATCAGAATGCCCTGGGACACTGAGTGCTGATATGCACTGCATGGGAGGGAAATATCTAAGACGAAAAAAAAAAAAAAAATAGAAAGGAAAAAAAAGAAAAAGAAAAAAAGAAAATAAGTAGAAATAAGTAGACAGGAAATTTTCTGGGGATCAACCAGAACTAGTAATATTTTACATTCCCACCTGTCAAAATGGAAAGACCTCATAATATATGGGGAATCAAGTAGAGTCCTTCAAAGCACACCACCTGGGGAAAAATAAGTCCCAGGCTAAAGGTTGCCCCAGGCCCATTCTAAACACTTAAAACCAAAACAAAAATCCAACACTATTTATAGAAATACAACAAAATCTAGGAACCAACAAAGTAAAATTCAGTGTTTGGTATCCAGAAGAAGAAGAAGAAAAAATTGTCAGGTATGCAAAGAGCAGAAAAATAGAACTCATAAACAAGAGAAAAAAATCAACCAATAGAACCATATCAAGAAATAAGACATGATGGAATTAGCAAACAAGGACACTAAAGCAACCATTATAAATATGGTATACATAGTCAAATAAGTAGCAGAAAGAATGACCACAATGAGAAGAAAAATGAAGATATGAAAGCAATTTAAATAGAGATTCAAGAGATGAAAAATATATCTGAAATGTGTTTATATATATGTCATATATACTATGTATGCATATATATGAGATATATATCATATATACTCTATATACACAAGTGTATATATAATAAATACACATGGACATATATCATATAAAATACATGTGTTTTTATGGTATATATGATATATATCATAGTATATCATGTATCATCATATGTATACATATCATATGTATATTATATATCATATATACACATAATATAAATATATGTTTGTGTCATATATATGTACACATGTGCATATGGTATATAATTTTGTATAATGAATATACACACTTGTATATAATATATAAGTAATATAAACATATTCACATACATACATATATTATGTTATATAGGTATATGTATTCTACATATATACATATATATCTTCTACATATATACATATATATATCTTCTACCTGTATACATATATATATAACTCATATATATAGGATGAGATCAAGAACAGATTTGATAGTACAGAAGATAAAATCAGTAAACTAAGACATGAGAATAGAAACTGTCCATAATAAAGTACCATGAGAAAAAAAGAGTAAAGAAAAAATAAACAGATCACTGGGGACTTACAGAGAAGATTAATGTAGACTAACATATGTATAATTGAAGCCCCCAAATGAGAAGAGAAAATGGGAGACAGAAAAGTTATTTGAGGTAATAATGTCCAAAAGTTTGCAAAATTTGATGAAAATTATAAACCTAAAAATCCAAGAAATTCAGTGACCTCAGGCAAAATAAATATAAGGAAAACCACCAAATCCACGTGATAATCAAATGACTTGAAATGAGATGTAAAGAGAAAGAAAAGTAGCCAAAGAATAAAAATACACATTGTGCACACAGAGGACCAAAGATCAGAAGATGTCTTATCAGGAACTATGAAAGCTGAAACTTGATGGAGAGACATCTTTAAAGTACTCAACAGAGGAAAAGAAAAACCTGTGAACCTAGAATTCCTTACCAGTAAAATAGCTCTCAAAATTGAAGACCAAATAAAGGCCTTTTTTTTTCAAACCACAATGTGAGACATTTCATTTCCAGTGGCCTGCACTATAAGCAATGTTAGATGAAACTGATCAAGAATAATTAAAATAATGTCAGATGGAAATTTGGACCTATAAGAAAGATTAAAAAGCACTGGAAATAATACACATGTGAGAAATATAAAATATATTTTATTATTCAATATATTTAACAGATAATTGATTATTTAAAAAAGCTTAAACTAACCAGGTGCAGTGGCTCACACCTGTAATCCCAGCACTTTGGGAGGCCAAGGTGGGCGGATCACGAGGTCAGGAGTTTGAGATCAGCCTGGCCAACATAGTGAAACCCCGTCTCTACTAAAAATACAAAAAATTATCCAGGAGTGGTGGCAGGCGCCTGTAACCCCAGCTACTCAGGAGGCTGAGGCAGGAGAATCGCTTGAACCCGGGAGGCAGAGGTTGCAGTGAGCGGAGATCATGCCTCTGCACTCCAGCTGGGGTGACAGTGTGAGACTCTATCTCAAAAACAAAAAAAATTAATTAATAAAAAAAGCTTAAACTAAAAATCTATGTTTATAGCACAATGTATTTATAAAATAACACATCACTCACACACACACCACATGCATACACATATATGAATATGTTTCTAGCAAAAGTAAAAGTAGAATGTGCAATAACAGAAGGAGGTAATAGAAGTATATTATGCATAAAGTGGTATTTTACCTTTTTTGGTAATTTGTGATAATTAAAGATGCATCTTGCAAACTTTAGAGTGACTACTATATAATAAAACAATCAGATATTGTTTATCAGATATATCTAATAAGGCAATAGTGAATAAGAAATCTATTTAAAAAACTGTAAAAATATAAAATCTCAAAAGAAAACAGAAAAGACATAAAGGGAAAATGATGGATAAACAAAGTCAATGTGACAATAATAATTGTATATACTTTACATAAAGAATTAAGAAATCAGAAAAGGGGTAAAATTTTTAAGAGGTAATCACAATCCTAAATGTGTATTTATCTAATAATAGCATTTCAAAATACAGGAATCAGTAACTCATGGAAAAACAACAACAAAGAAACCAAACAAATAAAACAGACAAATTTTCAATTATAGCTAAAAAAAACCTCTTTATTCTTATATACTCTTATAGTAATTGATACAGCAATTAGAGAGAAAATTAGTAAGGATATAGGACATTTGAACAATGATATCAACTAAATGAACCTACCTGATACTATGGAAAACTCCATCATGTAACCGCGGATTAGATATTTTCAAGAGATGAGGAAGCTTCATGAAGGTAGGCTATATTTTGAGCCATTAAACAGTTTTTAAAATTTTCAAAATCAGAAATCACATTAAATAAGTTATCAGATTGCAACAAAATTCAACTAAAAAGTCAGTAAGTGAAAGATATATGTAATTCGTAAAAATTAAAAACTGAACACAGAAATCAAAAAGGAAAAGAGTAATTACAATGATAATAACATCACAGCATATAAAATATGTAAGATGAAGTTAAAACAGTGCTTAGTGGGAAATTTATAGCACTAAAAGCAAATATTAGGAAAATATAATTTCTCAAGGCTGTAACTATATGTCAATGCAAAAGTAATTGTGGTTTTTGCCATTAGTTTTAATATTTCCTAGTTACATATTTCCTACATATTTCTAAGTTAAAGGTCTGGAAAAAGAAGAGCAATTTATGCCCAAGGTAGTAGAATAAAAGTAATAATAATGCTAAGAGTAGAAATCAATAAAATAGAAAGTACCAATATAATAATAATAATAAAATAAAAAGACATGTCTTTGAACAAATCAATTAATTTGATAAAGCCTATCTAGAATGATCAGAAATAAAAATGAAATAAATTACCAATAGCAGAAGTGAAAAGGGGGACATTACTATCAATACTACAAACATTAAAAAACTAATAAAAACTATTATTAACATATTTGTTTTAATTAATTATAAAACTTAGATAGAATGGAAAATTTTTTTCAGATACAAACTGCCAAAGCATCCCAAGAAGAGTCCTCTGTATCTATGAAATGAATGGGCATTCTAAATATCAATCTTCACACAAAGACATTCCTATTGTCAGATAAGTTAACTGTTAAATTCATTGAATATTTCAGAAGTAATAATAACAATATACAACAATTTAACCTCTACTTTACAACACATACAATTATGTGTATATGTAATATATACATTGTATATGTTGTGTATATGTAATATATACACATAATATATGTATATATATGTATATAATACATGTATATAGTAATATGTACACATAATTGACAGTTTAATAAAAAAAACCATTTACAATGACAGCAAAAATATGAAATAGTACTGGATAAATTTAACAAAAAATCTAGAAGACATGTATGCCCAAAACTACCAAGTATTGCTAAGAGAAATTTAAAGAGACCTATATATATGATGAGTTACATAACGTTCATTAATTGAGAGACTTGATATTAAGATTTAAAGTGTTCCCAAATTAACCTCTAGCAGCAAGATAATCCCAATCAACACCTCAACGTGTTTTTTTTTTTTTTTTTTTGCAAAAATTAACTGGCTTATCTGAAAGTAATGTAAAATATAAATAACCTAGAATAAAAATTGTATAAAAGAAGGACAAAATGGAAGAATTTTACTGCCT
This sequence comes from Homo sapiens, assembly GCF_000001405.40. Classification (NCBI taxonomy): domain Eukaryota; kingdom Metazoa; phylum Chordata; class Mammalia; order Primates; family Hominidae; genus Homo; species Homo sapiens. The sequence continues at coordinate 107,480,055 of NC_000002.12, read as the reverse complement.
GATTTCAAGATGTCAGTAATCAGGACACTGTGGTGTTGGTGTAACAGTACACTTATAGATCAATGGAAAATCACAGAAAGTCTATGAATAAACACAAATTTGTGTTTAATTTTTTTATAAAATGCTAATGTAAATCAATGGGTTATGGATAGTCTTTTAAATATTGTGCTGAAATATTTTGATACCTGTATGCAAAAACAATATAACCTGTACTTTACAACATATACAAAATGCTGAGACAAAAAAAAAAAGTTGAATCGTGCCACACGAGAGCACTAACTGATGAAAGTCATTTGCAGAGGAGCAAAGGACAGAAGGTAGCCTTGGAGCACAGAGCCAGAGATCTTTCTCTGCCTTTTTCGTTTCTTAGGACCTAAGATCTTGTCAACTTGGTCACAATAAAGTATCTTTACCAAAAGTGTAATTTCCCTTGTTATGACAACTATGTAAGAACAATTCTTCTAATCTTCTCTAATTTCGCATATTTGAGGAGATGAGAGAAAGATGTTTGAGCTGGAAAAGTGAAGAAGTTGACCGGGCGCAGTGGCTCACACCTGTAATCCCAGCACTTTGGGAGGCCAAGGCAGGCGGATCATGAGGTCAAAAGATCGAGACCATCCTGGCCAACATGGTGAAACCCCGTCTCTACTAAAAAAATTGCAAAAATTAACCGGGAGTGGTGGCATGCACCTATAGTCTCAGCTACTCAGGAGGCTGAGGCAGGATAATCGCTTGAATTCGTGAGGTGGAGGTTGCAGTGAGGGGAGATCTTGCCACTGCACTCCAACCTGGTGACAGAGCGAGACTCCATCTGTAAAAAAAAAAAAAAAGTTACAAAGTTATCCCTTGTTGAATTATAAAATAATTTAAAATATTTCAATTTATCTATTTTTTCTTACTTGTGTTTTTCATGTCATATTTAAGAAACCATGCCTAATCCAAGGTTATGTAGATATATGGTCATGTTTTCTAACTAAATAGGTTTTAGTTTTATTTCTTGAATTTAATTCTTTGATTTTCTTGAGTTAATTTTCTATGTGTTGTTAACTTAGTAAGTTCAACATCATTCTTTTTTACATAGATATCCAGTTTTCCAGCGCCATTTGTTGGAAAGAACATTTTTTTCCATTGAATCGCCTTGGAACCTTTGTCAAAAATCAATTGACCATAGATATATGGATTTATTTCTGGGCTTTCAATTCTCTTTCGTTGATACATATGTCTATCCATCTATCCTTATGCCAATACCATGCTGTCTTGATTTCTGCAGCTTTTTAGTAAGTTTTGAAATTGGGAAGTTGAGTCTTCCGAATTTGTTCTTTTTTTGTTAAGATTGTTTTGACTATTTTGGGTCTCAAGTATTTCCATATGAAATTTAGGATAACAGCAAAAGCAGCTAGAATTTTGACAGAGATTGCATTAAATCTGTAGATCAATTTGGGGAGTATTACTTTCTTAACAATATTAAATATTATAGCTCATGAACACAAAATATCCTTAATTTATTTAGATATTTATGTATTATACGAATTTTATTCTTTTCTATTCTGCAGTAAATAAAATTCTTCTCTTAATTTCATTTTAGGATAGTTCATAGTGTATAAAAAGATAATTAATGTTTATATATTGATCTTGTATATCACAACCTGTGGATTCATTCATCACTTATAAGAGGCTTTTTTTGCAGTGAGGAGCACTTCTTGGGTTTTCTTACATACAAGATCCTGTCATCTGTGACTAGGAATAGTTTTACTTCTTCTATTCCAATTTGAATGCCTTTAATTCTTTTTTCTTGTCCATTTGCCTTGAATAGAACCTCAAGTAGAATGTTGAATAGAAGTAACAAGAGGAGATATTACTATCTTGTTTCTGCTCATAGAGGGGAAGTTTTCAGCCTTTCACTATGAAGAATAATTGTGGGTCAATTGTGGGTTTTTCATAAATGCCTTTTATCTGCATGAGGAAGCATCTTTTTTAAACTTTTAAGTTCAGGGGTACAAGTGCAGGTTTGTTACATAGGCAAATGTGTGTCATGGGGGTTTGTTGTACAGATTATTCCATCACCCAGATATTAAGCCTAGTACCCGTTAGTTATTTTTCCTCCACCTGTCCTCCACCCTCTGATAGGCCCCACTGTGTGTTGGTCCCCTCTATGTGTCCATGTGTTCTCATCATTTAGCTCCCACTTATAATGAAAACATGCTCTATTTGGTTTTCTGTTCCTGTATTAGTGTACTGTTAAGGATATGGGAAGTATTTTTTTATTCATAGTTTGTTGAGTGTCTTTATAATGAAAAATTATTGTATTTAATTAAATGACATTTTTGTCTTTGTCTATTGAAATGACCATGTGGTGTTTGTCCTTTATTTTATAATATGGTGTGTTACATTGATTGATTTCTGTATATTGAGACACTTTTGCATCTTTATGATAAATCCCACTTAATCATGGTTTGTAATAGTTTTTATATGTTGCTGGATTTGGTTTCTGATATTGCATTGAACACTTTTGTATCTATATGCATAAGGGCTAACAGTCTGTAGTTTTCTTTGCCTGTAATATATTTGCCTGATTTGTTACCAGGGTAAAAATGGCCTCATAGAACCTGTTACAAAAAGTTCTCTTGACTTCTATTTTAAGAAGAGTTTTAAAATAATTAGTCTAATTTTAATTAAATAATTTAAAGAATTTGTCAGTGAAACCATCTTGTTCTGGAGTATTGTATTTCTGTGTGTGTTTGTAAATGTGTGTGTGCTACATTTAATTTAGTAATTTCATCACTTTTCTTTTACATCTCTTTTCATATTTTTCATCTGTTCTAGAGTCAGTTTTATAAATTTCTTAATTTCATGTATATTATATAATGTATTTGCACAAAAATGGTAATCATATTTATTTATAATCCTTTTTGCTTTTTAATGTCAGTATTAATATGCTTTTCTCTTCACTGATTTAGTTTGGGTCTTATTTCTTGGTCTAGCTAAAGGGCCATCAATTTTGTTTATCTGTTCAAAGAACCAGTTGATGATTTCATTGAAATTCTTGAAATTTTAATTCCCTATTTAATTTTTCCTGCTCACATTATTATTTTTTTTCTTTCAACCTGTTCTGGGTTTAGTTTTCTCTTATTTTCCCAGTATTTTAAGGTGGGTATTTAGATTATTAATATGTGACCATTTTCATTTTTAACATGGGTGTTTACAGCTATAAATTTTCCTCTTGGCACTGCTTTACGGATTCCTAAGATTTTGTATGGTGTATTCTTATTTTAATTGGCCTAAAGTATATTTTAATTGCCTTTGTGATTTTGTATTTGGCCTATTGGTTATTTCTGAGTGTGTTGTTTAATTTCCACATATTTGTGCATTTTTCAAATTTCCTTCTTTTTTGTGGTTGAAAAATATCTTTTTATTATTTCAATTGTTTTTAATTTATTGAGGTTTGCCATATGACTTAGCATATTATCTATCCTGGAGAATTTTTTTTAGCAATTGTAAAAAATTTGTTTTCTACAGTTGTTTGGTGGAATGTTGTATAAATGTCTGTTAAGTTTAGTTAGTTCAATGCCTTGATAAAGTCTTTTTTTTGTTGACTCTCTGTGTAGTTATTCTATTTATAATTAGAAGTAGGATATTAATACCTTCAATGTCAAATTGTCTATTATTCCATTCAATTCTGTCAATTTTTGATTTATATATTTTGGGTTCTGTTTTTAGGTACATATATATTTATAAGTATTATAACATCTTGAAATAATGACTCTTGTGTCATTGTGAAATATCCTCCTTTGTGTCTAATAACACCTTCTGCCTTTGAAATATCTTGTCTGGTATTAGTATCACTTTTACTTTTCCACATCTATTTTTGTTATTGTTTGCATAGTATATCTTTTTTTATAATTTCACCTTCAACCTTTTTGTGTCTTTGAATCTAAAGTGTATCTCTTGTATACAGCATATGTTTAGATCATGTTTGTTTTTTCCTAATCCGTTCTGTCAGCCTCTGTCTTTTGGTTGGAGTATTTAATCCATTTACATTTAATGTAATTAAAGATAAAGTAGGATTTATGTCTTCAATTTTAAAATTTGTTTCCAATGTTATGTCTTGTTTGTTTCTCAACTTCTCCATTATTGCATACTTTTGTTGGGGGGGGGATTTTTTTTTTTTTTTAATGCAGTTTCGGTCTTGTTGCCCAGGCCAGAGTGCAATGGCACAATCTTGGCTCACCAAAACTTCTACTTCCTGGGTTCAAGCAGTTCCCCTGCCACAGCCTCCCAAGTAGCTGGGATTACAGGCATGTGCCACCAACCCTGGCCAGTTTTGCATTTTTAGTAAAGATGAGGTTTCTTCATGTTGGTCAGGCTGGTCTTGAAATCTCGACCTCAGGTGATCTGCCCGCCTCGGCCTCCCAAAGTGCTGGGATTACAGGCATGAGCCACCGTGCCCAGCCATTATTGCATTCTTTTATGTTAAATAGATGGTTTTTTTTAATGTACCAGTTTAACTCACTATCATTTCTTCTACTGTATATGTTTAAAATTAGCTCCTTATTGGTTACCCTGGGGATTACAATTACCATCTTAATTCATAAAAATTTATTTCACATTAACACCAGCTTCATTTCAAGAGCATTTTTTAAAAAGTCCACATCTATATATCTCTGCTTGTACTTCCTCGTTTCTTTCATTATTGACATATAAATTCCCTGTTTATACATTGTATGCCTATGAACACAAATTTATAATTGCTTTATGCGATTGCTTTTAAGTCAAATAAAATAAAGTGTTACATACAAACATATATTTATACTTTGTTTTATATTGACCGACATACTTACTTTTACTGTTGACTTTTCTTCATGTGGATTCAAGTTACTGTGTAGCTATGTAGTTTTTTTTTCATTTTACTTTAAGATATACCTCTTGATGCTTTTTGTAGAATAGCTCTAATAAAGCAAATTCTCTGTGTTTATTATATAGATACATTGAATTTTTCCTTAAGTTTTTTTTTTTTTTTCTTGAGATAAAGTCTCGCTCTGCCACTCAGAATGGAGTGCAGTGGCACGATCTTGACTAACGGCAACCTCTGCCTCCCGGGTAGCGATTCTCCTACCTCAGCCTCCTGAGGAGCTGGGATTACAGGGAAGCGCCACCACACCCAGCTAATTTTTGTATTTTTAGTAGAGACAGGGTTTCACCATGTTGGCCAGGTTGGTCTTGAACTCTTGACCTCAGGTGATCCACCTGCCTTGGCCTCCTAAAGTGCTGGGATTATAGGCATGAGCCACAGTGTCCTGGCCTTGAATTCTTCCTTAAGTTTTAAAGAACAGTTTTACTGAATGCAGAATTCTTCGTTGATAGTTTTCTTTTTTCTTTTCCTTTGATTTGAATATACCACCTCACTGTGTTCTGGCTTCTATGATGTCTGACAGGATTTCATTCAGGCTGCTTTGTACATAATGAGTCCTTTTTTCCTTGGTGCTTTCAAGATTCTTAGTCTTTGACTTTTGAGAGTTTAATCATGGATGTATTTAGTTGGGTATATCTTTGAGTTTATCCTATTTGCATATGCCCTTGAGTTTTATGGGTGTGTATATAATGTTTTCAATAAATTTGAGGAGTTATTAGCCATTATATCTTCAAATATTCTTTCCACTTTCTTTTCTCATCTGCATCTAGAATTCCCATTATAAATATGTTGATGTAATTGATGTTGCCTCGAAACTTTAAAAGGCTCTTTTTATTTTTATTAATTTTTGGAAGCCCAGCTAGCTCAGTCAGTAGAGCATGAGACTTTTATTTTTATTAATTTTAAAAATTCTGTTTCTTAGACTGTATAACCTCAATTGATCTATCTTAAGTGTACAGATTATCTTCTCTGTCCACTTGAAACTGCTGTTGATTCCCTCTAGTGGTATATTTTCCATTTCAGATACTAGATTTTCAACTCCAGAAGTTTAATCTGGCTTGTTGTTTTGCATTTCTATGTTTTTATTTTTTATTTTTTCTATTCAGTGAGACATTGTGCTCATACTTTATTTAATTCTTCAGATGTGGTTTCAATTTCTTTGACTGTATTAAAATGTTCAAAGTCTTTGTCAAGTAAGTCCAAATCTGGGCTTCCTCATGAAAAGTTTGTATTGTTTGCTTTTTTCTTATGTACGGTCTATACTTTCATATTTCTTTTCATGTCTCATAATATTTTTTGAAAAGTGGACTTTTAAATTAATATAACATATAAATGTATTATAATAAATACTAAATATAATATGCTATGGTATAATATAATAAATATAATATAATATAAATCAGATTCTCCCTCCTCTTCAGAATTTGTTATTGTTGCTATTTGTTGTTTTCCTTGTTGTTGTTTAGAAACCTTTCTAAACTAATTCTTTAAGTCTATGTACTTTGTTGTAAGTGACCACTGACAGCATTATTTGGTTACTTTAGTAATCATTTACTGAATGAACAGATTTGTTGCTATTTTTGTTTGTTTCTTTAGTTCCAGAAAACAATAAGCCTCCAGTTTTTGTTGGGGAGTTCTGCATGTGTGGGGGAACATGCCTGCAACACTCAGGCAGTTTATAACTCTGTCTTGCCTTCATTTTCTCCTTTTACAGAGTCTTGAAGCCAGTCAGATGTGAAAGCTTAGGTCCTCCTCCAATCTTTTCTGAGGATATGAATGGTTCTGCATGTTAGAGTGACTTTCTGGATTCCCAGGAATGTGCCTGAATTTCTCAAGGCCCACTGCTAACATCTTATTTTCTAGTTTGTCCTTAACAGATTTTTCATTAGCTTATTTGTCCCAATTGTTATCACCTCCTCAGGCAGCTACAACATTAAACAATTGCTGCTGATTCTTTTTGCTAAACACCTCTGAAGAAAATACTATTTGTGCACAATTCAGCTAAGAGTCATATCAAATAAAATAAAAACCAGTCTTGGGATTGAGTTTCCACAAAGAAATGCCAGATAGGTCAAATAATACTAATCTCTGAGAATGGAGTTTTGAAAGAGCTCAATTTATACTGACTCCTCCAGTGGTGCTAGGATTATGGTTTTCACTGTAGCTGTGAGTTGTCAAAGACACCATGAAGCAGGAGAAAGGGTTGGAAAATATGGCAAGATAAAATGCCACAAAACTCACAACCCTCATTTAGCTACTTTAAAAAACAATGCCTTCTGGATTCTTGCAAAACATTGGTTAATCCCTAGAGTTCTGAAAAAGTTGGTTTTGAAATTTTTTGCAGGGTTCTCTTTGCTTTTATGAAGGATAGGATTTGGGGAAGTTTATAATCTGCCATTCCCAATGACATTACTGAGAACTGTTGTTAAAATTTGATGTAGGCAAAGATTAATTAATAGGACACAGGAAACAATACACATAAAAGAAAAAAGTGACAAAAAGACATAATCAATATTTTTTAAATTGCTCATTAAAACTCATCTTTAAGGAAACTAATAGTTAAGCCACAGGTTTGGAGATTAGAGACACATATATCTAACAAGGGCTTTTTACCTAGAATACTATAAAAACTCAAACAGATTAAAAAACGGAGAAAAGACTTGAAAAGATACTTCACCAAGGAAGATATACAAATGGCCTACAAACAACCAGTTCTTTATTTCTAAATATCATTCTTAACTAAAAGGAAACATGTTTCCTTAGATAAATGCCTAATGCCACAGCTTGGACAAGGAAATTCTACAATGATCTTGGGACATCTTATTGCACCAGAAAGTGAAGATATGATGAATGGAGAATGGTGACATGTCAAAGGGGCACAGGAGCTTAAATGAATGGGATTGCAATGGCTGGTCCTGGAACAATTTGAGCATAAATATAAATAATTATAGTAATAGATTATTATCCTTTGTGTAATTTTAAAAAATCCATTAATATATGATATAAATAAGCAAAACAAATAACCATGTAAAAAATAATAAAGAACATTAAGCTCTTCCTTACAGTAGAGTATCAATCAATCAATATAAAAAGAATAATGAGGTTAGAAAATTATCAATTTGTCTTACAAGTTACAGGTGAAAATTTAATGTGAAACTAAATATTTACATGTCTCAAATTATCTCCCCATAAATTACTGAAAAGGAAAAATGGTAGCTCCATTGTAGAGAAACCTGGCCAACACCATCTTTACCAAGTTATCAAACTTCACATTACCAACACTGGAAAAAACTGACATCATTTGCCTCTGAATAAGATATTCTAAGAAGGATGTAGTATCACTGTTATGCTATTGCTACGAAAAATGCAGAGTCTAATCACGAGGCAACCTCAGACAAACTCAAACTGAGGTACATTCTAAAAAATAATTGATGTATACACTTACAAGATGTCAAAGTCAGTAAAGATATGGAAAGGCTGATAAACTACTTCGAATTAAAAGAGACTAAGGAGATATGAAAACTAATTACAGTGTATGCTACTGCATTTGATCTTGGGCTAGGAAAATATTAACTATAAGAGACATTTTTGGGAAAACGGACAAAATTTAAATGGGGTAATGGGTTACATCATTATATATTAATCTTTAGTTTGTTAATTTTGCCAAATGTACTGACATTATACAAGAGAATGTACTCATTCTTAGGAAACACTAAACTATTTAGGAGTAAGTATGATGTTTTCAACAAATCATACAGAAAAAATACATATCTATATATATATAGAGAGATTCTTATGTATATTCTACATATAGATATATACGGGGAATTATAATGTAAATGAGGCAAAACATTAACATATGCTGGTTATGAACAAAGGGTATATGACAGGAATGTTAGTAAAAACCTAAGAAACAACTTGATGGTAACTTTTTAGTCTTCGTCTTGCTTCCTTTGTCCTTAACATTCAACACAGTTGATCATTCTCACCCTTGAGCTATTTCTTCACTTGACTACCATGAACCAATTGTCACCTGGTTTTCTTCTTGCTTCTCTGGCTGTTCTTTCTCTACTTTGTCACTTTCCCCCACTATCCCAACCTCTAAATTTGAGTATTCCCCAGACCTCTTCAATTTCCTATCAACATTCATTCTGTAGGTGATCTCATCCAGTCTCATGGATCTATGTGCTGATGACTCCCACATTCAGATGTTGAGTTCCTGATACTTCATTTTCCGCATACCACCTTAATTTCTAAAGTGTTCTTCTCTATCCTTATTAATGGCAAGTCTATCCTTCCAGCAATTTAGAACAAAACCTTGAAATAATTCTTGACTCTTTTTTCCCCCTTTCCCATCACATATCACAAAATGCTGCTGGTTATGCATTAGAAATATATCCAGAATTTACTTCCTACTATCACCTCCACTACTAGCGTAGTTTAAGCTATCACCATATTTGCCTAAAATATTTGAAGTTTTTAAAACAAATGTATTTAGTATCTTTGTTTCTGAACATAGTGTCTAGCATGATCCTGTTAAAATAGTAGTCATATTATGTCACAGTTCTGCTCAATATATCCCCATATTACTATGTAAATAAATAAAAGCTCTTCCTGACCTGCGAAGTTCTGCATGATGCTTCTCTGACTTCAGCTACACCTTACCTTGTCATTCTGTCCACTGTAGCCAGCTTGGTCTCCAAGCCATGTCATGAGCATATGGACATGCTGCTTCTTCAGAGCTTTTGCAACAGAGCAGTCTTGCTCACTCCTACATTTCCCTTGAGTGCTTGCTGAGATGTACCTTGAGTAAGGCTTCTCGTGGTCACTGCAACTAAAATGTCAGTGCCTCACCAACTACCACCACACTTCCCAACCCTCTTTCCTGTCTTGTTTCCCTTAGCTGTGTCAAATATGTTTGTGTGTGTGTGTGTGCGTGTGTGTATCTTGTCTACTTTCTCACATTCCCATTCTAGCTATTTGTGGTAGGGATCTGTGTTTCTTCACTGTTGTTTCTGTAGCACATAATAGGGATTAAAGATTAGTGACTAAATGAATGTGAAATATATTTTCACCTTTCAATATTATGAACCTTATAATATTATTTACCTTCTAATATCCTGTAACAAATTGAACCTATAGTTTCTCACCTCCTCCAATTATTTTATTACTAGATTAATAGATAGATTAAAATCTATAACCTTTAAACAAAGTCTTCACAGGCTGGAGCGCAGTGGCACAATCATGGTGAGAGGTGACAACGTCCTAGCAGCTCTGGCTCCCTCTCGGCACCTCCTCAGGCCATGGCGTCCACTCTGGCCATGCTTGAGGAACCCTTCAGCCTGCCGCTGCACTGTGGGAGCCCCTCTCTCTGCTGTCCCAGGCCGGAGCCAGCTCCCTCTGTTTGCGGGGAGGTGTGGAGGGAGAAGCAGGGCGGGAACCCGGGCTGCGCATAGCGCTCAGGGGTCAGCGCGAATTCTGGGTGGGCGTGGGCTTGGCGGGCCCCGCACTCGGAGCGGCCCAGGGCAGTGAGGGGCAATGCGCTCGAATTCTCGCGGGGCCTCAGCTGCCTCCCCGCGAGGCAGGGCTGGGGACCTGCAGCACGCCATGCCTGAGCTTCCGCCTCCGTGGGCTCCTGCACGCCCGCGGGAACCTCCCCGACCAGCGCCTCCTCCTGCTCCGCTGAGCCCGGTCCCAAGTCCCATCAACCGCCGAAGGGCTGAGGAGTGCAGGCACATGGCACGGTACTGGCTGCCCGCGCCCTGGTGCAGGATCCACTAGGTGAAGCCAGCTGGGCTCCTGAGTCTGGTGGGGACTTGGAGAACCTTTATGTCTAGCTAAGGGATTGTAAATACAATCAGCACTCTGTGTCTAGCTCAAGGTTTGTAAATACACCAATCAGCACTCTGTGTCTAGCTCAAGGTTTGTAAATGCAGTTATCAGCACTCAGTACCTAGCTAATCTAGTGGGGACTTGGAGAACCTTTATGTCTAGCTAATGGATTGTAAATACACCAATCAGCACTCTGTGTTTAGCTCAAGGTTTGTAAATACACCAATCAGCACCCTGTGTCTAGCTCAAGGTTTGTAAATGCACCAATCAATGCTCTGTGTCTGGCTAATCTAGTGGGGACTTGGAGAACTTTTGTCTAGCTCAGGGATTGTAAACCCACCAATCAGCACCCTGTCAAAACGGACCAATCAGCTCTCTCTAAAATGGACCAATCAGCAGGATGTGGGTGGGGCCAGAGAAGGGAATAAAAGCAGGCTGCCTGAGCTAGCAGCAGCAAGCTGCTTGGTTCCATTCCAGAGTGTGGAGGCCGTGTTCTTTCGCTCTTTGTAATAAATCTTGGTGCTGCTCACTGTTTGGGTCCGCGCTGGCTGTATGAGCTGTAACACTCACCACGAAGGTCTGCAGCTTCACTCCTGAGGGCAGTGAGACCATGAACCCAGGGGGAGGAATGAATAACTCCGGATGTGCTGTCTTAAGAGCTGTAACACTCAACCGCAAAGGTTTGCAGCTTCACTCCTGAAGCCAGCGAGACTGCAAACCCACCAGAAGGAAGAAACTCCGAACACGTCCGAACATCAGAAGGAACAAACTCCGGACACACCGTCTATAAGAACTGTAACACTCACTTTGAGGGTCCGAAGGAACAAACTCCGGACACACCGTCTAGAAGAACTGTAACACTCACTGTGAGGGTCCGTGGCTTTATTCTTGAAGTCAGTGAGACCAAGAACCCACCAATTCCGGACCCGATGGCTCACTGTAACTTTGAATTCCCAGGCTCTGTGGGTTCCCCCTGCCTTAGTCTCCTGAATAGCTGGGACTACAGGCACACAGAATCATGCCAAGCTACCTTTTTATTTTTTGTAGAGAGGAGGTCTCGCTGTGAAGCCCAGGTGGGTCTCAAACAGGTGGACTCAAGAGATCTTCCCACCTCGGCCTCCCAAAGTGCTAGCTTTACAAATGTGAGCCACCATGTGTGGCCACGAACTCTTCCAATGAGCTTTTATTAAAAAAAAAATAATTCAACTATTCAATGTGAGCCAAGGATGTGCCAGACATTTGCTAGATGCTATGAATAAAATATGACCAAGAGTCAGTCTTTGTTCCTATGGACTTTATAGTCTAGTAGTAGATGAGACTCATAAGTAATATGTAGCCAAAAATAAAATTTACTATATTACGGAAGAATAGAATGCTATATTCTTCAGTGCCAATGATTATCTTTTCATGTTCTTCTTACTTGGGTTTTGACAACAATTGATGATGAAAAATGTAACACTGGATTTCAGTTTGTATTCTTATTTTCCAACATGATGGAGGTGTTATCTAGTGTGAGATGATTAAGGGAGACTCAGGAAGCAGTGGGTAACCCCAGCTAAAAGCAAACACATAGTATATTGGAAGATGAGGTAAACAGAGCAAAGCATTAACGAATCTGTGCTTAAGAGTCAGCGAGAAGTCTTTTGCATAATCCAGTGAGAACTATTGCAACAGTGTTACATATTTAAATCCTTTTCAGTCTTTCAAATAGCATCTATCTACAATAACTCTCAGAGACAACTTAGCAAGGTTTTTCAATCCCTTATCTGCTTTTCATAGCTCTGTGTTGGCAGAAATTCCTCCTTGAAGGTCAGAGGCCACTTAAGTCTGTAATGGAGATCTTGCTTGAATAAACTGTAACTCTGATTTCCTTTTTTTTTGGATTTTGTTCTATTAGATTTACAAGCAGAGCAAAGTTGAAATAGTCATACTGTGTAGGTATTAGTAGAAATAAACACATGAATATATTTAAGCATACACATATATTTAAAAGACTCTATACCTCCTGTGGGGATTGCTGGAGTTGCTGAAGATGTCTATATGGAAATCCCCAAATAAGCCCAACATTTTATATTACAGTCACAGCCATGTGTTGCACTCTCCTAGTTGACCTAATAAAGACTAAACCGAGAAAAAGAAATACAGGAAAGCCAAATATGCATAAGCAGAGAGGAATGTGGGAGAGAAGGTCAGAAAAACACAGCTTTTTAGTAATTAGTGTTAAATTACCTGAGGCATATTTGCATGCACTACGCTCATGCTGATAGCCCAGCACTTCACTTATTTAACACTAGTTTATTCTCTGATCATGATTTTTCCTGTTCCTGAAGTTTTGCAGCTTCTGTGTGCTACTTTACCAATCTACATAAACATTCCTCATCCCACGAGGAGCTGCTTTCCCAGGTTATACAGATCAAATTATTTTGGAGCGTGAAAGTGCACACATGGCCATTTCAGGCTATCAGGTGCTGACCAGCTCTTACTGCTTCTGAATGGCCTTGATTTCAGATGTGCACAAAAAAGCAGTTTACCTGAGGTTGTTGAAACTGCAGTTGGCTCCTGGGCAAAAAAAAAATGCAATGCAATCTCATTCTGTGATATGTCTAATGTCTAGTTATTTACTGTGTGCTTTCCTGACTTTATACTTCCTGAATTCTGGGGCACTCTGAGGGACAGCTAAAGAGGCAATTGGTGCATATCCATGAATTCCCACAGTGTATTGAACCAATGCGCCATCCTATACTCATTGTCTTCTATCAACTTAATGTTTTACTGTGCTTTGGCTGCTGAAATGCTCTCTTCTGCTCACTCTGATAGGAAGAATGCACACTTCCAGAACACTGACATTGCCCGTGGCAAGCAGCCTCTTGGAAGCCAACAAATGGTCCCTCTGTCTTCAGTTTGGGAATGCTCAACAAAGCAGTGTCTATTGGTATTCAGCAATTAAGGAAAGTTTGAAAGCAGAATCATGGTTGAAATGGCTATTTCTTGCAAATAGCCAATTATTTGCAAGAAAAATAGGACACCAGTTGTGTCCTGGTTTTCAGTCTAGTTTGGAGGAGACTTCCAGCTCATCTCACATGTGTCATCAGACCCAAGGGATTTGAGCAGTTTATGTACACATGTCCACCCACTTTCAATTACAGTCAAGGAGAAATAGAAAGAGAAAGACAGCTAAAAAAAAAAAAAGGAGTTTTTCTCTGCAGGCATCTGTGATGTTTCCATATCAGTTGTCCAAGTTCTACTGAGACTGCCCTCCTCGAGTGTTTCTCTGTATTCTTTTTTTTTTTTTCTTTTTGAGAGGGGGTCTTTGCTGTATTGCCCAGGCTGGAGTGCAGTGGCATGATCTCGGCTCACTGCAACCTCCGCCTCCCAGGTTCAAGTGATTCTCCTGACTCAGCCTCCCAAGTAGCTGTGATTACAGGCGTGTGCCACCACACCCAGCTAATTTTTGTATTTTAAGTAGAGACGGGGTTTTGCCATGTTGGCCAGGCTGGTCTCAAACTCTTGACTTCAGGTGATCTGCCTGCCTCATCTTCCCAAAGTGCTGGGATTGTGAGCCACTGCACCTGGCCTTTCTCTGCATTCTTTATGCTACTTCCTTTCTCCATTTGCTTGGCTCTTAAAAGCTTTAATTGTTATTTTCTATTGAAGTTCCTGTCCCTTCCATCTTTTCAGCCTGTAATTTTTCTCTGAGCAGATAGCAAGTCTCAGAGATGTCTGTGTGTCTTAAAAATTATATTTGCCTCTGATGTGAACATTAAGTTCTATCTATTATGTCATTTACCTGATTCAACTACTACGTATAGAAGATGGAAACTTAATATTTGAGGTTAGAGGAAAAAAAGCACAAGGTCTGGGTGTTTTCCAACCAAGATTAAATTTTGTTTGGGGAGTGTGTATGCGTTACTTATCTATATTCACCACTAAGTTTGTGTTTATATTTATACCCATAAACACATATGGACAATGGTGCGAGGAAAATATGAAACTTGGAGGTATAGTAGGTGTTAGGTATCGATAGGTGAAGGGAGGAAGACTCTAATCAGATATTCAAGGAAGACTTCACTGATAATATTAAATTTGATCTGAGACATGAATGTTTGAAGGAGGCAGCCATGTAAAGATCTAGTAGAAAAAGACTCCACATAGAGGAAACCACTTGTGCCACAGCTTTAATGTGGTAGCAAGTCTGATATATTCGATAAAAAACAATGAGAAGGCCAGCCACACTAAGCTTGACTGTGACAGAGTCGTTAGAGACACAGTTGACAAAGCAGGTAGAAGCCAGGTCATGGAGGACTTTGGAATTACATTAAAAATTTTGATTTTGACTTCAGGTGCAGAGACAACCACTGAAACAATTTAAACAGGTGTGGACCGTATTCTGATTTGCAATTAAAAATATCACTCCAGCAGTTGTGTGGAGCCAAATAATAAAGATAAGTTAGGAGGCTGCAAAAGGAAAAAAAAAGAACCCCCATATTGGCTTACATTAGGGTGGTAGCAGTGAAGATGGAGACAAGCTATCATGTATGATACATATTTTCTGGGTCAAGCTTTGTTGATAGATTTGATGGAGAGGACAATGGAAAGAGAAAAAGCATGTTGACTTCTGAATTTCTGCACTGAGCCACTGGATAAATGATAGGGCCATTGACTGAAATAGATGAGACTGTGGGGGAGGTAATTTTAAGGTTTGAAGTATGAAATCAAGTGATTATTTGTGGCACATTAAGCTACTTGTCTCCATGAAGACGGAGAGCTCAAGTAGGCAAGTTGAGTATATGAGACAGAGATTCCCATTGAAGGTTGGAGATACAAGTCTGGGCATCATCAACAAATGTGTAATATGTTTTTTTAAAATGCTATGGTTAAAATTACATATAGAGAAATGGTGATTAGATAAGAGGAGGGGGCTCAAGAGTAAGCCTGTTAGCCAAATCATCTAGAGATTGAAAAGAGAAGAAACCAGCTGAAGAGACTGAGAAGGAAGTCTATCAAGTTGATAGAAACCAGGATTGTGTGTTCTCCCAGAATTCTAAGAAGAGTAGTCAGTTGTGCTGACAAATACGACACAAAGATTATTGACTGTTTTACCAAACAAGACTTAAGCCGGTGGGATCAAGATCTTGGTTGCAGTGTGTTGGGCAAAAATGAGATGTAATAGTGGAATTAGCAGTTATCAATCATTCTTTCAAGAAGTTTGGCTGTAAAGTGCTGTTGAAAAATGGGGCAATACCTGGAAAGAATTGTAGGGTTTAGGAAGGGCTTATGCATTTACTTAAAGTTGGGAGATAGTGTACCACAATGGGAATAAACCAATAGAAAGCGGTTTATTACATAAGACATTAATAATAAAAATACATAATTAATGTAGAAGAAAATTAATGAAAAGGTAAAAGGGGATGGTTTCTACCATGTAGTGAAAAATGATAGCCATGTGGGTACTTTCTCCTTTTTTACAGGAGGGAAAGCAGATGCAGGAGTCTTGGTAGATTTGTAGAAGGAAGAGAAGGAAGTTCCCCTTGGGTTGTGGGTTGTTTCTGTTTCCTTTTCTTTCTTTCTTTCTTTCTTTTTTTTTTTTTTTTGGAGACAGAGTTTCGCTATTATCACCCATGCTGGAGTGCAATGGCGCAGTCTTGAATCACTGCAACCTCCGTCTCCCGGGTTCAAATGATTCTCCTGCCTCAGCCTCCCCAGTAGTTGGGATTACAGGCATGCACCACCACACCCAGCTAATGTTTGTGTTATTAGTAGAGACAGAGTTTCACCATGTTGGCCAGGCTGGTCTGGATATCCTGACCTCAGGTGATCCACCCACCTCAGCCTCCCAGTGTTGGGGTTACAGGCGTGGGCCACCGCGCCCGGCCTGCTTCTGTTTTCTTACAAGGCAAGATTATCATCTGAAATGGGGACATATGATATTTCTGTAAGAGAAAAGTCGTAAAATAGTTTGAATAGACAGTTGTGAAAACACTTATACCATAGAAGTATGCTGCAAAGTTGTCAAATCATGATATGGTTCTGTAGGGATTGTTCCTTTCTTTAAAGACAATCTTGACCATTTCAATGAACACTTCAGCTGTTCTACTAGCCCTTGTTGTGCTACCATTCCACACAATTGCTCCAATATAGAGGAAGCACAGAAATAGAAGTAAAAATATAATTTCAGGATCCTTTGTGTTATCTGAAATGCGTGAATTAAATATTCTGAAAACATTGGCAGAATACAATAATAATTGTTACTCTCCACCAAACCATGCTTTGCCTTTAAATTCTGTTAAATTAGATGTGCCATACACAGTTGGCATTTGCCACAGACATTTGTAAAATTTGTTTATGTCATTTCCATCCTTGGTCAACAGTGCTTTAAATAACCTAAGACACCACTAGCAAGGCTGAGGCAGGAGGTTCACTTGAATTCAAGGAGTTCCAGGCTGCAGTGAGGTATGATCTCACCATCACACTCCAGCATAGGTGACAGAGTGAGACCCCACCTCTAAAAAAATAAAACAAACAAATAACCTAGGTCGCCGCATATCTGAAAAACATATCACTAATATATTTCTGTTAGGAAAGAAGGCTATAATTTTTTTCATATTGGCTTTATCCATTCACTCAACCATTCATTGACTGCTCTTTGTCATGCTGCCAGGCACCAGACTCATACGATTAAACATATTTCAGAGTCTCTAGTGGCAAGGATGCCATCAATTCCATGTAAGAATCAACAGTAAGTAAGAACAGCTATGGAGACAGAGCAAGAGCACAGCCTGGCAGAGAGAGGTGGCTTCTCAGAGGATGGGAGAACATGACACCTAACCTGGGTTTGAATGATGAGTGGGAGTCAGCCAGGTGGAGAGATGGAAGAGGCTATTTATTCCAGGCACACAATCTAATGACTCTTGCACAACTTGAGAACATATGGGAGCATAGCAGGATGCAGGAATGCAATTAGCTCCATATGCTTTGATTGCACCATGATGGAGAGACAGCGATGAAGCTCAAGACTGGGCGTGGGGCAGAAAATGAAGGCCCTTCTGGAGCTGACCAAGGAGGTGAAGTTACCATCAAGAGTATTGGGAGCTGTTCAAGTGAGTTAAGGGTTACATGTATTGAAAGCACTAAGGACATTATGAGGAACGGTTAGTCAGATTTGCACTTTTGGTGTGTTGTTATAGCAATCAAAGAAGGCCATCCACCAGGGTTTACAGATTTTGAAAATGAATACAGAACCTATCTGTTCAGCTTGCCATTAGAGTTATGTTCCATCTGAAGCTCTCTGAGATCATTTCCGGAGGAAAGAAATGCACAAGGGGCCGCCGTGTTGAAATCGTAGCCCGGATTTATCAGTTTAAGATGACACTTAATGTGTCACACATGGATGAGCTAAGTAAGATGAAGCTAATATCATTAGACAATATTTGCATATTTTAAAAAGCAGCTACAATAAAAAATGTCTGAGGAAAATCACTGTGATTTTCCATTTCAAGTTTTCTAAGTGTGATCTAAAGCATTCCTTGTAGCTTGGAGTTTCATTTTTAACTCAACCACTGCCTTAAGAAGACTCTGCCTCACGATGTAATTATCTAGTAATTCGTAAGTTTGACACATACAAGCCACTTGGTCCATGGTATTTTTTGCTACCATTTAGTATAGCTATTTATATTTAGCCTGACTCTGAATTATTTCCCATGACTGCCCACACCCTGCCCCAAATACACACACACACGCACACACACCTGCCATCTGCAATTTGAAAGAAGATGTCATTAACACCGTCAGCCAGAGTTTGTCAAGTCTGACACTAAATTTGTGGGATTTTTTTTTTTCACACCAGTCAATTTTCCAACTCTCTAGACACCAACTGGTTGTCCCACCATTCAACTCTGTTTTGACACTAATTATCTGGCATCCATGCAGACCCCATATGCTAAGGTCTCAGTCCGACAGACTACCCCCACTTCAGATGCCACTCTCAAGTCCCAGGTGGCCACGTGTATTTCTGGCCAACCAGTTATAAATTGAGGGTTTTTGTTGCTCCCTCCTCATGTTTTTAATTTGCTAGAATAACTCATAGAACTAAAAAAAGGTACTTACTATTACCAGTTTATGATAAAGAATGCAATCAGGAACATCCAGATGGAAGAATTACATCAGTAAAGGCATGGAGCTGTCAACCCCTCTCCAGGTGTGCCACCCTTCCAGTACATAATGTCACCAACCTGGAAGCTTTTTGAATCTCATTGTTTAAAAGGTTTTATAGCACTCAAACAACAATCCCTGGGTCCTCCTTAGATGGTGGGGATGGGGCCGAAAGTACCAACTCTTTTAATCACTTGGTCTATCTGGTAGTCAGCCTGGTCCTGAAAATAGTTGGGGATCCTACCCTAAGTCATCTTATCAGCATAAATTCAGATGTGCTCAAAGGGGACTCCTTATGAATAACAGAAGACACTTTTATTGCCCAGGAAATCCTGAGAGTATTAGGAGCTCTGTGCCAGGAATCAGGGACAAAAAACATACACATTTTTATATTATACCACACTACTACACCTGATTATAGAGAATATTAAAAAGGTACTCTATTGGAGAGTGTTTTGTATATTCTAAAGTGAGAGATGATGCAAGTGTTTTGGTTATTTTCAATAATATGCTGCATTTGAACAGCAGTCCTGTTCCATTATCAAGTGTAATGGCCATAATGAGGTAAATGATTTGATTTTAATAGTTTTAATTTTTCTGATCTGACATTTATTTCCCCTACTCTCCCATCATCATTTAGGAGAAAAGTCTCTCAAATATTACCCTTGAAATTTGAATATACTTATGTTTAAGGTGGCTCTAATAGCCAAATTAATACCAGATAAAAAATTATCAATGAGCTGTATCAATCAACAGCCTGCCAAAGATCAATTGCCTTAATGACCTTGATATCAGGGATTGATGAGGCACTCATGGCTGGTGATTAATATGTTTAGTTATCAAGATATTTTTAAAAATGTGAACAGCTTGCACCTGCATTGCCATACCTCACATTTCAGTTAAGAAAATATAGCCAAACATCCAGACATTTGATCAAATGTTCAGTTTTTTGGAAACATTTGGAATGTTTTTTGTTGATACGATTTGTGTTTGTTTGGTACGCACAGCCACTTTTCGTTCCTACAGAAGACATACAACATTATGGAAACCCAGCACGAGATTATTTTCTTTCTGCTTCATTACAAGGTTCTTAACACCTTTATCTATTTTGTTTGTTTGTTTTTGTTTCTTGGAGAATCAACATTCTTGAATAGTTTTGTTTAAATCGCAATCCTCCTCCAAGGATTATAACAGTTTGGCAGTGTTTCATACAGTACAGTTGTTCTGACTGAAAACTACATCCATTTTAACCATAGATTTAGCAGAATATTTTTTCTTTTGGAATTACTTGTTATCGCTCCATTTTCTATTAGACTCACCAAGACCTTGATATAAATGTCTTGAAACAGGAACAGTTTGTATTAATATTTGCCCACAATCCCCTACTGAATGTATTTCTGCATGAGCTTGTATTTTTCTCTGTTGCTTAAGGTTACTAAATGATAATCACAGCAGCCCAGATTTTACCTTCTTATCCTCTGACATTTCCAAACACTCAGATATTAATTCCTAACTCATTTCCTCCCCATTAGCCATACCCATCTTCCTTTTCTCTTAGTCCCTTACCAGAAAAAGTTGCATTTTTCTTGACAAAATTTTTTCCATTTTAACTTTGTATAGGAAAGTGATGCTACACCCTAGAGATCTCTGCTTGGCCTTTTCTGGCTCTGGACTTCTCGGCTTGAGGACGCCCTTAATTCTAACTCCTCTGTCTGTGAGTGGCCCACCCCCAGACGGCCTCTCATGCCCTGCTGTGGCAAGGTCTAGTGGAAAGAGACATGGACTAGAAGTCAGAAAATATACATTCTGACACTATTATTTCCACCAACCAGATTTGGGACTAAGAATAAGTCATTTATCCAGCTTGAGCTTCAGCCACCAATAAAAGGTGCATTCTAAGGGCCCTTCAGACCCCTTCCTCCTAGGGGCTAAATGCCTACAAATATTCAATTTTCCAGAACAGTGTTCACTAAGGGCCCTGTTGAGATTGCTGGCCTTGCCTTTAAGTATCACACCAGGATTCTCTGAGTCATGAAGTCCACAAAGTTAAGGGTCTGAGCATTAATCCTCTGATCTAACTTAGCCTCAAGCTCCACTGATTTTCATAGTCTGACTACTGTTTAGATCAAGAGGAACTGTTCTGTAACTCATTGCATTTCCAGACTTAGCCTGGATCAGGCTCTGCAAAAAAATATTTCAATCAATTATGACTAAGTCACTGAGGGAACTCCTAAATAGACCTAGCATAGCACATTTGGTTTAAATATGAAATAAATGAAATTTTCTCCTTCAATGAAGAACGGAATTCTTCATTTTAAACTAGAAAAAGGCAGTACTTAAAAATAATGGAATCTTTAATGAGGAAACACTGTATAGTAAAAGGGCCCCATCTATTAATGGTAAAAACAAATTGTGAGTTTGGGAAAAATTCATTTGTTCAAGACATTTTTGGTTACTCACAAACGTTAGATGTATTACTGAAGGTTAAATTTTTTCAAATCTTCTTTTAATTTAGGCTTTAAAATATTTCCCTGAATTTGTCACCCTTCATCTTCACTTCTTATCTTTAAAGAAGTATGGATTAAACCTAAGTTCTCCAGATATAAAATGTTTAAGAACTACAAACCTACTGAGTCCCCATTGTTAAATGTTATTTAAAAGTTATTTGTGGGCCAGGCACGGTGGCTCATGCCTGTAATCCCAGCACTTCGGGAGGCCGAGGTGGGCAGATCACGAGGTCAGGAGATCGAGACCATCCTGGCTAACACGGTGAAACCCCGTCTCTACTAAAAATACAAAAAATTAGCTGGGCGTGGTGGTGGGCACCTGTAGTCCCAGCTACTCGGGAGGCTGAGGCAGGAGAATGGCGTGAACCTGGGAGGCAGAGCTTGCAGTGAGCTGAGATCAGGCCACTGCACTCCAATCTGGGTGACAGAGAGAGACACTGTCTCAAAAAAAAAAAAAAAGTTATTTGTGAAAAGCCAAAGCAGCAGGAAGCTTAAGAGCCCTTCTATGTTACATGTTGACACATCTGGGTAAGGAAGTGGGGTTACCACAGGGCCCAAATACAAATGTAAATCTAAGGATGTATGTCCAAGTCTCTTCCTCATCACGGGTAGAGGCATTTTTTACTTAAAAACAAACAAAATTTCAAATATACTCAATCAATCTTCAATCTACATCACTGGTTTTCAAGCATGGTCCTACCTTCAAAGCTTCAAAGGACAGTCTGACTCTCTTGTGATGGGCTAATGCAGCTGGTGATTTTTAAGTTGAAGGCATTGCTATTTACCATTCCAAAAATCTAAGAGCCCTTAAAATTATGCTGAATCTACTCTGCCTTTTCTCTATACATTTAACAACAAAGCCTGGATGACAGCACATTTGTTTACCACGTGGTTTACTGAAGTGTTAAAGCCCTCATTGAGATCTACTGCTTAGAAAAATAGATTTCTTTCAAAACATTACTAAGCATTGAGAATTCCCCTGGTCACCCAAGAATGCTGGTGGAAATGTACAGTAGATTAATCTTGTATTAATGCCTGCTAACACAACATCCATTATGCAGCCCATGTGTCAAGCAGTAATTTCAACTTTCAAGTCTTATTATTTAAGAAATACATTTTGTAAGGCTATAGTTCCTGTAGATAGCAATTCTGCAAATGCGGATGGGCAAGGTAAGTTGAAAACCTTCTGAAAAGGATTCACTCTTCTAGTTGCCATTAAGAACATTCATGACTTACGGAGGAGAAGTCAAAATATCCACCTTACCAGGAGTTTGAAAGAAGTTGATTCCAACTCTTATGGATGACTTTAAGGGGCTCAATATTTCAGTGGAGTAAGCTATTTCAGATGTGGTAGAAATAGCAAGACAACTAGAATTGGAGATGGAGCCTAAAGGTGTGACTGATTACTACAATATCACCAGAAAACCTGAATGGATAAAGAGATGCTTTTTGTGCATGAGCAAAGAAATTGGTTTCTTTTGAGATGGAATCTCCTCCTGGTGAAGATGTTGTGAACATTATTTAAATGATCACAAATGATTTAAAATATTTCATTAACATATTTTAAAAAGCAGTGGCAGGATTTAAAATGATTCATTCCAATTTTGAAAGTAGTTCTATAGTGGGTAAAATGCTGTCAAAGAGCATTTCATGCTACAATGAAATATTCCATGAGAGGAGCAATCAATGCAGCAAACTTCATTATTGTCTTACTTTAGGAAATTGTCCCAAGCACTCATACTGCCAGAAATCACCACTCTGATCAGTCAGCCACCATCAATATTGAGGTAAAACCTTCCACCAGCAAAATTTAGATTACAGTTCGCTGGAGGCTCAGATGACCTGGCATATTTTTTTTAGCAATAAATTATTTTTTAATTAAGATATGAACATTGCTTTTTAGAAATAATGTTATTCGACAATTAATAGATTATAATATAGTGTAAACATAACTTTTATATGCATGGATGTCATTTCATGTTATTTGGGCCCCTTTAAGATAGCATATAGTTGGGTCTTGCTTCTTTGTCCAACTTGCAACTTTGTGCCTTTTAAGTTGTGTGTTTAGCCTGTTAACATTTAAGGTTAGTATTGATATGTGTGGATTTCATCTTGTCTTTGTGTTCTTAGCTGGCTGTGATGTGGACTTGACAGTGTAGTTGCTTTACAGTGTCTTTGGTCTATGTACTTAAGTGTGTTTTTATGGTGGCCAGTAACAGTGTTTTGTTTCCATGTTTAGCACTCCCTTAAAGACTTCTTGTAAGGCAAGTCTGCTGGTAACAAACTCCTATAGCATTTATTTGTCTGAAAAGGATTTTATTTCTCCTTTATTTTTGAAGCTCAGCTTGGCTGGATATAAAATTCTGAGTTGGAATTTCATTCCTTTAAGATGCTGAATACAGTTCTTCAATCTCTTCTGACTTGCAGAGTTTCTGATGAAAGACCCCCTGTTGGCCTGGTGGGATTCCCTTTGTAGATGATCTGCCCCTCCTCTGTAGCTGCCTTTAATATTTTTTCTTTCACATTGACCTTGCAGAATCTGAGGACTGTGTCTTGGGGATGGTCATCTTGAGTAGTATCTTACAGGAGTTACCTGAATTTCATGAATTTGAATAAGAAGGTGGGATCTGCCAGCAAAAGAGCTATGAGAGTGGCTGTCCTGTCCCACAGGCAAGATGGCCCTGTTCTGTTCATATTTGACAGTCAACAAAAGCCAAAGCCACCTAGAGGAGCATGGCAATCCTTGGCATATGGGCATCCTTAGCTGTGCTCCACTGCAGTTGTATTCATGCCAAACCCTTTGGGCTCCCTACAGGCTTGATTTCTGTCCCTGCCAACCTTCCAAGCAGCTTTCCCTGCCAGCTCAAATGTCTGTGGGGGTTATGAGGTCTTCTGCAGCTAGGATTCCAGAGGTTCATGGCGACAGTAGGCCACTCCATGCCTATTTAGCTCACACCTTCCCCAGGAACCACTTGAGGGCTGTAAGGAGTCTTGTTGCTCGGAAACCCCATGCAAGGTTCCCATCTTCCTCCGGCATCAGTCCATGGTCTGCACCCTCCTTTTGTCCACTCTCAATGCTTTCTTTCTGAGAGCGTGCTGGTCTTCATGGTCTGATCTTCAGGTGAGAGAAGCTCTCCCTGGCTGCATTTAGTCGGCCATCTTGGCTCTTATATGTGAAATATTAGTAAGGTATAATAAAAGAGTTTGGTTCACCTTTTGAGTAATCATTTAGCAGCTTCCAGGTGTTCTAGCATCTTCCTTTGGGCCTCCCAGTATCTGCATGTGGCAGAGTCAACTAGGGCCTCCTGGACAGGATGACATGAAGCAGTGAAGATGGGAGCCAAGCTTGGTGCACAGCCAGAAGGAGACAACAGTGTAATATTGTATTGACTCATCGATTGTAATAAATATACCAAACTAATGCAAGTTGTTAATAGGGGAAAGGGAGGGGGAGGCAAAGGAGTGTATGAGAACTGTGTACTTTCTGCTCAATTTTTCTATAAACCTAAAACTGCTTTAAAGCATAAAATGTACTAATTTATTTAAAAAATTTACCTTGACCACTACTCATATCAAACACATGAAAAAGTAATCTCCATGTGAATTGAGATTTAAAGGTAGAAGGTAAAACAATGTTGCTATAAAATAACACAAGTGAGTATTTTCATGGCCTGGGGTTGTGGAAAGATTTCTGAAACAGAACACACAAAGCACTATTACAAAGGGCAATATTGATAAGTTGAACTTAATGAAGATCTCTTATTATCAGAATTCACCATTATAAGGTTTAAAATGCAATGCAAAAAGTGAGAAAAGAAATATATTCACAATATACATATTGACAAAAAGACCCACAGAATCTAAAACAACCCCTATAGATCAATATAAAAATTTAATAAAGATGATATAAATAAATGGGCAAAAGACTTAAACAAGAATTTGTAAAGGATCAGCGTATCTAAATAATTGTATGAAAAAGTGCTCAATGAAATATACAATTACAAACCCAAAAGAATAGCTAAAATTTAAAAAAATCAAAATATAAAGCATTGAGAACATGAAATAATTGCACTCTCATATACTGCTGGTTTGCTATGTAAATTAGTAAAATTATTTGAAAATCTTTTGGGAATATCAGAAAAATGAACTTATGCATTATCCATGACCCAGTAGTTCCATTTCTGGAACTATATACCTGATGACAATGCATTTATGGACTCGTAATAGCCCAACACTAAAAATATCCAAAATGTACATTAACCGTAGAATTAATATGTAAACTCTGGTATATTTTAAAATGGAATACTATATATTCCAGATCACAAGAGTTGGTGAACTACTGTTACAAACACCAACATAGATGAATCTTATGTAAGTTTAATATTGAATAAAAGAAGCCACAACAAAGCAATATGTACTCTATTTCTCCATTATAATTCCAAAAGCTGGCAAAATTAATCTAATGTAAGAAAAGTTAAGATTCAGTTTACCTTTGGGGAGAGGTGAGGGTATATCGTGGGAGGGCAGATGGTTCTCCTGAGGTGCTGGTTTGTTTCTTAATTTGTGGTTACACAGATTTATTCACTTTGAGCTGTACTCTTAGTTCTGTATGTCTTTGTACATATATACCATTATAATAAGGAGTAATAAAAAGATTAATAGAAAATAGTCTTAACACTTTCTTTTTATTTTTGGCAAGATTTCTGTTGGTATTTAATTTAGTTTGGGCAAAATGTGGAATGCATTTAGTTACATGGATAGCATTTACATAGATGCTCTTGCAGGAGCTTTGCTGGTAAACACTAGAATGAAATTTACTTTGCTTTTGGAATAATAAAAAAATGAGAGACTCTATTTGGTCATATTTAATAAAATGATATAGTAGGTAAAATAATGCAAAAGGCAAATAAAAACGAGAATAAAAAATGGATATACCGATGGAGAAAAGAGTTAAAAAGGAAGAAAAAAGAAAGAAAAGCAGTAAACCAGCCATGCTCTGCCTTGGTATACTTTAAAGTTTATGGAACCAATCTAAATTCCTATTCTGTTTCTGAATATAGATAATCAATGAATTGGTATATCTTTAAGTCTGCAAAGTCGATGCTTTCTTTGAATTTGGAAAGACAATATGAACTATGTCTCCTAGAACTCTGAAAAATGCTATCTTCATGATTTTCTTTCTGCCCCAGGGAGTAAAAGCCTCTACCTAGGAAGTGAATCTTATTACTGGGTTATATATCTTTCTATCTTTCACTAAATCCAGTTTATAACTATGGTAATCTGAAAAATATTTAAGTAATCTCAGTGTTGAAAATTATATCATGGCAAAGCTATTAAACTCGGGTAGATGCAGCCCCTCCCAGTTATTTTCTCTTAAACTATTTCCAAACAACCTAACGTGCTTGATACAGAGAAGAAAGAAAATTGTCTTTCTCTTTCTCTTAATCCCCTTAATGTCTAAAAGTATTAAGAACATAATGGAAATTACACTGAAGGATTTTCAAAGACTTTAACTAAAAAGGGCTAAGTCATCCGTGATTGATCAAAGAGAAAAGTGGATTCTTTCCTACATCTTGAAAGACAAAGTTTCAAACCCCTACCTGCAGATTTTCTAAAGAAGCCACTACTCCATTGTTTTCTTGTTGAAGAAAACTGGTGATGGCCACATTAGTATTGTGTTATCCTTTTTTACAATATAATGAAATAAACCACCTCTCAAACTCTAAGTCTCAAATGTAGCAATTCATTAGCATTAACATGCTAATTAATATATTTATCCAAATAGAACACAAATGACAGAATAGCAGAAAGGCAGGTAGAGATGAAATATTCTTCTTTATATTATTTATTAAACTAAATAAATGAATATTTGTTCAACTCAACTCACAGATTCACTAAACAACCCACCAAGTAATAGGAAACCTCAAAGACAATCAGGACAGAAAAGATATGAGCTTTCCACCTTAAATTCCATCCAGATGCAGGCCATGTAATCAGTATACCCAAGAACCTTTGCTCCTTTCTCAGCATGCAGATCTGTGGACAGAACTTGTATAATCTAATGAATGGCTACCTATAGAAGTAAGATGCCTACAGGTTGTCAGACACTATCAAGAGAGGCAAGCCATAGTAGGATGAAGGATGAAAGAGAGAGAGAGATAATACCACTCAGTGTCTGACATCTCCAGCTCTTGGGGAAGACTTAACAGATGTTGTATCAGGTGGGTCCCTCCAGGACTATCATCTATCACAAAAGAGGGCAGAAAATAATACTCAACATCACACCAGCACTAGGCATGGATTAAGAAAATCTTTGTTGGGAAAAGGGAAAACTCACCAGGCCACAGTCTGCAAAGTAGAGATGTAGGTACACCATCCTCTCTGCCTTCTGGCTTCTGTAATTCCACAGAGGTGCACACTAGTTCAGGGCATCTGCTCGGCATGGCTGGGGTTGCTTTCTAATGCAAGAACACTCCCTCTGGAGATCTCCTTCTTTATATTACAGGCCTGAGAAAGCAAATTTTGGAGTGGAGAAATAGACTTTTAGTGGCCAGGCAATCTGGACTTGGGTGCCAGTTGTTTCTATGATTGACTGAAAGGCCCACTGTCCAACTCCTGGAGACTCTGGGCCTGCAGCACATCATTGCATTTCCAGAAGAAGAAGAAAGCCGCTCCCCTCCACCTCTATCCCAGCAGACTTGCTGGACAGCTATATCTGTGAATTCCCAGGGTTACATTGCATTCTCACTCACCACAGAGGAGATTCCTTCTCTCAACCTCCTTATTTGCTCTCTTTTCTCTGTACCAAAATCCAAATAATTGTGGCAAATTATTAAGGGTCAAATAATATTTGTTTCCATCCACAGAGACACCTACAGCTCATAGGGATCCTGTGATCCAAAAAGCATGCTGTGAGTGGTGGCAGAATTAGAATCTGACTTTGAAATCCCATTACGATCACTAAAAATCCTATTACTTCAAGATGGTCACACTTGTGGAGCTTAGCATGGACTATATCATTGGCTGTGGCCACTCCACCCCAGCATGAATCATTCTGATTCCCACGTTTACATGTTCACATCGCAGTTCAGATGATCTTGCTCTTGAATCTGTCTTTTCCCTTCAAATTATTCTTTTTGAATCAAATACTTTCTTTTCATACGTATTCATTTTTCTTTCTATAAGCATTTATTAATTCTCTGGGGCACTTTGCTAGCAGCAGGATACTCAGGGATTGTAGAATATGTTTTCTGCCCTCCAAGCATATCTAGTCTGATGGAAGACAGGAGTGTGAATACATACTGCGTTATAAGAACACAAGACTAGTCTGGGCTTGGTGGCTCACACTTGTAATCCTAACACTTTGGGAGGCCAAGGCTGATGGATCAAAGATCACTTGAGTTCAGGAGTTTGAGACCAGCTTGGCCAACATGGTGAAACCCCATCTCTACTAAAAAAAAAAGTACAAAAATTACCTGGGTATGATGGCATGTGTCTGCAGTCCCAGCTACTTGGGAGGCTGAGGCAGGAGAATCGCTTGAACCCAGGAGGCAGAGGTTTCAGTGAGCTGAGATCATGCCACTGCACTCCAGCCTGAGTGATAGAGTAAGACTCAGTCTCAAAACAAAAAAAAAAGAAAAGAAAAGAAAAAGAAAAAAGGGCACCTGATTACAGGAGCATCTTTAATTCCAACCCTCCCACCTTCTCTGCTTTTCATTTGATTAAGTATGTGTGGAAACAAAACTAATACCCTTTATTTTTAAATACAGAACAAAAGAGAGAAGATTCTGTAAAGGAAATCCATTTCTAGGCAGGATCTAAATTATTTGTCTTCTCAGTGTGTTAAGGGCTCTAACTCATGGTTATGTCTTCTAAGTATTTATTAACTGAACAAACCATCAGTGTCTATTTTGTGATTTGAGCAGAGGTAAGCTCTGGCAGCCGGCATTTTGATGGACCTATTTTTGTAGTCAAATCAATTCATAATTTTACTATTCGTACTTGTGCTGGTGTTGCCAACAGATTAATTCCAGTCCTTCCTCTGAATCCCATAGGAACCCTGGTCTAAGATTTTGTAGTCTGAGGATGTGCTGAAATTATAATAGTCGTGAAGTCCTGAAGGGAGGCAGCCATCTTTTCTCTTCTCTGATCCTATGTAGGCAAGCTTTGCATTCTGAGAATTTTGCTTGAGAGTATCATTCATGATTTTTATGTTGAATAGAACAAAGCAAAATGTTCCAGATACCCAAAATAAAAGGACTCCATCCATATATTGTATTATTATTTAAAATATGAAAGTGTCCAACCCACAAAAATGATTTGTTTTTTCCCCCAATTCTGGAAAAAAGATGAGCATTTTAGAAGGGAGATTTTTGCTGTACTCTGGCACAGATTCACAGGAATTGATGGTCATCAAGTACCATGACTTGGTACCTACGGCAAATAATCCTGTGACCAAACTCAGCAGGAGGCAGTGCAGCCACTCTTCTTTCAGCAAAAATCAATGTGCTCCCAAAGCACTGGGATTACAGGCATGAACCACCACATCCACCATTATGAGAGTTTTTATCATGAATGGGAGTTGGGTTTAATCAAATTCTTTTTCTATATTTATTGATATGATTATATAATTTTTATTTTTAACCCTTTGATGTAATTAATTATGTTAATTTTGTATCTTGAGCCAGTTGTGCATATCTAAAATTAATAGCACTTGATTATGATATATACAATTCTTCCTATACCTTGTTAGATTGAATGCCAAAATTTTGTTGAGATTTTTGCATTTATATTTATAGGGATATAGGTCTGTATTTTTTTTTCTTTCTTGCAATGTCTTTATATGAATTTGTTAGGAGGGACATGCTTGCCTTATAGAATGTGTTAAGAAGTGTTCCATCTGCTTCTATTTTCTAGTAAAGAAGATAGAGCAGGGATCCTCAACCCCCAGGACCAGTACCCTTCTGTGGCCTGTTAGAAACTGGACCACACCGCAGAAGGTGAGCAGCAGGTCAGGGAGCAGTGAGCAAAGCTTCATCTGTATTTACAGCTGCTCCCCCATCCCTGGCATTACCGCCGGAGCTCTGCCTCCTGTCAGATCAGCAGTGGCATTAGATTCTCATATGAGCATAAACCCTATTGTGAACTGCACATGTGAGGGACCTAAGTTGCATGCTCCTTATAAGAATCTAATGCCTGATGATCTGTCACTGTCTCTCATCACCCCCAGGTGGGACCCTCTAGTTGCAGGAAAACAAGCTCAGGGCTCCCACTGATTGATTCTACATTATGGTGAATTGTATAATTATTTCATTATATATTACAATGTAATAATAATAGAAATAAAGTGCACAATAAAAGTAATGTGCTGGAATCTTCCAGAAACCATTCTCACACCCTGGTCCTTGGAAAAATTGTCTTCCACAAAACCAGTCCCTGGTGCCCAAAGGGTTGGGGACGTCTGATACAGAAATCTAGTATTTCGTTTTTAAAACATTTGGTAGATTTCACTTCTGAACCACCTATGTGTTTTCTTTTTGGTAGCGGTATTATTTATTGATTTAATTTTTAATAGATACAGATCAATTAGATTATTATGTATATATTAATTATATATCTATACTTAGATTATCCTCTTGTGTGAATGAGTTTATGTCCTTGTCAGACAAGCTTTTGTTAGGTTGTTTCTATCCAGGAATTGGTAAATTTCAGTTATCAAAATTATGCATATGGTATTGTTTGTAGCATTTCTTTAATAGTCTTTCAGTGATCATATAATGAGTAATAATGACCCCAATTTCTGATATTAGTAATTTGTGTTGTATCTCTTTTGTATTAGTTATCATGGCAGAGATAGATAGATAGACAGATAGATAGATAGATAGATAGAGACAGTTCCAGTGACCCAGTTTGCGAGTTTGAGTTTCATTTATTTTCTCGTTTAATTTTCTATTTTAAATTACATTGATTTCTGTTCTAATATCTATCATTTCCTTTCTTCTGCATTATTTAGTCTTAATCTTCTCTTTATTCTCTACTTTCCTAAGGTGGAAGTGTATTGGTTAAGCTCCAACTATTTTTAGATTTTCTAGCTATCTTTTTAGCTAATTTATCTTTTTTAGTTAATTCCATTGTGATCTGGGAGAAAACTTTGTATAATTTATATTCTTTTAAATTTTTTTGATCTTTGTTTATGGCCCAGAATATGGTCTGTCTTAGTGGATGTTTAATGTGAGGTGAGAAGAATGTGTATTCTGCTGATATTGAATTATACAGTCAATAAATGTCAATTACATCCAGTTGACTGATGGTGCTGTTCAGTTTAACTATATTTTTAGTGATTGTCTGCCTGCCAGATGTGTCAATTACTGATGGAGGTATGTTGAAATCTCCAACTATACCAGTGAAATTGTCTGTTTTTCTTTGCAGTTCTATCAGTTTTTACCACGCTTATTTTGACACTCTATTCTTAGGTGCATGCATATGATAACTGTTATATCTTCTTAAAGAATTGACCACTTTATCATTAAATAATGCTTCTCCTTATTCCTGATAATTTTCCTTATTCTGAATTGTGCTTTGTCTGAAATTAATATAGCCAGCTGCTTCAGCTTGCTTCTGATTAGTGTTAGCATGACATATCCTTCTCTGTTTACTTTTAATCTACCTGTGCCTTTATATTTAAAGTGGGTTTCTGTAGCTAACATATAATTGAGTCTGTATTTTTAATCCACTCTGTCAGTCTTTCACTTTTAATTGGTGTATTTGGACCATTTACATTTGCAGTGATTGTAGATATAGTTGAATTGATGTCTTCCATGTTTGTAATTGTTTCTATTTGTTGCATGTGTACCATTTCTTTTGTAACTTCTATTTTTCTGTATTTCTGGTTTTAATTGAGCATTTTATATCATTTGATTTCCTCTCCTTTTGTAAACAATATCATTTTTTGTGAAGGATAATGAAGATCATGGCAAAATAAACAATTAGAAATATCACTTATGCTTCTTTTATTTTTTAGTAGTTTCCCTAGAGTTTGCAATATATATTTACAACTAATCTAAGTCTGTTTAAAATCATACTATGCTGCTTCATGGCTTATGCAGGCACCTTATAGCAGAGTATTCCCAATTCTTCCTTCTCATCCCTTATGCCATCATTTTTGTTTGTTTCACGTATCTATATGCTATAGTCACCCAGTGCATTGTTGCTATTATTACTAGAATAAAGAACAATAAATTATTTAATGTTCCCTTTACTTATTCATAATGCTCTTTCTCTGCTTTTTTTTTTTTTTTTTTTGAGACAGAATCTCTGTTGCCCAGACTGGAGTGCAGTGGCCTCGGCTCACTGCAAGCTCCACCTCCCAGGTTCACGCTATTCTCCTGCCTCAGCCTCCCGAGTAGCTGGGACTGCAGGCGCCTGCCACCACGCCGGGCTGATTTTTTAAATATTTTTTAGTAGAGACGGGGTTTCACCATGTTAGCCAGGATGGTCTCGATCTCCTGATCTTGTGATCTGCCTGCCTCAGCCTCCCAAAGTGCTGGGATTACAGGCATGAGCCACCGCACCCAGCCTCTGTTTTTTTTTCTAGTTCCCTTTATGAGTTTCTCTCAGAACTCTTTGTTAAATACAGTCTGTAATTTGTATCTGTTGCAATCTAGTGAATCCCTGTCAATGTTGTAGTAAGATTTGGACAGAAGTGTTCTACAATATTATGCTTTATCCTCAGTTTTTTGGTGAATGTTATGGTTTGGATATTTGGCCTCTCCAAAAGTCATGTTGAAATTTGATCTCCAGTGTTGGAGATCAAATTATGAATAGATCACTGTCCTCCCAGGGGTAGGGGAGTGAGTTCTTGCTCCATTAGTTCCTCTGAGAGTTGGTTGTTTTCTAAAGCCTGGTGCCTCACCCTTGCTCTCTTGCTTCCTCTCTTGCCCTGTGATCTTGCACATGCCAGTTCCCCTTCCTCTTCCACTATGAGTGGAAGCAGCCTGAAGCCCTCACCAGAAGCAGAAGCTGGTGCCATGCTTCTGGTATAGCCTGTAGAACTGTGAGCCAAAATAAACCTCTTTTCTTTATAGATTACCCAGCCTCACGTATTCCTTTATAGTAACACAAATGGACTAAGACCAAGCCTGACTGAGTTTCTGGGCTATGATTTTCAGAAGCATTTCTTAGACTTTTTCCCCTTCATTTTATATGAGAGAAGATAAAAGGGGGCTCATATTGGCAAAGTGTACTCCTCTGATGTCAGATAAGTCTCTGTTACAGTAGTATTTCTCGGAAAACAGTTTTGTTATTAGGAATGTTCTGGGCTCTTTCAAGATGGTTACTTTCCCCTCTCCTTGAGATGAGAGTATTTTCTTATTCTTCCAGTTTTCACCATGAAAACTTGGTGGAGTCCCTGGAGGTAAAACCCATGAAAGTGTGAGAATCCTCCCCAAGTCTGGGCCCCTACCAGTTCTTCATTCTCAAGTTTGTCCCCATTTAGCCCCCAAAAGTTTATAAAATTTACCATATTAGTGTTCCTATTATTTAATGGCTCAATCAGCTTCTGCTTCAGGTAAACTGGTCTCAGATCTCTGTTTTACTCTCCTGCCCCTAGCTTTTGGGGTGGCTGTTCACCCTACAACTTCAGTTCTCTCTGGTGACTCTAAGAAAAGACATTAATTGTTAGTCTTTCATTTTCTTTTTCTTCTTGTAAGTACAGGAATGATGGCTTTCAAGTTCTTTAGATGTTGAAACTGAACTAATTGTCTTTTAGAATCTGTCTATCTGGAGTAATTTGGGATAAATTATATTTTCTTTGAAAATTATTTTTGCCACATAGATTTCCTGTATCAAATCAGATTTTGTTGAGCAAAGTAGACAATTATATATATATATTTTTTTTTTAATTTCCTTCTGTCATTCTTGTCTTCTTACAATTTTTTCTTTTGTGTCTATGTGCTTTGTATGAGTTTTTCTTATAAAACTAGCTGTTTTATTTAGTTCATTGTTTGAGAAGCAGTTATTTGGTTTATTTATTTCTTTGAGAAGCAGTTATTTGGTTTATTTATGCTTCCTTCTTTATATTTATGTTCTCTTTGGGATTTTATTACTTATTTCTCTAACATTTAAAAAAATGCTTGATTAATTTATTTTCATTCTTTTTAAAAACATGAGGATTTAAGAAATGTTTTTGTTCTGAGCCCTGTTCTAACTGAATTAGTGTATATTTTAATGTGCAGCATTGTAACTAATTACTTAATTACATTCTGGAAAACTAAACATTTAGATTTTCCTTACTCTTTGACAAAATAGTCATTGAAGAGATTTAATTATTTTTAGTAAGGAAATTTATCTTTCTTCCTTCCTTACCCTTCTTTCCTTCCTTCCTTCCTTCCTTCCTTCCTTCCTTCCTTCCTTCCTTCCTTCCTTCCTGGTTCTATTGCATTGTGATCAGAGAATGCTTATTTTGTATTTGAGTTATTTCATTTATATTGCAGTTTTTGTGTGACTATATAAGAGCATTGTGCATGTGTGCATGCGCATGAATGGATGAATTTGTGTTGGTAATATAAAGTTGTTTTTTATGTTTATACATAACATAGTTTTACATTCATTAACTCTACCTTATAAATTATGTTATTTATATGTTTTACAAATGTTTACATATGAACTGGAAGAGTTGAATTTTTTTTCTCTACATTGCTCCTTACTTCTGCTATAGTCATAGGTATGAATAGAATAAAGTGTTGCTAATGTGAAGTGGGATTTTCACAAGAAAATATTTTCCTATACAAACAAACAATGGGAATCATAAATAAGTATTGAACCATATTTCTAAGTCTAAATAGAGTGCTCTTGTACGTAAGTAGTCCAGCCATACAAACCTATTATAACAAAGATGCCAATGTTTGTTAAACTTATGGCCAAACTTATTGAGAGGACATCTCTACTCTCTGGTGTCAATAAGACAAACCAAGCCATTACAAAATGGTTACATTCAGTCCTGGTACTTATATGAACATAATTTATTCCTATTGTCCAGTCAATTAGAGCTGAAACAGATATTAATAGTCATCTAGTAGTCTAACTAGTTTCATTTATAACAAAGGGACCTAAACCTGGGATTACCTAAGATTCTGTAACTAAATAGTAGCATTTCTAGAAGTAGCATGAAACACATTCCCACCCTGCAGCCCAGTTCATTTCCATCATAATGTCTGTTCTAGCAAGGTTTCTGGTGCTAGTCCATTCCAAACCTTGCCTTAGAAAGTCAGCCCTACCAAGAGCTTCTACTGAGTGGGCAATAAAATACCTAATTCTCCCTGCTCTACATGGCTTATTGAATTAGTGACAGTGTACGCTAGATTCGAAAAATGGGCTTGGGCAAAACAGATTGTTTCTCAGGAACTTGCAGTAAGCAACACAGAGGGAAACTGAGGAAAAGCTGCAGATACTGGTGCTCTAAGGGTGCTCCTGTGGGCCCATGTGCAAGATAAATATGCAGCAGAGTCTTGATTATGAGATGAAAAGGAGAACAGGACTGAGGCACAATGAGAAACAGAGATGAGAAAAGGCAGGCTGGGCCAGAGAGGCCACTAGAACAAGAGAGAAGGATGAATTAGGAATCAGTCACTAGTGTCTCAGTTCCAGACCTTCACAAGGCCTGGCTGTTCAGCCCTCTGTGGATTTTCATAAGACTGCTCTGAATATCTGGCACCACACCTCTGTTACTTGGGCTACCCTAAATGAGTTTCTTTTTTCTTTTCTTTCTTCTATTTTTTAATTTGGAGACGGAGGCTTGGTCTATAGCCCAGGCTAGAGTGCAGTGGCACAATCACAGCTCATTGCAACCTCAAATTCCCACACTAAAATGATCCTCCCACCTCAGCCTCCCAAGTAGCTGTGACTAAGGGCATGTGCCACCATGCCTGGCTAATTTTCTTTTTTTTTAAAAAATTTTATATAGATGAGGTCTCACTATGTGGCCCAGGCGGGTCTCAAACTTCTGGACTATAACAATCCTCCTACCTCAGCCTCCCAAAGTCCTGGATTATAGGCATGAGCCACTGCGCCCAGCCTGATCTCTTTTTCTTGCAATGAAATGATGCTTTTTGAACCATAGCATAATTTGCCCAAATAAACCAATGAAAGGCCCGTGCCATAGTTCTAAGCTATACTTTAGTGGAGTGAGTAGGGTACTAAACAATTATAAACAATTTTTGCGTATTTTCTGTAGTAGGATGTTAAAGTGACATCAAAACTTCTTGGAGAAACACATGAAAGGTGACATTCAAGGCATCTATTATTTATATTCCCATTAACCAGTCTTTTCTTTGTATAAACATCGTGGAAATTCTGTCAGAGTAGCCCTGCCATGAAATCCTACTTGTCCCTTGCTGAATGTGTCTGACAGCTTAAATTTTGAACCAATTTCACTTTAGCTTCAGTGTATCTTCTAAAATATTAAACTTACATATTCACCATTTCCTACTATTCCCCAGTTCATCGTAGTTTTTCTTTCTCCAAGGTCTAATACATTCTCTGGTAATAGTTGGATATATTCAGAAGATGACTTTATCTCTGGCTTCTAGTGTATTCAGTTAATAATTTCTCAGTGCACTAGATCTCAATGCATAGATCTAAAAGTTATAGCAGCTTCTTGGGAAATTTCATAGGCACAATGACTATCAAGCTCAATAGATGGCTTCCATTCATTCCAATTCATTTTATCAAACACTGAGTGAGCACTTGCTATGCCATAACAATCATAAGAACCAATATAATTGCAGCATTTTTACTTATATTTATTGTCTTAATCTTTAAATAAGCCTCAGAAACAACATATATTCCTGATTTCATCCAGTAGGGGACAGAAACCCAGAGATATTAGGGAACCAGCTCCAAAATACAGAAATAGAGAGTGAGAGAATGAAGCCTTAAGCCCTCTAAATTCCTAATAATTTTCATTATCCCACGCTGCTTCCCAGTGTGTCTACCTATGTATGGCTGTACATCATATAGTCTCAGTCCCTAAAGAGAAATATACTAAGCAACTAAAAGTCAATGCAAGACAAACTCAACGGAGCTACTCAGAGAATATTTGTGTATTAAGATAATGTAACTAAAAGGAGAGAGGAATAAATAATGAGATTACACTTAATTTTCAGCAATCAAAAAGAAGAAAAGGTAATTCAAAGCAAAATCCAAGATGAACAAGTGATGATTGTCACAAATACTATTTCACACACAGTAGGAATGTCCTTAAGGCTTTATCAGCTTTAATTAAAATTAAGGCAAGTACTCTTTAATTTCTCATTCCACAAATATTTAGTGAGCATTACATACGCTTCAGGAAATAAAATTGGTAACAACTTTCAATATACTTTGATATTTGATATACATAATTATCTATGAATATATTAGGATAAACTTTTAAAAACTGGCTTAAAGAACAGGAGTATATTTGTTCCTCATGGGCAGCTTTGCTCCACATTCAGAGTGATACTGGAAATCAGACTGAAGCTGGGTTCAGCAATCCTCAACATATTTGCTTCCAAGGATACTTAGGTCGTTGTTATTCTAGTTGTGTTGCTGGTTGCAGGAGAAAAAAAAAATCATGGTTCACATCATTTCTTCTCACTTTCTAGTGCAGATAATTTGAGCATATGCCTATATTTTGCAGCAAGGGTGGTGGTGCTGAGAAATATAGTTGCTACCTGGAAAAATGTGAGAAGAGATTTTGCTGGACAACAAGAAGCCCATATTACAGAATGCATCTATCATATTAGACATCCAAACAGTGCTTTTGGATAGAAACATCTGGATGAGTCTGTAAGCTCCTCCACCTACTAGGCACACGATCTGAACAAGTTACTTACTTCCTCTGAATTTGCTTCTCATCTTTAAAATAGAAAAAAGATCATTCCTATTGTGTCAGTTAATTAGATTTTGAGACCATCATAGGCACCATAGTAAGATCTTGTTTGTACAAAAAAATAAAAATAAGAAAATTAGCTGGGAATAGTGGCGCACACCTGTAGTCACAGCTACATGGGAGGCTGAAGCTAGTTTCCAGCTTCTCAGCTGGAAAGTCACCCTTTAGTACCTGCTCTGGTATAATGCACTGCAGCTAAGCATTTTTTCTTTACAGTTAGCACAATGTGAAACTTCGCAGGTAGTGCTAAAGGACACTGGGGAGGAAGGGAGTTGCTCTTTCTATTTTGGGGTTGCTGGGACATTGCTCTTTCTTGTGCCTCCTGCCTAGACATAACTGAGTGTGTATGGGCACATCCCATGCTGCTCTGCCCCAACGGTGCCCCAGAGCATGGTGTCTCTCAGTTACCATGCAACCCTGGCCTACGTCTGGTGATCGATCACTTCAGCTCACTGGTAACGAACATGGGTATAGTCCAGTCTTTGTTCTAGCAGCAATCCCACTCCCTTCACACACCTCCCACTTTCCTCATCCCACCTGTTCCCCAGAGGGTGTTTTCCGCAGCTCTTGCTAGATGGACACTGCACCAAAGATCACATGAAAATGCTACCCTGAGAACAAGTAGGACTCAGTCTGCATACCTGCTCACCAACCACACTCTCCTGAGCCCTAGAGGGTAGCATCCTTCTGTCTTGTAACTGTGGTTCACCTCTGGCCTGGACAGCTCAATGAACTTCAAGAACTTCAAGAACTTTGCGTTGCAATCTTATCAAATGAACTCTGTATTCCAGATCAAGATTAACTCCAGATTAACTCTGTCTTCCCATCACCATCATTATTTTTGCATTGTCATGTTATCATTAACATTTTTGAGTGGCAGAAATGGCTCTTATTTAGAGATTCTCTTATTTAGAGATTATTATTCATGGTTTAAAACAAGTACTTTTTTTGAGAGTTAGCTAAACTTTGTGTCCTGGCTTACTTATGGCAAGTCCCTACCCTTGCTCCATAGTCACTGTGGACCTTGTGAAAATCACCCTTATTCCCATTATCAGAGGAATTTATTTCTAATAATTACTGTGTTACCAAGGCAAATAGAACTATCCTGTATTTCAATGTATTCATTAAATAAAAAACAGAGTATAAAGGCTGCTCTGCCTACCTGGATGGTTTGATCTAGAATAAGTGCATTAATTATTTATGTAACAAGACTTAGTGTGTAAAATGGTATCCCTCTGCAAGACCTTATCGCTATGGTAGGATAGTCTATTTAGAAAGAAATGTCCCCTGTAGCAAAAAGTTTCATCATATCTGCCTTTGATTAAAAGTCAGTATAATGGATTTTGGAGGATTCACTTTTGAATACAAATCAGCTGCATGAGAGATTTTTTTGTATCTTGAAAACTTTATCTTTCCTTTTTGTGGGTGAAAAACTCATTAAACCTAAGTAAAAGGACAGGAAATTTAGTCTGCATGTGGTCTATAGGGCTAAAATTGCTATAAGTACTATAGGGGAACAAACAGCTAAAATAATGAAATATCTTGTTTCTTAGCAAGTCTTAGTCCTTTTTATGCTGCTATAAGAGAATACCAGAGACTGGGTAATTTATGAAGAAAGACTTAGCTAGCTCATTGTTGTCAGAACTGGGAAGTCAAAGAATATGGCACTGGTGTCTAGCAAGGGTCATTTTACAGAGAGATAAGAAAGCATGCACATGGAAAAGGGAGAAAAAGGGGGCCAAACTCCTGCTATAACTAATCTATGATCATGATAATGGTATCGGTCCGTTTATGAGGGCATAGCCTCCATAATCTAATCACATCTTAAAGGTCCCATCTCTTAATACCATTACATTGGCATTAAATTTCAATGTAAGTTTTGGTGGGGACATTCAAACCACAGAATGCAGCCATTGTCCCAACAAAACACATGTCCTCACAGAACAAAATATATTAATTCCATTCCAATAACTCCCAAAATCTTAACTCATTCCAGCATCAACTCAAAAGTCTGAAGTCTAGAGTGGACTAGAGTCTAAGAGTATGTCCAACAGACAGTTTGCTAAAGAGATTAATATGGATAGAGGAAATCCAGGTGCTATTCATTATGACAACGGGAGAAAGACTTAATGTGGGAGTCAAAGCACAATTTATTTAGAGGCAAATTTCCTTCAGTTGTAAGCCAGTGAAATCAAACAAGTTATTGACTTCTAGAATACAATAGTGGGACAGGAATAGGATAGATGTTCTCACTGCAAAAATGAGAAACAGGCCAAAAAAAAGTGGGGGCGGGGGGAAGTGGTCTCAAGTAATTCTAAAACCCAACAGGGAAACATTAAGTATTTAAGCTGGAGAATAGTCTCTCTTGACTCCATATCCCACTTCATAGATATACTGGGATGGGATTGGGCCCCCAGGTGCTTAGGCAACCCTGCTTCATGGCTTTGCTGGGCTCAGTCCTTGCAGCTCTCCCAGGCTGGTGTTGGATGCTGGTGACTCTATAGTTCTGGAGTCTTTGAGGTGGCCCCTTTCCCACAGCTCTATAAGGCTTTGCCTTAGTTGGGACACTCTGTTGTAGCAGGTTCATCCTTTAAAATCTAGGTAGAGGAAGCCATGCCACCAGAATGCTTGCATTCTTCACACCTGCAGAATTAACACTGTGGATGCTGCAACGCTTACTGCTTGTACTTACTGGAGTGGTGGGTCAAGCTATATCTGGGGCTGCTTGAGCAATGGCTGAGGTGGCTGATGAATGCTACATCAGAATGCACACGGCAGAGTCCCAAGACCGTCCTGAGCGATGAGACTGTGGAGAGCAACCTGGGCTCGTTTCCTAAAATGATTGTCCTTGCCTAGAGCTCTGGGCCTGTGAAGGTAGGGACAGCCTCAGAGGTCTCTCAAATGCCTTTAGAGTCTTTCTCCCATTGTCGTAATGAATGGCACCTGGATTTCTTCTAGCCACATTAATCTCTTTAGCAAACTGCCTGTTGTACATACCCTTAGTATTCTTTTCGGAATATGTTTTTTCACTCCTTAGACGGATAGGGTGCACATTTTCCGAATCCTTCCATTCTGTTTCTTTTTTAATGATAAATTTATCTTTAAGATATTTCTTTCCTCTCATATCTCACCATAGGCAGTTAAAAGTAACCATGCAACAACTGAATGCTTTGCTGCTTAGATATTTCTTCCCCCAGATACCTTAGCTAATCACTTAAGTTCTGCCTTTAGTGAAGTCTTAGGATTCAGGCACAATTCAACCAAGGTCTTTGCTACCTTGTAACAAGGATGACCTTTACTCCAGTTTTCAGTACAGTTTAAATAATCTATGAGATGATTCAGACTTTCCCTATAGCTCTTCTCTTCTTTTGAGCCCTCACCAGAATCACTCTTAATGCTTTGTTCATGGTTATCTAGGCTTTTTCCAGCCTTCTCCTTCAAATTCTTCCAGCCTCTACCCATTACCCAGTTCCGAAGTCGCTTTCCCATATTCTCAAGTATTTGTTATACCAACAACTCCACTCTTGATGGCAATCTTAGTCCATTCTTCTGCTGCTACAA
Organism: Homo sapiens; assembly: GCF_000001405.40. Classification (NCBI taxonomy): domain Eukaryota; kingdom Metazoa; phylum Chordata; class Mammalia; order Primates; family Hominidae; genus Homo; species Homo sapiens. Next base: position 107,438,171 of record NC_000002.12, on the reverse strand, counting down.
CATACTGGGTAATTTATGAAAAATGCCACAGACTAAGGAATTTATTAAGAAAATTTGGCTCATGATTCTGGATGCTGACAAGTCCAAGAGTATGGCACTGGCATCTGACAAGGCTCATCCCATTGCAGAGAGAATCACATGGCAAGGGAGTACACTACACATGTGAGACAAACAGAAAACGGTGGCCCAACTCCCATGCTAACTAAACCGTTCCTATGATAGTGGCATTAATCCACTGCCCTCATGACCTAATCACCTCTTAAAAATCCCATTTCTTAATACTGTTACACTGGCAATTAAATTTCAACATGAGTTTTGGCAAAGACATTCAAACTATAGCAGCTTAGGAAAGGCAAAGTTATACCTAGCATTTCTAGGTGAATAAAGAAGATCACTAGGAACTAGAACATTGTTCAATGGCTGGGACACTTTGCATCAAGCTAATTAAATACTTAACAAATACCCTATTGTCTTATTTACTTCTTTTGTAAATACTGCTGACATGATAGAGTGGCTTCTTGCACCATTCAACCCCAACAGTAAATCCTGATGTGCACTTACTTTTTATTAATTATGAATTATTATTTATTAATTAATCTATAATGTATTAATTATTAATTATAATTATTATGAAATATTATATTATATAATATCATATATTATTAATTTTTACTAATATTATTTAATGATAATTAATGTTATCATTAAATATTAATATTAAACATATAAATATAAATATAAAATATTAATATAATATTAAATAACAATGGTTTATTATAAATTATTAATTATGAATTGCTAATTACAAATTATTATTTATTTATTTATTATGAATTAAACATAATCTAGGTCATTAGCATTAACAATTATTGGTTGATAATTCAGCAACTGTTGACTACCTTTTTCTTGCTCAGAAGAAGTGTATGGTGTAGTTGGGGAAACAAGTTAAGTGACCTACCAAGTGAATTGCACTCTGTAGTGAAGTCAAAATGTGCTATATGTAAGGTGGAAGAACAATGAAAATTTTTGTACAGAAATATGAATATGAACAGCTAAAGGAAGAGGTAACCAATATGAACTTGATAATTGCCTCCAAAGGAGATTAGATCATATTAAATAAAAGCCATTTTATTTCTATACATATTTTTATAGGTTTGGATATGTAACAGGAAGGCTGGGGCTGAATTTTTGGATAAAAGCTGGAGAATTGAATATTTGATCACATTTTCTCAGAATAATTAGAAGACAGTGGGGGGTAATTGAGCATGAAGTCTATAAGGAGAAGAAATAGAAGAGAAGAGAGAGGACCCAGCCAGATTCTAGGGATTTGGTTACCTTGGAATATGAAGTTGTCAGTAGACATGAAAAATTCTCACTGTGGCTAACAAAGATTTTGAGAATTCTATGGGGCTTACATTGCTTTAAATGCACATTTTTTTTAGGAGTATGTACAAATTTAGGAATTCTAAGTTTTACTTTGGGTCTAAAATAATGTGATAAGTGTTAGGAAAAAAATGAGAAAGGGAAAGAGACCACAAGAGAGAGAAACAAAAATAGAAGGTGTAAGTATCTTGATTCTGCTAAGATGTCAGTGAAAATGGCAGAAACCAGGAGGCCAAAAGGCAGTAGTTGCTTTATTAGCTGTACTGAAAGGAAACAAACAAAATCCTGCCAAAAAAGAATTCTGCATTGAGCAAAGCTATTACAACAATGAAAAAGAAATTAAGAAATTCCCTAAAAACTATAATGGAAAGAGTTTATTGCTAGCCAAACTGCAGTACAAGAAATATTAAAAGGAGTTCTTTAGGCCAAAATGAAAGAACATTAGACTGTAACTTGAATACTCATGAGGAAATAAAGAGCATTAGTAAAGACTATTATATAGATAAATATTAAAGATAGTAAAAATGTATTTTTATTTGTGAGTCCATTTTTAAATATGATTTAAAAGCAAATGTAGGCATACAAGTTGTTGCTGGATGATCAACAAATATTTGTTAATGATAATGATCTAGATTAGTTTAATTCACTTAATAAGTTGGTGAGAATAATGTATAAGGATACATTTTGTGACAGTAAGTAAGGGATGGAAGACCAGATCTAAATAAATGCATTTTTATATGTAATTGAAATTAAACTGATAGTCATACAAACAAGAATGGTATAAATTAAGATATTAACAGTAATCCCCAGAGGAACCACTAAGAACATAACTCAGAAATATACAATAAAAGAAATGGTAAAGGCATTACGATGGTTCACTAGAAAATATCTATTTAACACAGAAGGAGGCAGTATTGGAGGAACTGAGGAACAAAGAAAACATAAGATATATATAGAAAATGAAAAGTAAAATGGCATATGTAAATCCTATTTATCAGTAATTACATTAAAACATAAATTAAAGGCTTCAATTAAAATGCAGATTGGCAGAATGGAAAGAGACAAGCTCTAACTATATACTGTAGAATATTTTGAAGGGACATACTTTAAATTCAAAGACAAAAACAAGTTAGAAATGAAAGGATGGAAAAAAATATACCATATGCAAACTAATGAGGGTAGAGTTTTTGGAGTGCTGAAAATGCTCTAAAATTAGATGGTGATGATTATTGCGTGACCTTGTGCATATACTAAACACCACTATATTGTATAGCTTGAAATGGTGACTTTTTTTTTTACTATTACACTTTAAGTTCTGGGATACACAGTGTGGCGGTTCCTCAAGGATCTAGAACCAGAAATACCATTTGACCCAGCAGTCCCATTACTGGGTATATACCCAAAGGATTATAAAGCATTCTACTATAAGGATACATGCACACATATGTTTATTGTAGCACTATTCACAATAGCAAAGACTTGGAACCAACCGAAATGGTGACTTTTATGGTATTAAAATTATATCTTAATAAAAATAAATAAGCACAGAAATATCTTGTTTTTTTATGATGTCCCTTCCTCAGTTCAGCCTTCATGAAGGCAGCTGTACTTGTTGCCGTGTTTCAAGGATATCCCTGCATCCTTTTAAGATATTTCTTTTTTGCATATAATCACTTAGGAAAGTTATCTTCTTTCTAATCTAATAACTGGTAACTAAGAGAGGATTCATAAAACACAAGTTTGAGGCAGTTTGAGATGAGACACTGGAGGTTTCATAGCATTTCTGTATGCGGTAGAAAGTGAGGGAAATATTTAGAGTCAGGGTTTATCGTGCCCAGAATAGTCTTACGGGAAGATTAATCTGGCATCAGTGTGTGGCATGAATTAGAGGCATACGCTTTCTGCCCTTAAATTGTACTGGGAGCTATTTGTCAAGTACATCACTTCTCACAACTGCCATACAGAATTTTTCATCTGGAATAATCTCTAGAGATCTAAATGTGAGTGACAGGACAACTGTCTACTTGTTTTGATAAAAGAAAATTTCTGTCTTTCTTCAAATCCTTTTTTTTCCTGACCTGAAATTCTGTCATAAAATCATAGTATCCGTAGCTTTAGAGCAGAAAGGAAGGGTTTAGTTCAGATAAGCCTAGAGCAGATAAAGCAGTGTGAGAGGAGGGGTTAACTTACTGTTTCAGGTTTATAAAATGAATAATTCTTTAATATTTAGCTCAGAAAGAAAACTTTTCAAAATTTTATTTGTGTATCTTCAGCCCATTCATCTCCCTATTCTCATCCTTCAGTGATTTTAAATAATGTATCTTTAGTTTTATCTAATAGGCTTATATTTTCTTGTTGCATCTTGAATATCAGATATTTCTCTTCAAAAATTTCAATCTTTGAAGTCAGATATTATATCTCTTACTCATTTATTATTCCATTCTTTACCTTGTTTAAAATATCATTAAACATGCAGTTGCTGCTCAGCAAACAAGGAATTAATGAGTGCATGAAGGAACAAATCCCCCTCAAGTTACTCTATACCATTCACGAAAATAGAGTTTCCATGCCTATACTAACAGCTTAATTTCATGAAAGAGTTCATACAAGTGTTGCATGGATTAGAGAGATGCTGGAAACAGTAGAGAATATTGCATGTCTTCCATGTTCATAGTTATGACAAAGGGAGTCCTGAGGTTAAATAAATGTGGACAATATTTGTCCAAACAAAGTTAATCGGGTTTCCTTGCTGGAACACAGCAGGGTTGCTCTGTGCTTTAACACATCATTACGCATTACAGAACTCTAAGAGTCATCTTTTCACTGAATACCTTCCAAAAGTAGTGCTGTATGTAACATGCTCTATATTTTTGGAAATGTTTATCTACCTTTTAACTGTATATATTCATTTCAAGATTTTTGTTTCTGTGAAGCATGGTGGAAGCAAATATATCCCACTTCATCTTTTCGGACCCCTTGTGATCTCATTTATTCATCAGGAAAAGTAGAGAGAGTCTAATGAAGATGCTTTTTTCATTATCTGAACTGTTTCTATAGAGTAAAGTGCCAGCCGTTTAAATCAGTGATTTCCACCTAGTCATAAAAGTACCCGGGCTATGGCTGGGCGCCTTTGCTCACGCCTGTAATCCTGGCACTTTGGGAGGCTGAGGTGGGCAAATCACCTAAGGTCAGGAGTTTGAGACCAGCCTGGCCAACATGGTGAAAACCTGTCTCTCCTAAAAATACAAAAATTAGCCAGGCGTAGTGGCATGCGCCTGTAGACCCAGCTACTTGGGTGGCTGAGGCAGGAGAATCGCTGGAACCCGGGAGGCCGAGGTTGTAGTGAGCCGAGATCGTACCACTGCACTGCAGCCTGGGTGACAGAACAAGACTCCAACTTAAAAACAACAACAACAACAACAACAACAACAATAACAACTGGGCTATTTTGTTATAAAGTTTTCATCTGTGAAGAAATATCTTATAAAATAAATCAGAAAAATATACTACATTTCTCATGTTGCTAAAATCATTTAATTTAAATAATTATTCCAAAATCATGCTTATTTTTATAAATAAATATTGAGAATTCATACAAGAGTTTTTTGCCTGTTTGGTTGGTTGGTGATTTTATTTAATTTTGCTTGCTTAGTGAAACAAAATGTTGGTAATCTGCATCAACTTCTCTGAAAGTGTTTTCAAAGTGTTACTGGTCTGGGAATGCTGGAATCCACTGTAATAGCTCTTAACTTGGCATATACTCTCAAACTGAATTTTTTTTTTATTATACTTTAAGTTTTAGGGTGCATGTGCACACTGTGCAGGTTAGTTACATATGTATACATGTGCCATGCTGGTGCGCTGCACCCACTAACTCGTCATCTAGCATTAGGAATGCAGTCAAACTGAATTTTCTATTTGAGTCTTTAATTGTATAAAACTTTTCATATTTATTAAATAAAAGTCATTTGATTAAAACCACAGGGAAAAAACTTTTCAGTTCAACTGAATGATTTCATAAGTGAATTTCTTAAAGCATATTCAACTGACAAGACGAAGGTTTCAGACTTACCTCTGGTGTAGAAATCATTTCATTTCATTTTTGTTTCATATATTAACACTTTCTAAATGGCTTAAAAGAGGTGGTGGAGTTACACAAAGGAAATCTTTATGTGAAATAAAGATTTAAAAAAATTCTTGTTAGATAAACAATAGAACTCATCTAAGTAAATTAGTCTTTATTTAACACAAACATATTTGTTGTACTTCAAAGCCTCTCAGCAGCTTTACTACTGAACTCCACTTTCTCCTAGTAGAGAATAAGGCAAAAAAATTTCAATCTAGAAAAGACTAAAATTTTATGGCTCTGCATATTTCCTTAATGTATTTATAGAGAAAATGGTTGGTAAGATTATTATTTCCCGTGTCACACACCAACAGGTAATATGAGGAAACTCCAGTAACATTTAAACAGTGGGTAAGACAACATTTGGAAGCAGAGTTATAAACCTGATTCTATGATTGTAACAGCAATGACTGCCACTGCTCCAGATGTGTAACTATGTCTTGGAAGATATTAAGTCTTGGTATATGCAAAAAAACATTGATTCCAAGGCTCTGAAAAAAAAAGACCCTTATGTCTATTAAAAGGCAAATAACCCAAATGAAATTTCCATTCACAAATTACCATGGGTATTTTACCTGAAGGTTATTCAACAATATTTGGGGAAATAAAACATGCAAAACAGAGCAAAGCCATCACCAAACTGGAACAAGCCAAGTCTTTTGGCTTCAAAAGATAAGTAAAATATTTTGCCAGCTGCAGACCGGTGAACTTGGTGACAGACTTGGGAAACATTCCGAGTTATTTGTGAGAACCTAGAGGCAAAATCAAAGAACACTAGAATGAGATATTGGGGTGGGGTGCAATATCTAGTGAGAATATTTCACTAGAATGAGATATTCACTAAGATTAAGGAAAGAAAGTCTCATTTTATTTATGACTGGATTACTCATCTGGTGACACAAGAAAGTGTAACAGACAGATGCCTTGACTTCAGCTAGGCACTTGATAATGTCTTTGAGAACAGCTTTATGGATAATTTTAAGAATAATTAAGTCCATCTTACACAATTTACTGATAAACTTATTTGGCACCATCAGTCTTTAGAATTTGTTTCAATGTTCATGTTTTAACTGTACATCATCTTCTCACCTCTGTGTTCCACAACTTGTCATCGGAGAAATGCCCATTCCTTCTTTTCTTGTGTGCTCAGATGACTAGTTTTCTGTTGTTTCCTTATTGTGTGATCTGCCTTGTTCATTGTGTGATCTGCCTTGTGCCTTGTTCATTAAAATGTTAAGGGTTATTTAGTAGGTTGGTGCAAAAGTAATTATGGTCTTTACTTTTAAAAGTAATTCCAAAAACTGCAATTACTTTTGCACAAAAGTAATAACTCACTTTCCTTTGTTGAAAGAGAATTACACTTTAAAAATCTTAATTTTCACCCAATCTTACCACATCTTTTCAGATTCTCAGTCTCCATAAATCCTGTCACAAAGAAAGATATTGTCAATCATGTTTATCATGATTTTTGTCATCCTACCTGCATTACATCTTTGTAACTCTTTGGCTATGTGTTCGCCAGTGGCAGTGAGTGATGATGCCCCACTGAGGGAAATGTTTTGACATAGACATAGCGTACTGAGAAAAACTGAGCAATGGCTGGCTGACTCAAAATATCATTGTTCTAACACTGCATTATAAGATGAGACAAAATGTTCAGCACTATGCTAAAGAATGAATGGAATTCCTTACAGTGCATTGTCTAGATCAAATCTGTCTTTGAGTACCAAGATGCAACTATGTTAGGGATATTTTGACTAACAATATCAAAGCAAGAAAGACAAAGCTTTCAGAAGACAGATAAATTCAGTAGTTAAGATTAGCATCTCTGTGCTTAACCACCTCCCCGTAGCACGTGCGCACGCGCGTGTGCGCGCACACACACACACACACACACACACACAGGCACCACCAGCTTAGTGTTTGAGACTTCTAGTAGTAGTTTTGCACCCCATTTAGCTCAAAGGTACCTAGCAGTCTCTCCAACACTAGTACCTAATATAACAAAATTAATATCTGCCAACATTTTCAATAAATACTATTGGGCAAATGAACAAAGAAATATGAATCTTAATATATACACAGAGGGAGATACTTAACAAAGTAAATTACCTTATTCATGTCCTCCTATGACTCAGAATGCAAATGTTTTATTAAGATTCTTCATGCTTCCTCTCTATGTCGCTATTTCAGTTCTATCCTATTTTTCTGTTCTATTAATAATAGTCTTATTGTACTCTAAAGTTGAGTAAAAAGCATTGCAGTAGGTAAGACACAGTCTGAAGGCAAGAGGAGAGTCAGCCCTTGAAAATTATAGCAGTCTCATTGGAGGATTCTGCTACCATCAAGTACTACGATGTCTAACATTCACCCATGCTTGCACTACCTAGGGAAAACAAAATGAAAACAAAGCTTATTAGGACCTGAATTATATCAATCCAGATGGCATCTTACTGTGTTGCCCAGGCTTGCCTCAAACTCCTGAGTAGCTGGGACTAGAGGCATGAGTCATCATACCTTGCTAATTTAAATGTTTAAATCTTTTGTGAAGCAATATAAGCATGCAGCTCAAAGACAAAACTGTACCAAAATGTGTGCAATGAAAATTAGCAATTTTCTTTCTGACTGCACCCCACCTCCAAACCCACTTCTCTAATGACTACTTAAAATTTTTAAATTTGTATCTTCTGGTATTAACCTTCACATTTCTAAATGACATGCTTCTCTGTTATTTCTTGATTTATGTTTCAGATATTATCAGGTTCAGGAGGAGATTGCATAGGTGCTCTAGGCTAGTGATTTTAGTGATATACCATTTCTCTACATCCATCATCCATTAATCATCTGTAAAAGAGATAATACCAACACCATATTTTTGGTGAAAGTCTTTTTTTTTTTTTTTTTTTTTTTTTTTTGAGATGGAGTCTCACTCTGTCACCCAGCCTGGAGTGCAATGGCGCGATCTCAGATTACTGCAACCTCCGCCTCCCAGGTTCAAGCCATTCTCCTGCCTCAGCCTCCCAAGTAGCTGGGATTACAGGCACACACCACCACACCTTGATACTGTCATTAATCACAACTTCATTTTTCTTTCTAGTCAATTTCTTTTATAACAACAGAGAATGTGTTGTTCTAGCAGTAATCTCACGCTGCATTATCTGTTAGGCACTACAGACAACAGCCTAGGATTTATAGGATTTTCAAGTGCTTATGTTTGACACCTGGAAAAAAAGTTGTTCCAAGAGATAAAATATACCACAAATATAAAATTCATAATGGCCTAGTTGATTATAAAATATAATATTTGTTAACTAGACTACAGTAAACATACTAATAACCTTTTATAAGGTATATGTAAGATGGGTGAATTTTATCATCTCATGTACATTTGGGCCTTCAAAAGCCATATTCCCCCTGTAGAGTCATCTATCTCTTAATAATTGAACAATAATCAGAGTTCACATTATTTTTACTCTGATAATAATTGTGCATTAAGAAATTTTTATAAAGCATTTTCTTTTTCTTTATGAATAACTGCTCGCCTTTTTACTTGCATAATTCTCTCTGCATCTATTATTTTCCAATCTGTCTCATTAGAGCATCTTTCCTCATGAGTCACCTTCCCTACAGCAATGTCCCTCCTTGAATCCTTTTACTGCCCGACTTGGGACTAGCTGCCTATGAGCTACTGCACAGCTGCTGTACTGGAACATCCCTTCATTGTTGACTGGATTGACTGGATCTCAGCCTAAATTCCATGCCATTCTCTAGCCTTTGTTCAGGCTGTTTATTTCTCTGAAAGCGCATAAGTAACCTCCTAAGAAAGAGTGTCTGAGAAGTAAATTTAAAACATACAGTGAATCTGAAAATATCAATACCTCACACTTCAGAAAAAGTTAGCTACATACATTTCCAGGATAGAACTAATTTTCCCCTGAAACTTGGGAGATTTTGTTTGTTTGTTATGGAGTTTCACTATGTCACCCAGGCTGGAGTGCAGTCATGTGATCTCAGCTCACTGCCACCTCTACCTCCCTGGTTCAAGCAATTCTCCTGCCTCAGCCTCCCGAGTAGCTGGGATTACAGTCACACACCACCACACCCAGCTAATTTTTGTGTTTTTAGCAGAGACGGGGTTTTGCTATCTTGGCCAGGTTGGTCTCGAACTCCTGACATCAAGCAATCCACCCACCTCAGCCTCCCAAAGTGCTGGGATTACAGGCATGAGGCATTGCACCCAGTGGAAAATTGGGTGATGTTTATCCATTGTTTGTAACAGCCAGTAGTTTTGATGTAAAGTCAGCTGCCAGTCTGATCACCACTTTTGTGTAGGTTTTGTAGCTGACTTTTTCTATTTTTCTTTTGGAAGGTTTTAGAATGATTTCACTATTGCTGTTATTTTGAAATTTGTGATGAGCTTTTAGTCTGATTAAGTTAGGAATATTTTTTCTTGCACAGAGAGAAACAAATCCAAACCCAGATTAGCTTGACCAATAAAGGGATTAATATGCTCTGATAACAGTACAATTTGGATGACATGGATGCCAGCATGCTCCTGTTTCTTTCTGTGTCTCCACTCAGCCTTCCAGCATCAGTTCACTGTACCAAGTTGGCTGCCAGCAGCTCCCTGCTTCCTTGTTTGAGTTTAGCATTACTTATTAAAAGCTAACTTATTTGTTCCAGCATTCCCAGTAAAACTTCTGGGAATTGAAGTTGCCTAAGTAGCATATACACTTTTGAACCAATATTTGTAGCCAGTGGGATGACATATCCTACAAGGTTTAGTAGCTTTATGTCTGAGGATATAGTTTACAGATGGTTCTACACAATTGGCAGGAAGCATTTGAATATGGGCAGCTGCAGCATTACAGCATTACAACATCCCTGAAGGACAGTTGTGAAGAAAATCCTCCCATTGGGAAGAACTTTGGGCAGTGCACCTGGTATTCACTTTGTTTGGAGAGAGAAATGGGCAGATGTGCAATTATGTACCAGCTTATGGGCTGTGACTAATGGTTTGGTCTAAATGGTCAGGGACTTGGAAGTAATATCTGTAGAAAACTGGTGACAAAAAATTTTGAGAATATATATGGAGATAGATCTCTCTGAACAGAAAAAGAACATGAAGATATTTGTGTCCCATGTGAATACTCACAAAAGGGTGACCTCAGCTAAGGATGATTCTAATAATCAAGTGGCTAGAATGAGCCACGCTGTGGATACAATTCAGCTTTTTTCTCCAGCTGACACTGCCATGAACAAAGTAGCCTTGGTGGCAGAGATGGGATAAGGAAGGTGGACTTCCATAAATCAAGGTAACATGGTTGTGGCCACTACTGAGTATGCAATTTGCCAGCAAGAGGGACTGAACCCCCAATGTTAGATCATTTCCCAGGTGATCAGCCAGCCGTCTGGTAGCAGGTTGATTACACTGGGCCACTTCCATCAAGGAAAGAGAAGTGTTTTGACTTATTGGAAAGACACTAACCCTAGACATGGATTTGCCTTTCCTGCATTCAATGCTTCTGTCAAAGCTACTGTATTGGTCTGTTTTCATGCTGCTAATAAAGACATACCTGAGACTGGGTAATTTATAAAGGAAAGGGGTTTAATGGACTCACAGTTCCACATGGCTGGGGAGGCCTCAAAATCAGGGTGGAAAATGAAGGAAGAGCAAAGGGAAATCTTACATGGCAGCAGGCAAGAGAGCTTGTGTAGGGGAACTCCCCTTTATAAAGCCATCAGATCTTGTGAGACTTATTCACTATCATGAGACTAGCACGGGAAAGACCCACCCCCATGACTCAATTACCTCCCACCAGGTCCCTCCCATGACATGTGGGAATTATGGGAGCTACAATTCAAGATGAGATTTGAATGAGGACAGTGCCAAACCATATCAGCTACCATCCATGAACTTATAAAATGCCTTATTCACCATTATGGTGTTTCACACAGTATTTCTTCTGACAAGGAACTTACTTCACAGCCAAAGAAGTACAACAGGCCCACGATCATGGAATTCACTAGACTTACCATGTTCCCCACCATCTTGCAGCAGCTAGCTTTATAGAATGGTTGAATGGACTTCTGAACACTCATTGGCAGTGCCAGCTGGGTGGCACTGCCTTACCAGGGTGGGCAAGCTTCTCCAGAAGGCTATGTTCTAAATCAGCATCCAGTACATATGTAACTGTTTCTGCCATTGCAAGGATCATGGGTCCAGGAATCAAAGGGTTGAAATAGGAGTGGCACCATTCACAATTACCCCTACTGAACTATTAGACAAGTTTGTTTCCTGTTCCCTGGTTGCTATAGTTTGAATGTGTTACACAAAGTTCATGTATTAGGAACTTAATCCCAAATGCAATAGTGTTGAGAGGTACAACCTTTAAGAGGTGATGAGGTCATCTGGGCTCTGCCTTAATGAATGGAGTAATGTCATTATTTGATAAATGGATTAGTTATCTGGAGAGTGAGTTCCTGACGAACAGATGTGTTTGGTCCTCTACCTCCGCACTCTATTTTCTATGCATGCAGGCACATGTGCTCTCTTGACCTTCCTCCTTTCACCATGGTATGATGAAACAAGAAGGTTCTGCCAGATGTCCTTCGACCATGGACTTTCCAGCTCCTAGAACTATAAGAAATACATTTTTGTTCCTTATAAGTAACCCAGTCTTTGGTATTCGGTTACAGCAGAACAGAACAGACTAAGATACTAACTTTATGCTCTGCTGGCCTAGAGGTTTAAATTGAAAAGAGAGGAATGATTCCACCAGGAGACACTGTAATGATTTTATTGAACTAGAAGTAAAGACTGCTGTCTGGTCATTTTGGGCTCCTCATGACTCTGAGTCAACAGGCCAAGAAGGGAGTTGTGGCTTGAACTGAGGTGATTGATCCAGAATACTAAGGAGAAATTGAACTACTACTCCACAATAGAGATGAGGAAGACATGCCTGGAATACTGAAGATCCCTCAGAAAACATTTTAGTATTATCATAGCCTGTGACTAAGGCAAATAAAAAACTACAATAACTCAATCCAAATAGGACTATGAATGTCCCAGATCCTTCAAGAATGAAGGTTTGGGTAATCCTGCTAGGTAAAGAACTCTGGCCAGCAGAAGTGCTTGCTGAAGGCAAAGAGCAAATACAGAATGGGTAGTGAAAGAAGGTAGTAGAAAGATAAGCCTTGACCATATGTCCAGTTACAGAGATGAGGACTGTAATCGTCATGAGTATTTTCTCTTTATTTTGTTATGAATACATTTGCATATACATACACATATTATGCAAAATGTCATTATTTTCTTTCCTCTCTTTTCCTTCATCATGTAACATAAGATACATTGACTTTATATCAGTATTTAAATATTGTTAATTTTACATCATAGTATTTAAATATTGGATATTGGAAGAAGAGTAAACATCACGCCTCTTCTTGGGAAAGAATTAGCACACTTTTGGTTGTATGGGATAGTTTATTATGTTAGGTGGAATTATGATTCTGTTATTTTCTCTATTTGGAGGTTGATTGTTGTTTCAGAAAATGCATATGGGTACGAAGTTTACAAGGGGTGGACTTGTGATGGTAGATTTTATGTGTCAACTTTACTGGGTTAAAGGATGCCCACATAGCTGATAAACAGCTATTTCTGGGTGTGTCTGTGAGGGTTTCATTTGAATAAGTAGACTGAGTAAAGATTTCCCTCATCAAGGGAAATGGGCTTCCTTCAATTCATCAAGGGTCCAAATAGAACAAAAAAGGCAGAAGGAAGGTGAATTTTCTCTCTCTGAGCTGGGACACCTATCTTCTTCTAGCATTATATGTTAGTGTTCATGGTTCCTAAGCATTTAGATTTGCACCAGGACTCACATGATTGGCTTCCCTGGTTCTCAGGTCTTCAGACTTGGACTGAATTACAACCCCACTTTTCCTGGTTCTTCAACTTGCATATAGTAGATTGTGGAACTTCTGGGCCTCCATAATCTCACAAACCACCTCTCTGGAGAACTCTAATACACATCTTAATAATGATGTTAGCTGTTCCAGGAAATATTCATCATTCAGGCTCTTAGATTAGATCTTGCCCACTCCTGAGTAATTGGTTCATATCTTGTTCTTGTTAATTGGTAGGTCTGAAGGTCTATGTTGGAATTGTGCTCCAATTTTGGCTTCTACACATACTGGAAATATTTTCTCTCTTCCCTCAATTATATCTGAGTTTGCAGTGGTAGAGATTCTTATATTATCCATTTTGTTTATACTACTACCTACAAGCCAATCAGTACAAATGTCAGTTCCCACAAAGGTAACATATTTGCTCTCCAAGTGACAAAGACAAACTGTGATCAGAGCTGCAGATTTGAAAGGCTCTGAGTGAATAGATGTATTCCTTTCCTTAAGAGTGTAAATCTAAACTTCTCACATTGATGCATTTGTATTTTTAGACATGTTCCAGAATACAAACTTGTTGATAAAAGCCTATTTTTAACTTTTACATAGGATATGCAGGTATGAAAATAACAGGAAAAAAGTTATTCCCTATGAAGAGATTGCTAGGTGTTTCCTTTCTTACTTTCCAGTACTCTTTTTTATCGTTTTCAAGAATGAACCCTACAAAAACATATTTGAAAAGTCAGTTTCAACTCAGTCTCTGTGTTCAAAAGATGAACTTTTTAAAAAGTTCGACAACCATGGGCATGGCTAAAATCTATAGCTGAGGGATGATTTGTATTCTGAAAATGTAACATAAATCAATCAATCAAGGCATTATTTCAGAAAATGGCCTCTTACTTTTTGGGAGGTAATTCAAATTATGGTATACAATCAGAAGCCTCTAAAACCCCATAAAACATTGTAGTTACACTACTGAGCCCAGGCACTCCTTCTAAATGTGTCAATCCTGGCTCCAGTATTGCCCAGTTTACCAGTCATTGCAGAGGGATTTGTTTGGCATTGGGTGCTGCAGAAACTAAGAAAAAATATAGTATCTTCCAGCAAAGAAGGCATTTCCCAGATTTTACAATAAGAAAGTCATCAGAAAGATGGTGCTCACAACTCAGCCAGTGATACTGAACAAGCTTCTGATCAACTTTCCACCTGAACTGATGTGAATTTTATGGCCACATATAGATGCAATTTGAATTAGAAATTATATGCATATGAAATCCAAATCACTTAAGATGGGCAGACAGCAACAAATATTATACAGCCAATGTATTATTTGGAGACTGAATGGTTCATGGTGGAAAATTACTTGCAGTACTATAAAAGAGCCCCCTGTGAAGGCACAGACACGTGAGTTCAGGGAGCAGTGATGGGGGGCCCCTTAGGTCAGATGGGAAACCAGGAACCTAACTCTAATTGGAGGGTCTAAGAGCTGCAGCTGGTTGTCCCAACACTGGACTGTAATGTTTCATTTACTCTTATATCAGACTCAATAGATAAAAGTTTCAAAGTACTCCAAAATGGTCTTCATGGAGTTTGACTACTATGGCAATGTTCTCCAGCATTTTACTGCTCACCACCTGCTATGGGCTGACGAGATTGTCTAAGCAGCTTGATCTAGATGCAATCGACAGTCCCCAGGAACTCTTTTTCTAACACTGAGTCATACAACTTATTCCCAACTTTGATGTTCTCCCATCTTAAAGTTTTTAAGTGAGAGGAAGAAAAAGGGCCAATGAAGTGGCCTAGAGAATATTTCTTTTTACTTCTAATTCTGCTTCCTAACCGGCCTTTGAATAAAACAATCTGCCTCCAAGGAGAGCTAGGCCTTTAATTAGTGTTTTGAAATCGTTTTTGAAACCAGGATAATAAGGTTCTAAATTTCCAGCTTTGCTTCTGAACTAAATCCTTGAAATATTTTTGAGTGGTTTCATAATTTCTTTGTTCTCCACTCCTCAGCACTAATTCATTCTCTTTGCCTAAATTACTCTTATTACCTAAGATGCTTTTAGAATTAGGAAAGTGTCTCAGTAGATGTGACTGCAATTTTTAAGTGGGAAGCTCAGCTGACCTCACCTTCCATTTAGCTCATAGCATTTTTTAATGAAAACAAAAAAAATCCACCTTTCATTACTGTTAAAGAGAAAACAGCAGACAAAGCATTAAGACATCCCGACTCCCAGCACAGAGACCCAAATGGCTTCATGTAACAGGTTACAATTCTGTTATCCAGCTTTCTCCAGCCCTCAGATAGAAGAACTGGACTAGTATATTGCCACCTGTATATCTCCTAGAAGTAGACTGAATAATGATCTGCATTGCATCAAGTGCTCTAGATATGCAGTGTTATTTCTAAGCTTCTTTTGAGTTTGCAGTTTATTCAGGTATGCTTTCCTTGAGACACGACCAATAATTATCAAAGCCAAAGAGCAGATAACATTTTCCATGGGCATTATTATGGTACCCAGCTTCTCTCTTCTGGTACCACCCTACAGAATTAGGTGCTATTATTATACCTGTTTTAAATATAGGCAGTATGTGTACATGTAGGAGGGCTGTGGTTTTGCTTTATTGAAACTCCGTTACATCTCCACATTTCTAAGACTTTATGCTGCTGATATTGACAAAGAAATACTACCAAATTCCACATTCTTGCTGTGAACCACAGTTAATTTGAGAACTGAAAATCCCCTAGAATTGTCACACCCAACAGTAGCCACTGGAGATCAGAAACATTCTTCATAAATTATCAACACCGAAAGAGGAAAGGAATTCTTAAATTAATTGCTTTTGTTTATGAGCATTTGCTTCAATATTTTGGGAAAAGAAATTCACTCATTACTTATTAATTACAGAGATTGTTCATTAATTTTGAAGAGAATATGTACCTTTTTAATAGGAATCTAAAAGATTATTAAGAGATCAAATTATTATACTGAGTATAATAACTTGAGTACAAAGATTATTAAGAGTACAAGTTATTATACTGAATTTTACAAGAAGGGGATAGCTGACATCACATACTTCCAGATAAGATACATTGCCACCAACGTGATCTTATTGCCCAAAGTGTTTAACATTAATCTAACCTTAAAACAAATTGGGGACAGTCTAAAAAATTAATTGGCCTTGACTCCTTAAAATGTCAATGGCATGAGAAACAAAATAAGCAAGAAAACTGTCTTAGATTAAATGGTATTAGATGGAATGCAGTAATTATGTCCTGGATCTAGAAAATTAATAGCTGTAAAAGTTATTTCTTGAGAAAACTGAAGAAATATGAATTACGATTTCATATCATATGCTAATATGCTACATATACTATCACCTTTTGATTTCTTAATTGATTATGATGCTAGGGTTATGTACAAGAATATTCTTATTCTTAGGAGACACATTTTTATATGAAGTATTTAATGATCAAGAATCATATCTTTGACTTACTTTCAAAATGATTCAGAACTGCCCATGCATACACACATACCTGAGAATCTGACAGAATGTTAATACTTATTAAATATAAGCAAAGTGTATTTGAGTGTTTATTGTATTATTTTTAGGGGCAAGTTGATCTTATTTATTTTTCATAGACGATGTGGTTTGGCTGTGTCCCCACCCAAAATCTCATCTTGAATTGTAATCTGAATTGTAATCCCCACATGTTGGGGGAGGGACCTTGTGGGAGGTGATTAGATCATGGAGGCAGTTCCCCTATGTTGTTCTCATGAGATCTGATGGTTTTACAAGGGGCTTTCCCCGTAGATTGTGTCTGCTCCCCCTTCCATCATGATTGTGTTTCCTGAGGTGTCATGGAACCTCAGGAACCCCAGCCATGCTGAACCCCATCCACGCTGAAATGTGAATCAATTAAACCTCTTTCCTTTATAAATTACCCAGTCTCAAGTGTGTCTTTATTAGCAGCATGAGAATGGGCTAATACAGACAATAATGGTATATATTTATGGGGCACAATGTGATGTTTTGATGTATGCATACATTGTGAAATAATTAAATCAAGCAAGTTAACATATACATTACCTCACATACCTATTATTTTTTATGGTGAGAACATTTTAAAATTTAACCCCTTGGCAGTTTTGAAATATACCCTACCTTATAATAAAAATACACTAGGGTCATCATACTGTGCAATAGATCTCAAAAACTTACTGAATTATTCTTTCAACTTTTCTGTAGGTTTGAAATTTCAAGACATAAAGTTGGGGGAAAATCAATTACTGTCACTGGTCATTGAATTGAGGAAATGAATGGCAGTGTGTTATTCAACTTTCCGAATCTTTACTTTTGCTCACAGGCTTTGTGGTAGAAAACAAGCATCCCTGCAGTTTAAGACAAGAATGAAGTTTTCTTAATTTTGCACATAAATATGTTTTCACAATTTTGCTATTTTAATCATTCAATGTGTAGGTACAAGGAATTTCAAAGCTTTTAAGATAAAACATTTTTATTTCAGGATTTTTCATCTTAACTGGGCATTAATAGATACTTCAAGAAAACCTACGTGCTGTGCAAAATAAGAAACAGATGCAGTATTTCACAGAAGAGTCAGCACTTACAATGTGCAACTTTGTGAATGTCCAGGGACAGACATTGGTACTTACCAAATTGCATGAGGCGTCAACCCAGGAGCAATTCTCTGCTCATGCACTTAATCACACGTGGGGTGACTTGTCAATACCATTAGTCACAACTTGGAAACTTAATGACAACAGTAATTTATGAGGCACTTATAGAAATAAAAGTCAATTGAAAAATGAAT
Organism: Homo sapiens; assembly: GCF_000001405.40. Lineage (NCBI taxonomy): Eukaryota > Metazoa > Chordata > Mammalia > Primates > Hominidae > Homo > Homo sapiens. The sequence continues at coordinate 107,419,926 of NC_000002.12, read as the reverse complement.
TGCTTTCCTAGTAACAAATGATAAAATTAAGCATATCTATTAGCAAAATGTCTAGGTAAAGGAGGGAACAATAAAATGAAAGTATAAAACATAGCATATAAGATAACTGAAACAGGTGACCTTGAAAGACTGAAATATGGGCCCCACTGCTGTAAAGGCATCCTGTGGGGTTTTTTTTTGTGTGTGTGTGCACATTTTGTGATCTCCTCAAGTTTCTCTACTCTAGCCCAGGGTGGGATGTTTAGAAGGAAGCAGGCTCCAGGTGCTATGGACTGAATTTTGTCCCTGCAAAATACTAACTCCCAACCTGATGGTACTTGCAGATGTGGCCTTTGGGAAGTAATTAGGTTTAGATGAGGTCATGAGCAGGGGGCTCTCATGATGGGATTAGTGCCCTTATAAAAGGAGATATCAGAAAGCTCACTCTCTTTCTCTCTCCACTATGTGAGTACACAGTGAGAAGGTGGTTGTCTGCAAGCCAGAAAAAGCGCCCTCACCAGAACCCAACCATGCTGGCACCCTGGGCTCAGTCTTCAAGCTTCCAGAACAGTGAGAAAATAATCTTGTAGTCATTAAGCCACCCAATGTGTGGTATTGTTGTGGCAACCTAAGCTGAAGGAGACAGCAGATAAGGAAATGCTGGTGATATTTTGTGACAAATGCAAATATCAGCACCTGGAAGAACTACAGCAGGTGGTAAACATTACCCTGTTTTTCATTCTCAGGGCACATATTTGATTATATATGGTGATTAGATTTTGAAAGTTGAGCCTTCCGTTTAAAAAAGACCTTTAGGGAACTTGTCTAATGAAAGGTCATTAAATATTATACTAGTACACAGCAGCCACAGCAATACAAATACCAAAGTGAGCATCCTAAAACAGCACACTGCACATAGGCTTGCAATCTGGCACGCCAACTTTGAAACAAAGCACTCTCCTGTGCTAAAAATAAAACAGTTGTTGGACTGTGTCGGCCCAGAGCATGCAGGGGATTTTTTAGCCATGGGACCTTGAGTATCATTACAGTCCTCTAATTGCTTATTGGCTCAGCAAAGTTAATGAACAGTTGTTCTGCAAGCCCAGGCATTCACTGATAAGCAGTTCCATTATTTCTTATTCCTTGTGAATGAACAGCTGCTGTGATGGCATCTCCATCAAGTTCCAGTGTAATCCCTAACATGAAAGCAGATGCCAAACGTCAGCATTGGACATCACCCCTCCCATTGCACATTTCCTATGGCAGCACATTTATCTCTTCAATGAAAAATCTATGCAGAACTTAATCAAGAACATAAAGTTATGAACTTAAAAAGGTTTTTTTAATTCAAAAATAAAATAGTTTATTTTTTAAGATTTTGAAACTTATAAAAACCCACATACAATTCTCCTGTAATCTCATTAAAGAGAGAAAAGCATTATTAAAATGTGGGTTTAAAAACATCTGGTCTTTTCCAGCATTGACTACTTTCATTACTTTTTAAAGTTCAAGTTTCAATGGACTCAGAATAAATCTGCTTGCATCAGAGTCAAATCATGTAGAATTATTACATTGCAATGAGTAGTTTTCCTGTGCTCTCAAATGCCTCTTCAACAAGGAAGAGGTTCAGGAGCATTTTTTCCCTCTAACTACAGAATTAAGCTTCGAAGCTCTCTCTCAGCCTCTTCCTGGTCAAGGTTATGAGCCCTCTTGAAAACACCTAAGGTGTGTAAGCACAGGAGATATGAGCCTCAGCTCTGACTGAAATAATAACTACCAGTGGGACAGACACTACATTAATTCCTTCTCTTCAGATTTTCTGAGATTGACTATTTCAGTTCTGCAGCCAGAGCCTAGTGAATATACAAAGCAAATAGAATAAACGCAACGAGAAAGCAATATTTTAAATAATGTTCGCTACGTCTGACACTCCTGAGATATTACTTAACTCCTCTCAGCCTGCCATCTAATTTCCTGTCTTAGTGAATGTCAACACCTCCAAACACCAAACATTTGAGTTGGCCAGAAACCTGGAAGGCCTCCTGGACATCTCCCTGGCCCTCATCCTCTCAGGACAGAACCTCACCACCTTACATCACAGTTATCACCTCAACATCACCCACTCTATCCAGTTCCCTTCATCACCACCACCTTGGTCTAAACCGCATCACATCTTACCCATGGGCTGCTTTCCTAACTGGTCCTTTTACAGCTACCTAACCTACTATGCCTTTCAATCTATTTTTACCACCATGGTCAGAGAGTTCTGCACAAAACACACATTTGATCACTTCTCATCCCAAAGAGTGCCCTGTCCACAACTTTCCTGCACCTCTCGCAATTCCCTCCAGCTATGCTGGCGCTCCTGCAGCTTCATTCACCTCCATGCTCTCTCTTCCTTCAAGGACTGTACACATGTTCCCTCTGTAATTCTCCTCTCTCACATCTTGACCTCACCTCAAACAATACACACTCTGGAAAGCCTTGCCTGACTCCCCAGCCTGGATCAATTCTCCCTATTTAGTAGACTCTCAAAAAAGAAGGGAGTCTCCTTCTAAGTAGTTTACATCTCTGCGGTTACTCATTCATTTGTGTGTTAATCTGGCGAATGTCTAGTTCACCCACTGGTCTATGCATTTCTTAAAAGCAAGGATAATTACTGTTCTGTTCAGTTTTGTTTCTCACCATAGTATCCCACAGTTATATCATAGTCTCTGGCACATAGTAACTGCCTAATAACACTGCTTGGCTCAGCACACGAAGAGTTTCATGAATAATAAATCCAGAAGTAATTATGATGAGAGTTTTGTATATTGCTGAAATATGTGATTGACTTGGTTTAAAAAATGATTTGGTAGAATAATGTTTCTGATTAACATTTTCATTTATTGACTTATCTAGTGGTCTATTTACTTCAAAAATATTTATTTGTAAAAGACAGTGACAAATCCTGGCAAAGGGCGAAAAATGAAGGCTTCTATGAAGCTTGAGCAAAGTAGGGAGGATAAGAAGATACCTATGAAAATATCTCTAATGAGAGGTAGTTGGTAATGACTTCCTAAAAGATACAGACGGCATACCTTCAAAATTCAGAGGCAGAGTCACCAAGTAGAGGTTTGTTTTTTGTGGTTGTTGTTTTTTACGGTTGTTGTTGTTTTTTACAGGTTTGACCTTGGAAGTCCTCATGGAGAAAATTGCATCTGAGCTGGACCATGAAAAATGAGTAGGATTTCAACAGATAACAATGGAAGAGGTAGGTGAGATTTGTTGACTTGTTTTATTTGTTTTCTTTTCTATTTTTGCTGTGAAGAGCCATTTATTAATGCAGTTCGAATTTTTAACACAGGAATTAAGACATTTGTCTAATTCTAGGAAGATGAAGTAAAAGAATGGTTGTTATCAAAACTGCTTCAGGAAATCAAGAAATTATAATCAATGGAGGGAGAGGCACCAGGGTGAAAAACAACATGGGGGAAAAAATGAAACTTTACAATGGAAAACATGTGAAGGCCCTTTAGAAAGTGTTTTCTCAGAAATGAATTCGGGAATAATCGGTTTGCAGGCTGTGCACGTCCAAACGAGATGCCATACTTAGGCCTAAGGTGGGAGCAGCAAGAGTGGAAAGAAAGGGGTGTGTCAGAGAAACACTGTACAGAAATGCACAATGGATTGAATTTGAAAAATTAAAGGGAGGAATTCGAGACTCCTATCCAAAGGCCAGGAGGAAGGAGGTGATGTGAAGAAAAGTTGGAAACTTTGGAGAATGTGTTTGAAAGGTGGAGAAACAGCTTTTACTTTCATTTTTGGCAAGTTGTAGCTCCCCTCATCATTTCTGCAGCCGGTTGAGAGACAGGGCTCTCCTGTGAAGGTTAGGTGGACTTTTGGTCCAGGAGAGACTAGTCACAGCTCCAGGGTTCTGCAGGCCATAGCATCAGCACTACCCCAGGCCACACAGCTGGCTGTGATGATTGATGTAGGAGTCCCCTGTGAGTCTAGCAGTCCAGAGAGAAAACCAGGCAGATGGGGTATTCGTTGTGGCACCACTCATGAAATTCTGCCTCAGTGGGAATGGAGTTCCTCAACCTTCACTATGCATTGCATTCAAATTTGGAACTTTTTGTTTTTTTCTTTGAAATGGAGTCTTGCTCTGTCATCCAGGCTGGAGTGCAGTGGCACAATCTTGGCTCACTGCAACCTCCGTCTCCCAGGTTCCAGCGATTCTCCTGCCTCAGCCTCCTGAGTAGCTGGGATTACAGGTGTGTGCCACCATGCCCAGCTAATTTTTGTAGCCTCATGCCCAGAGATTCTGATTCAGTTAGTCCAACGTGAGGTCTACAAATGAGATTTTTTAAAATAAGTGTCCCATAGAGTCATGAGGATCGATTGTGAAGAGGTTTTCATAGAACTATTGAGCCATGAACTGAAAAGAGATAAACGGACACCATCTCTAGGCCAGGACTTAGGGACAGATGAAGACAGAGAGCGCCTCATGACTTTTCTATCACTGCATCCTACTCATGTTTCCTGCTTAACACTTTGCACAATTTATAATTAAGTATTTATCTTTTTATTCATTGTCTGCCTCTCCCATTAAACTGTTACCTACATGAGATCTGGGATCTTGGTTTTTTATTAACCACACTAGGTTTAATTAGCCTAGTGACCACTGGCCACCTGGCACATAGATGATATAAATATTTAATGATGGATGAATGGACAAATCCAATTAATTACCTAGCTATGAAGAGGTAGCTCTGCATAAGAACATTATTCTAGGAGGTAATAAAATTCCCTTACAACCCCAGGCGCTGAAGTGAATAGCTGTAGATTGCATTTATAAGATGGACCATCTGCCCAGAATAGAAAGAATTTGTCATGCATTGATCTCAGCCAATCAGCCTCAAAATGTATTCAGGTGCATAATACCTTGATGCCATGTTGATCATTAGCATAAAGCAACTTATTCCTTTTTATGTTCTAAGAAGACAGTTTTCTTGCAAAAAAAAAATGTAGCTCCATGTAATATGTATCTCTTCATCTTAACATTTTTAGTACACATTTTTAAGAAATCACATTTAAAGGAAAAAAGGATTGTCTGTCAATTTATTTCATAATTACTGCTGGAAGGCAGATTCAGAGAGAAAGAAGACACTGAGAGCTTTTAAATAATGGTAAATGGAAAGCTTAAAACGGAAAAGTGTTTATCTGTTTTCTTTTCATTGAAAAATTTGAGAAAACAAATCACTTTTGAATTTAACTTGGTGCAGCTTGTTGAACAGGGTTGTTCCTCCTTAGGATGATGGAGGGAGACCTACTGATTCACCTCTGTGAGCTCATTGTCGTTAGCCACATCCTGCGGGACTCTCAAGAGAGGTACTTTACAGGCAGAGATCCAGTGTGGGACAAGTCCATTTGCCCTTCCTGTTTGGATCTGATGCTGGTTAACAGGCCTAGCTACACCACAAGGGGATAGGAAATGTAAGTCTTGTCTAGATGAACACTGAAAGAAAGTCCTCTGGATGAAGCTGGAATTAGAGTCCCTAACTTTAGTTTTAACCGAGTTACTCTTTATTCTTTCTGCTCTGTAGACTCCATGGCCTTAAATTTTTAACGAGTTTCATGTATGTGAGATTATCAACTATAGATCTGTCAAAATACACTCTTAATACCTTTGCATTTCAGTTGTTTCTGTTAAAAAAGTAACGCGTGGATAAGTTATAAATACTGCTAAGCTTACTGACTTCGATGTTCATTTTCAACTAAATGAGTCATGATCTCCAAAGGTATTGGGATGTCACTGGGCATCTTTTTTGACTTTTTTGTTTTGTTTGGAAAACCAACAAGAAGTAATTTTTGAGTTCTAGAACAATGTTTCTCAAGCTACATATGCTGAAATGACAGTATTTAAATTTTCTTTTCACTTATATAAAATATATAAAAATGAAATTTCTGGAAAAAATTAAAAATATAATAAAACATCATTTATTTAGTAGATTCAACAGATGGAAAAATTACTCTCAGTTATTTAAATGGCTGTAAAAGTTTCTTAGGCTCATTTTTTTGCTTATCTTGTCTCAGAATGGTGACAGTTTGTACACCAGCACCAGGCCATAGGCCACACTTTGAGCTGCACTGTGCTAAAACACCTTCTAGAATCAAGTGAAAACACTCTTGTGGAAGCATGCTTGTGTTTAAAAAGAATTAATTTGTGGCATTCTTTAGCTGTTACAGAGAAACCTGTTTTCACATTTTCTTCTTTATCTGGTGGTTTTTACATCATAATCCCAGATTTAGCTCTACAAATTGCTAATCAAGAGCAATGATCTGGAGAGTTCACTGTCTGCCAACAAAGATGTAACACTCATGGCAGAAAATGTTGTAAATTTTTTCAGATAGCTTTTTAGAAATTCCTAATTCATTTTCCTTCTACTATTTCAGTGGAGCAGAACATCAAATATTCTTAAGTAAAATAAAGAGTCAGAACATTTTGTTTGATCCAGATTTATTTTACCATACTTGCAAAAAATGATCCCAGTCATTTTTCATTAAGTGTGTTGGCTTGGGGGCAGGGCACTGTTGCTTGTCCAATTAAGAAAGATTTAGCCTTTATGGCTTTATAGGTCTGCATAGCCAATGTCAAGAGGCAGATTTTGAAATAGGCTGCGACATTACTCATGGTCTAAAATACCAAGCCAAATAATTCAAACAAATTTCTTTTTTGACTGAGTAATATTTAGTCAGTCCTGGGGTTTAAAAATAGTTCAAATTTTGACATTATTATGTTAGCTGTTTAGCCCCTTTCCAAACAAGAATGAGTCAGGGACCACATTCATACAGTTGACAAAGATTCCTGGTGAATATATCAAAGAAGATTATATTGAACACTGCCACATCAGTTGGTAAAGTGAAAATGAACCCGTCTCTTTCTCCTAGTATTGCTACCAAATCCATGTAAGTGACAGATGCAGTTACCTCTGATACCCTTAATGGTAGTTACTAAATTTTCTGTATCAACTATGATGATAACACAAAATTTCTCATTGCTACTCACAGTTGAGTACAGTGTTTAGCAGGGAAAAGAAATAGTCGTACACACACACAGATTCTTAAAAATATAACAAATAATACTGCCTGACATTAAGCTTCTCAGAATGTTTTTCTTTCTTTCCCAACTCTCACTGAGAGACTTCTGAGCTGAATGTTAGCTCAGGGTCTAAAACTGAACATCTTTACTATGACACAGAAGACAATGTTCTCGGCTGCAGCTTGCCAGGTTCTCACGTTCCATAATGATGACTGAAAGCACTCTTTGACACAAGAACTTACCAAATATGACTTTGAACATTTAAGTGGGTCATGACCCTAACTTTTAATTTTTCTTACAACCATGAAGATTGAATTTCTGAAAATCCCTTTTCTTAAAATTTCTCTTTCTGAAGCTTATAAGATACTTTTATTTTTTAATAAAAATTACACATATTTCTTTTATGATGATAATACTGCATGTGAACTCTGGAGGCATGAATCACTTATCCTAACACTGTGCTAAATTTTTCCATTTCTCTAATTCCTATTATTCATAGATCTCAGAACTGTTGAATTACTTGAATTTCTCTTTTCCCTGCTCCCTTTCACATTTGGATAAGTTTGGTTAACAATGGCGGCTGATTTTCTACGTTTATATATTGGCAAGTTCAGCTGGAGTTTGATGATGCGAAATTACTTTTTCTCTCTATTTATCAGGGCAAGGAATCTGGTTTGTGCAATCACCACTCATTACCTTATTTTGTCCATGACTTCATCCAGACACTTTTCACAGAACACTATAGCTTTTCTTAGACAAAACTACCCCTGCATCCAGAGGTTTCCAACAGTTATTCTGGTCTGTCAGCTTACAGTGTGTAGGCTATTACTTTACAGTGTATCGAGAGACATTGTTTCAGCTGTATGCTATGTAAGCAGAGCCTCAAGCATAATTAGATTCCTGAAATCCTTTTTTTCAACCTACAAATGTACAGGTTAAGGAAGCATGAGCCCAAGACTGCCCAAAACTCTCAAATGACTCAAAAATACCTATCAGAAACATTTTGCTGATATATTATGTGAACGTATACCTTACCATCCAAACTAGAACACTGCTGTGAATAAAAGGAGCCACTATTATTGAATTAAGACAAGTGTAAACAAGAGCCATCCTGCATGAGCCAGGACATATGGTCAGCCTACAGATCTATGGTATAAAAGAAGCCACAAGATTTATCTACATTGAGATGTATCTACATCATTTACCTTTTATTTATCTACATTATTTATCCTTTATAGCTTTCTAAATCCCATCTTTTGCAGTATTTAAGTAGCCAAATTGCTGCTTTGAAGTCAAAATATAAAGACTACTGAAGATTTCCCTGTTCTAACCGCTGCTAGGTTTACTTAGTACAGCTCCCACTATGCACACGTCATCTATAGTTTGCTAGCCTTATTCTTAGCTTGGCACAGTGTCATTGCCCTGTGTTATGCTGCATACCTTTCCCCTATAATTACCAACTTGGTTTTTTCAAACATCTTGACATCTATTAATATTTTACCTGAGTTAGCCCTTAGCAGAGAGTTCTCAAAAGTAAAAGAAATGCCAAAAAAAAAAAAAAAAAGAAAAAGGTAAAAGAGAAAGAGTGAAAGAAAGAAAAAGGAAACATACAGGGAGAAGAAAGAATGAATGGAGGAAAAGAAAGAGGGAAAGATGGGAGGAGCGAGGGGAGGGAAGAGGGAAGAAAGGAAGAGGAAAGGTATAACTGTGTTTATACAAACATCCACTGTGAGGAGCCCTCTGGAATGATGGCCTCCTGCATAATGTTTTCTGTCAGCAGAACATAATTAAAATAATTCAGAGATAAAATGTTCTTTTTCATAAAGAAAGTACCTCTTTGGAAGGCATTTGAGAAGTTATCTTTTTTTTTAAGAAGACATCATTAATCATTGTAACATTTTCTGTACTAACAAGATTTTAAACTGGAAGTTTTCACCACAAACACTGAATCCAAAGGAAGGTCATCAAAAGACAAGGGCTATAGAACACAAGAGGAAATTGGCAGAGGTTCAATTAAAGAGGACATTGGGTCCTGTGGAAGGATGTAGGGACTCACCCACAGGTAAGGAGCCATAGGTGGGCATATACAGAGAACCTCTTTCAAGCTATGTCTGGATTGAGACATGAAATACCACATCAGTTTGTCTTTATTTCTTGTCTCAGAGCAATGGAAACAAGGCAATTGAGGTAGGATTTAGTAAGCTAGAAAAGGCCCCTGTGTGTAAACAGTGTATATAATACATTTGATGGGAGCAATGCTTGGTTTCTCTTATGTCATATATCTCTAGGTTCAATTGTCTTTGGGTAGAAGAGATGAGGTTTCCATGAGCTAAGAGGCTGAACACCCCAGGGTATTCTGACAAAGTGGCAGAAGAAGAAAGGAATCACTAAAACCAGTTGCCTGCAGAGAAAGCAGGTAGAGAAGAAGCTGTTACATTTGATTGAAAGTTTTTACCAAAAAATAAATAATTCTAGGTAGTTTCACGTTTTCTGAAATATTGAGGTTGGTATAGGATGTTACGACACTGGATATAAATATAAGTGTGTAAATGGTAAAGTGGATCAGAAAAGTCAAAGTAAATGTGAGGACATTTTCCCTATTTTAAAATAATAATGTAACACTTTCCAACTTACTTGTTTCCCATCCTATTGCAATCCAAAAGGATTAAGGTGGGGAAGGAGCATAATTAGAAATTCTTACTGGAACTCAGGTCCTGAAGTCATAAAAGCTCTTCTTATTTTTTTCTTTTGGTCAAAATAAATAGTAATATGGTATTTTTCCCCAAGGCTATCACTATAGCAATATTTTGAGGCAAGCTAAAATTGAGAAGAAATACTTCAATTTTAAATTCTGTGTACTGCAGATAAAGGACATCAGGACATTTCTCAAACTTTAGTGAATATGATAAAACACACTGGAGGTTTGCTTTTTAAAAATGTGGATTCCTAAGTCACCTTTACAAAGATTCTGAGTCTCTAAGCCTGAGATGCAGCCAAGGCACCTGTATCATTAACTTTTATTGTTTCCGGTGATTCTTCTTCAGTCTGCATCAGGCTGACTTCCCACGCCATAATCCTTTGGCCCATCGGACCCATGGACAGCTCCCTGCAGGCCATTGGCACCCACCTCAAGCTCAAAGCTCTAGATTCTCTCTGCACAGCCTAGAGACACAGGGGGGTTAACACTGGAAAGTGACTTTTAAATAATGGAGAATGAAAACCAGTGGGTAAAGCTTCCTGCCTATAGTCCTTTGAGAAATTATTTCAATGCACATTCAACAGTTACTCAGAGGGGTTCTAGTAAGACTAAGCCCTGGGCATCCACCATAGTAACTTTTTTATATCTCTTTGTCCTTTTTCAACAATTCACTAATTCTCTCTATAGTCATGTCAAATCTGCTGTTTAAACCACCCACTGATTTTGCTTGTTTGACCAATTGTATTTTCCTTTTCTGAAAGTTCTCATTGGTTCTTTTCCAAATCTGCCTGCTTATGTTTAAAAGTATTTTATTGCTTGCTAATTGATGTGGCTCCATTCTTTTACATGGATTTCTGACATAGTATTTCTATATTATATGTCTCAACTTGCAATTATCTGAAATCCTTGAAGCCTTAAATCTGGTGCTCTTGTTTCTACTCATAAAGCAAAAAAGTTAGGAGAGATATTTGCCTTCTTTATCAGAAGTAAGTGTCACAAAGTCAACCACTTCATTTATGTTGCTTAACACTTCAGGTCTAACGATGAAAAACCCACATTTTAAACTAACTATATTAATCTAACATTTAGTAATAATTAGGTGACATTTTTATAAACTGCAAAACAAAAGAAAAAGGGCAATATCATTATTTTAAATAAGCTAATTAATTTTGTGACATCCAGTATGTATTTCCAGTCAGATGTCTCATGTTTCAATATTCTAATTCTTCGAGATAGTTTTTACAAAGTTATGTCCAGTGTCTCAAGTCTCTCCTTTGTGCCAGGGCATTGACATCTACATAGAAAGTATTCCCCTAAGTGTTGTGTTAGTACAAACGGCCAGATGGAGAGTAACAGGAAGCAATGCAGCCCAGCCATTAGATTCAGTACTAACATTGCAGGACATTTTTTGAATAAATTCAAAAATTCCCCAGGATGTGGCAATAAAAAAGGACAGGATACTGGTTAAACAAATATGGTTTTGTTAATGTAAAATATTCCCAATGCTTAGCGCTCTGGCTTTCCTAAGGGTCAAGGAAGGCATTAATTATGTGCATTCCTGAACCTAAGGGACCTGAGGGCTTCGTTTTCTGCCTCCTCCTTCTTCCATTTTGTTCCCGTAGAGCTTGGCACCATGCTGGATAAGAACAGAAGAATTATCTCCCTGGTGTTGGACAACAGAGGCTGCTAGCGTTATATCCTTTTACTATCAAATAGCCTTGCCAAAATGAGTTTGGCAACATCCTAACATGTGTCATGTGAGCTACTCCCAATCACCATCCCAAGCTACCCCGAAAATGCCCCATGGTGCCCTTTTGTAAAAGCCCATCACTTTGGCCACACTGCAGAGAAGGAACAAAGCACAGAGGCTCATCATTCCAGCAGGGAGGAGGACTTCTGTCCTGACCAGGTAAAACTCCAGATGCTGCCCCTCTGACAGCCCCCACCCACTCCCACACATGGTGATTAATATGCCCTAAGAGGCACGGTGGAATTTTTAAAAGAGCAGCGAACTATGATGAAACAGACTGAATTCAGGTCTTAGCAATGCTGTTGCACTGTGATTTGGAGATGGTCATTGACCTTTGAATTTCACTTTTCTTATCTGCTAGACAGAGATAATCATTTTTCTCCTCCTGCCTGACAGGGTTGTTTTAAATAGCACAAGATGTTAAATGCATTGTAACTAGAAAGTGTAATACAACTGATTCTTGAACAATGCAAGAATTAGGGGTGCCGAACCCCGCACAGTAGAAAATCCATGTGTAACTTTTTGACTCCCCCAAAACTTAACTACTAATAGCTTACTGTTGACCAGAAGCTTTGGGAATAACAAAAACAGTCGATTAACATAGATCTTGTATGTTATATGTATTATAGACTTTATCTTACCATCAAGTAAGCTAGAAAAAAGAAAACGTCATTAAGAAAATCAAAAGGAAGAGAAAATATATTTACTATTCATTAAGTGAAAGCAGATCCTCATAAAAGTCTTCAACTTCCTTGTCTTCAAATGAAGAGAAAGAGAAAGGGGAGGGGTTGGCCTTGTTATCTCAGAGGTGACAGAGGAAGAAAGGATGAAGGAGGTGGAAGGGGAAGCGGGAGAGGCAGGCACAGTTAGTGTAATTTTATTGAAAAAAAAATCCATGCATACATAGATCCATGCAGTTAAGACCTGTGTTATTCCAAGGTCAGCTGTACAAATAAATTTTAGCAGCTGTTTTATCTGAAAAATACAATAATTATATTATATAATATTACAAAATCACATTATTCCATAATAATGATATCTGTTCCAACAAACTCACAATGTTAGGAAAACCAAAGTCAATTCTGGTTTTGGTTCATTCATTTATTCAAGCAGTGACTGTAACAGGAACCGGGATGAACTTGAATAATCAGAGCTGAAGATTAATGTGGAATTCCTTCTTAAACGGCAAAGCACCATGCAGATGTAAGGTCTTAAAACCGACTCAGAGCCTTGGACACAATTCAGAAGCAAAGTCCACACTGAAAACTCAGCTAAAATCATGCAAATTAACATCTTTTTAGCTTTATGAAAGAAAGATAAATTACTGTATAACTGAAGACTTTCTCCTGGTTATATACTACAAATAATAAGTTAAACATTGTTAAAAATATGTTAAACTATTATTTAAACATTAGTATAATTGGTGCATAATAGTTAACTAAACCACACAATATGACATCCAGAAACGTTCTACTAAATTAGAGAGGGTAAAAACAGTAGATATAACCAAATATTTTAAATTCTACTTTAACATCTAGCCTTCATATGCAAATCAGCAAACATGAATTAGCCTGATGCTCTAAATATGAATCCAAGAATGTGTTAAACAATGGTGCTACAAGAGGTTCTAGGACAGATAGAAAATAGCAGATCAATGCATTCTGTCCAGCAGGTGAGATATTTTGCTGTTTGTTAATTCCAGCAAAGAATGGAACTGATATTTCTGTGTCATGAGCAAAAATATACTGGAGACATATGCAGAGTAGAAATGAGGCTGGAATGAATGTGAAAATTAAAGGATATCTAAGTGAACTGAAATTCCCTTCACCTGGGAACTATACACATTCTAAAAAAGTAACTTGACTGTGAGTTTATTGCTCTCTTGGCAAAACTAAGAAATCAAGGTCCCTATACTGTTAAGGGAAGTTATAAGGCTAATAAAAGACATACATAGTATTACAAAGCAGCTGAGTCATTATCATTAATCAAATAATTATGAGAACAAAATAACGAGATGTTGATAATATCCCTGCATTGTTTCTAGCCAGTCCTGGAAAACTAAAGATATCGTTTTTATCAGTCTTGTGAGACGAGATTGAGAGCTCAGCTGGAAAACCAGGACCTCAACTGGTCACCTTATTTTCATGCTGCAGCTGAAGAGAGCCTTACTCTCACTTCAGACACATCCACCCACTAATTGTCCCCAGTGTATTCACTTCCCCTATCAAAGTGCTTTCTTGAGTCTCGATAATTCATACAGAAAGGACATTATTAGCTCTGCACAGTGATGCACACCTGTAGTCCCAGCTAATTGGGAGGCTGAGGCAGGATGATGCTTGAGCCCAGGAGTTTGAGGCTATAGCATGCCAGGATGGTGCCGGTGAAGAGACACTGCATTCCATTCTGGGCAACATAGCAAGACCCCGTCTCTAAAAAAGGAATAAATAAATGAATGAATGAATGTTATTATCTATATTTTAGTTTTTCATGTATCCCCATGGAGACTAGAGAGATAACCTTTCAGACAGCATTGCCCACACTGCCTACCGCTCCACTGCCAAACACCTCACCACATTCCTAACCCACTCTGTAGATGCAGCCACTTGAGCTCGCTGCTGGTTGGTCACCTCTATTTCTATGAATATTCACTGAAATGACTGAAACTCTAGGTGATTAAAGCTGCTTAGTCTTCCGAGGTCTTAGAGAGTGAAAATATGGCATCATCTCACACTGCACATTCTCCATGTTATGCAATCAAACATTTCAATAAAGTAGCAAACGTGACATGTTGGAACAATTTGTAGATAAAATACTGTAAATAGCTTGCTACCAAAGACTTGGCCTTTGTCACCTACATTTCTCACCTTACATTTTTAAATTTAGTTATACCAAGTTGCTTGTAAAACCTGTTTTCTATTGATGCTATTTCTTACTAATTTTACTGATTGCCTTTGTCAGCATTTTTTTTTTTTTTGACAGAGCCTTACTCTGTCACCCAAGCTGGAGTGCAGTGGTGTGATCTCAGCACACTGCAGCCACTGCCTCTCAGGTTCAAGCGATTCTCATGCCTCAGCCTCCCAAGCAGCTGGGACTACAGGCACACACCACCATACCTGGCTAATTTTTTTGTATTTTTAGTAGAGATGGGGTTTCACCATGTTGGCCAGGTTGATTTTGAACTCCTGCCCTCATGTGATCCACCCACCTCGGTTTCCCAAAGTGCTGGGGTTACAGGCATGAGCCACTACACCTGGACCTTTGTCAGCTTTTTCATGTGGTTAACTCATTGTGGAAAATTCAGCTCAGCACCATCTCCTCTTCAAAGCTTATTCTGAACCTCTCAGGTGAGCCAGAGGATTGTCTCTGACCTTCCCTATAGCCCTGAGCAAACTTCTCTGCCTTTACCGCCTGGGACTGAAATCACTATGCACTCCTTTAGGAAGAGGACTGCAGATTCTCCTTCTTTGTACGCCCAACACACAGCACAGTGCATGTTACAGACGTGGTGACCAATGGCTACTTCTTGACCTGAAATGAAACTAAAAACAAGGGAGGAGTAGCCAACTTATCAACAGCCTCTAGTCCACTTTTGTCTTTCCAGAACCAGCAGCTAAGTCCAACCTCATCAACATTGAAGGTGCTACCCTTGAGGTTACTGTGCTGGAGTCAGCCACTCCTTGTGGCACAGATACGCACCTTTCTTCCCTTTTAGAAAAGAAACTTTAAATATGATGCATGAGAGAAAGGAAATCTTATAAAACTCTATCCTATCATGCCCAGGAGTCATGCTTATTGCACAGAAAATGGCTCATGGAAAGACTGGATGGCACTGACCTTTGGAAACTGACATTTTACTAGAATGTAATCCTCCCTGGAATTTGTACTTCTGCTTCCTCATTCCAACATCCCAATCTATCCTTCATTCAGTAAAAATCTTTTCAATACCTTCCTACATGTACCCTAAACTATCCCTCAGGTTTCTTTGAGACTCACACCAGTCAACTTTTAAAAAAATCTATTCAAAGAACTTAATAAATAACAAATAAGACTGGTAACACTGAACATTCTCTTGTAATTCAAAATTTGTCATAAGAGATCTTGACCATTCAAGCAAAGAAAAACAACTAGGTTTTAAGCTAGCTGGGCCAGCTGACCACATTTTGTACTTTAGCTCCTCTTGTCACTGACTCAGTCTGTCTATAATGGAATAGAAATTATGATGCTGCCTTTATTCATGTATTTATCGTGAATCTTATTTTCTTTCTGGCCAATAACAGTTCTTGTGGCAGGCTCAATTGTATAGTATTTGAAATAGGCAGAAATATTATTGTTCTTAAGACAATTTAATGCATAGATATAGTCAACACTTACTGAGATGTAAAGATTAAACAATTCTAAAATAAAATATTTTGGGTAGATATTTAATTTTTGCTTAATTTTTGAGAGGGCATAAAACACATAATTGTCATCAGGCTTTTGTAGAGAAAAACAAATGCATGCTAACTAAGCATTGCATAGTTTACAGAACACTCCAAAGAAAGGGTTATGATCAGGAGTTTTCTATTTACTGAAAGCAGAAGTATTGATTCCATTGTAAAATGCAATCGAAATTATAGACTATTGATTTATTCTACTTATTGATGCTTTCTACTTATTTTTCCCCAAATTTATAGATTTTAAAACAAACACTAGGGCAATGCAAAATAGCAGCTTTCTCTTCAGCTTCATAGAATCTTTTCTTGCTTGCACAAAACTTCCCTGATTCTCTTCGAGGCATTTTGAACAGCATTTAAGCTTCATAGAACAGTTAAAATTGCATGCAGGTATGAGAAAAGCACTTAATTCTTTTTCATGCCAATCAGCAATTTTCCCAGAAGTGCTGCAGAGTTCCTTTGCTACATTTTAGGATCACCTGAAGCAAAGTTTTCTTGCTTTTTATTTCTTTTTAAGAACTAGCACTCAGAATGTGCTTAGACTCATTATGCTACTGAACTGACAGTCAAGAGTCCACTATTTTTTCCCAGGTCCCCACTGAACCAAGGGCTTTAAGAACACTTTCTCCAAATTGTACGTGATTATATGCAAAGTACTCACACTCCCTTTCCTGCTAGTACCAGTTTTAATAACCTATATCTGCCCAGTATCATATGGGGAACTTTCTGTTTCTTGTAATTGAGTTACCTTGTCTTAACAAAGGAGATAATTCAAACCATGTAGATTAAAAATTTCTTAAATAAAATTAAGGTGATAATGAAGAGAAAAGATATATGGGGTGTGTGTACCTTTCCCATGAAATAACAGGTAAAATGTTATACCTAACAATAGCTTTGAAATATGTTGGTGGAATATCATGAAGTACATAGTTTGAAATGTCAGTTAAATAAATTCAGGCTAGAATCCTTGTGTGAAAATGTACTTGTAGTGAACCCTCTGGACAACTGAATCAGATAAATAATTTTGGCCAAAAGTATAGTGATGGCTCCAGAGGAATCATGCAAATTAAAATGAGGGATCTTTAAAAAATATTCACCTGTAAAGATTAGTAAATTTCCAATTAGAAAGCAACCCATGAGCTGTCCCTGTAAGCACTACTCATTCTATTTCTCTGTGCTTTCTGGTACAGAAGGAAGCTGCAAACTATGTTTCCTTGAATTCTGTGAATCTTGGTCTACTAATTAGATGCCCTCTTTCAAGATTTGGAAAATGGAATCTGATTACAATGCAGTTTTCTATACTTTTGGAAGTTGTTGCTGGCAAGAATGGTCTTGTGGAGATGCTGGCGTCTTCTGAGCAGTGTCCCTTCCTCCCTTCTTATATGTGCATGGGCAGTTATCACTAGAGGGCTTCCTGATCCTTGCATCACGGTGATGACAGAGTGCACTTGCAGTTACCACTTCCTGTGGTTGGTCCTCACCACCCACTTTCCTTTTATAGTAGCCAGTTTGTCCTTGGTCAGCCAGTGTTAAGGTGCAGTTCCAGAAGTAATTCCTGAAGACACAGACTAGAGAATATTCCTGTAGCCCATTTTTTTCAGCACTTAGTTCTCTATATTAGAACCACTTATCCTTTCCCAGGGTGGTTTCCGTTTTCTGCAAATGCAACTTGACTGATCTACAAAAGCAACAGGATACCAAACACAAAACATGTAAGTTCTTAAAAGGAACACACTAACACAAAACACTCAATGGGACAAGGATGAACACAAAGGAAGTATTAAAATAGAAAATATAAGACAAAATTTTCAGAGTTAATATCAAATATTTATTCTATTAAAAATAAAGGAAGCTGTGTGTGGTACCTCGTGCCTGTAATCTCAGCACTTTGGGAGGTTGAGGCAGGAGGATTGCTTGAACCCAGCAGTTCAAGACCAATCTAGTCAATATGAGGAGATTCTGTGTGTTCAAAAAAAATAATAATAATAATAAATTAGCCTAGCTTGATGGCACATGCCTGTGGTCCCAGCTACACAGGAGGCTGAGGTAGGATGATTGCTTGAGCCCAGGAGGTTGAGGCTGCAGTAAGCCATAATCAGGCCACTGCACTCCAGTCTGGGCAACAAAGAGAGATTCTGTCTCCGAAAAACAATACAAAACAGAACAAACAAGCAAAGGAGATACAATCTCTTTAAAGAAAAAGACATTTATTGGGTCAAAAACATTATATTAATATCTACAAAACATATTGACTCCAGGTATTAAAAAAGTATAAAAACTGTATCAAAATGAATACAAAATGAAGTTTTATAAAACAGGATTAATTTCAAGAGAGAAATTTATAAGGCCAAAAGAATTACACCAACTTTTTATTTAATTGCATTAATGTGATATATTATATTATTTTTGAATGTTGAACCAATTTTGCATTTCTGAGATAAGACACACTTGATCATGATGCTTTTATTCATTTTGTATTTGCTTGAATTTCACACGCTCATCTTTATTGAGATGTTTGTATTAGGTTTGTATCAGCTTCATAAAGTGTGTTGGTAAGCATGTTTCCCTTTTCAAATTTCTGTAAGAGTTTATATAAGATATTATTCTTCCTTAAATTATTTGGTAGAAATCAGCATTAAAAAAATCTCCTTCTAGAATTTTTTGGAGTAAAATTTATTGATTAAAAATTCCATCTCTCTTAGAGATATAGGAATATTCATATATTTTTTGTTTCAGCTTTATAGCATTTTTAAGGCTTTGTTCATTTTTACTAAGTATTACATTTTCTAATTTTTAAAATTTCTTGGCACAAATTTTCTTACTATATTCCTTTATTGTCCTTTTCATATCTATCGTTATATCTCTTTAATTCTTGATATTTGTAATTTGTGTTTATTTCTTTTTATTATTGATTGAGCTTACTAGGGATTAATTTTATTTATTCATTCAAAGAGCAGCCCTAGTTAATGGTGTGCCTGTGTTACTTCATTGCTTTCTGTTCTTATGCGTATTATGACCTAGTTCAACTTATTTCACATTGAATTTATTCTTCTTTACCTAGCTTTTTAGAGTAGAAACTTCGAATCATTGATTTTAAACCTTTTTCTCTACTAATATAGGCATTTAAATGATTTTTCTCTACAAAATGCTTTATAAGCTTCCCCCAAATTTTGATATGTTACATTTTTATTATCATTTCTATATCCCTGGGTGATTTTTGTATGTTTCGTAAGTTAGTTAGAAATTTCTGGCTTAATGTCCAAATATTTGAATGTCTGCCATATGTGCTATTGCTTTTTCTTTTAGTTTCTTTTGTGATCAAAGAATGTATTCTGTAAAATTTCAGTAACTGATATTTTTGAGATTCACATTTTATTTTCCCGCATTGTGCATCTTCCATGTGCGCTTGAAAAGAATGTGCATTCTGCCACTGTTGATTGCAGTTTTCTCCAAAAGTTGATTATGTCAGTTTGTAGCCAACGTTGTCCAAATCATCTTTCCTTGTAAATTGTTTTGTGTGATTGTCCTGTCCTACATATAACAATAAGATATTAAACTGGTTGTGAATTCATCTATTTTTCCCTTTAAATTATCAACTTTTGCTTTGTATATTTTGAGAATCTGTTACTAGATGCATAAAGTTAATATTGCTGTATTTTCCTATTAAATTAATTCTTTTCTCATTATTAAATGACCCACATTTGTTGTGGTAATACTCCTTGGCTTAGCGTCAGCACTATTTGACATAGACACAATAATTTGCTTTCTATATGCATGATTTCTTTCTTTTTTCAGTAGGTTTTTGGGGAACAGGTGATATCTGGTTTCATGAATAAGTTCTTTAGTGGTGATTCTGGAATTTTGGTGCACTCATCACTTCAGCAGTGTACACTGTACCCAGTTTGTTATTTTCCAGTTTTTTACTTTCTACCTATCTGCACCTTCACGTTTATTCTACATCTCTTGTAGATAGCCCATAGTTAAATGTGGCTTTTTTATTCAGACTAATATCTACCTTTTAATTGAAATGTTAATTTATTAATTTTTGATGTAATAATTGACCAATTTAAGTCTATCATCTTGCTACTAGCTTACTATCTGTCCCATCTGGTTTTTGTGTTCATTTTGCTTTTGCTTTTTGTGTCTCTGTTCCTCTTTTCTAGGCCTCTTTATCTAATCAAATGTTGTTGGTGGTGGTGGTGGTAGTGGTGGCCTTCCATTTTATTTATTTTCTTGGCTTTTTGGCTATACCCCTTTTCATTAATTTTTAGAAATTTCTCTGTGGAGTAAAATATGCATTCTTGAGTTATCACTATGTACTTAGAATTAATATTTATACATAAAACATCATCAAGTCTAATTACATTCACCCATTCTATCTGATAATCTTATTACATATTATACTTCTACATACATTAAAAATCCACTTTACTGTAAGAATATTTGTATGTCAATTTTCATTTGCCTTTTTAAAGAAATTAACTTCATTTGTACCCAAAGATTAATGACACTTAAGTAAACTTGGTTTATGTTCTAATATTTCTAAGAAAGGTGGTACATGGAAATATATCACATGAGGCACAGAAAGGGCCAGATTCTGTAAGGAAAGTAGTCTTTATAAAGGGGTTCCTAGTGGCAGTGTAGAGGATAAACATCCATGGAGGGGAAGAAGGTGAAGGCCAGTTTTGCAGCTATTGCTTCCATCATAATTTTGACCAGAACAGAACTGACGTTTGTATTTTCTTTCTTTGCTTTATGTGTAAATATTTAGTATTTTAATACAGGATTTCAAAAACTACATAAACAATGTAATCAGACACATTTTGTGAGAAAATACAGATTATAAGATTTTTGCTCTGTAAATGAAATACTGAAGAATATTACAGTTTTCTGAAATAGAAATAAATATCTTGAAAGGCAAACACTTCATTTTGTTCTTTGTGAACTCCCTGTGGTTCACCGTGATACAACCCATCTTCATTTCTCAACAAACCTACAGGCAAAAGAGCTTTAAAACTAGGCACTAATTATTGCATACTGTTGCTATGTACAAATCCAGACATTAACTTAGATTATGATTATTTAACACTAACAGGGCCTCTGGGTATGCATACATCAGCACTTTATGTATACTTCTCTTTTATCTAAAGAGCTGTCTGGAATAAGAATATGTCCTATAGTCTGAGCAGATATGTATGGAACTGTGGGCATCCCTGAATACAAAGATAGAATTTCTTGCTACAAATACCTTATTTAGATACAGTTTTGCTGCTTTCCAAAATTAATACAAAAGAA
Source organism: Homo sapiens (assembly GCF_000001405.40). NCBI lineage: Eukaryota > Metazoa > Chordata > Mammalia > Primates > Hominidae > Homo > Homo sapiens. The sequence continues at coordinate 107,398,687 of NC_000002.12, read as the reverse complement.
ATATTACCTTTAGACTCTTTCATGGATTGGAAACAGGAGTAGAGCTTTAATGGGACTTTATAGCCAGGGATTTTCAAATTTTAGTATGACAAGCATGTACTGGGGAATCTATTTAAAATGTATATAACTAGACCTCATTCACAGAGATTCTGTTTCAGTATACCTATCTCAGATGAAAGCCAGGAAAAATTACGTTTAAGCATCCCAGGAGATTCTGCTGCACGTTGTTCTGGGTTCACATTTTCAGAAACACATCTTTGAAGATTTCTGAGTAAAGATGGTGAGATGAATCCAGATCACAGAATCCCCTCCCCAGGACTTAGTGAAAATGACAACAGCAACATTTTAAAACCTGCGCAGCAGCAAGCAAATAAGGAGGACAACCACAGTTGCACATTTCCAAAAGTGGCAGCTAAGAAGAGAAACAGAACTTGAAAATGGTGACTAATATCTCTTAATGAAGTAAAGCAGTCTAAGGTTTACTTAAGGACCTGAGAGAATACCATCTTCTTTTTCATTTTCTTAATGTGGGATATAGGAAATGCTGCCAGTGGGAGCTGGTGAAACAAGAGCTGTCATCTACAAGGCTGACTCTACTTAAGGAAGCAAAGCGTCTAGGGGTTATCATTGGATTGGGAGAATTATCTATAGCCAATAAGCATCCATGTTTAAAAATAAAGAACACATCCCACTTGGTAATGCAAGCTCTGACATCCTTAATAAAATGTCAGAAGGAAGTATAGGGCCCAGTTTTCCAACAAAAACTATACATAATCTTCTCTGGGCTCCTCACAAGCCTACTCCATGCAGCCTCACAACTTAGGCCTCAGAAAAAAAATGGATAAAATAGCAAATAGTCTGCAGTCGTAGCCATGTGGAGAAGGATGAATTCACGTGTATTGAATTAGAGAAAATAGAAAGTCTGAACAGAGAAGCTTGCATTAATGCATGATCGAGATGAAAAGAAATGTCATGGCAAATTTGCTCACAATCTACAAAAAAAGAAAGGGAGAAGAGAGGAAAGGTAGGAAGGGGAGGGAAGGAAGGGAAAGAAGGGAGAAAAAGGGAAAGGAGAGGAAAGAAAACAACATGCAGAATACAAATAAAAAATCTGGAAAACTAAGAGATAAAAAGATAATTTCACTTTGAGTTTTTCATGTTCAAGATTTGAATAAAAGTATAATATCATGAAAACTTCTCAAATGAGACATGGTTAAACAACAGAATGATATTAAAGTAAAATTGGATTGAGAGTTTTAAATGACTTATACTAATACTTTTATACCGCTAATTAAATAACTTATAAGCAGATAGAAACAGAATAGAGATATCAAAAAATCAAATCTATTGAGGATGAAGACAAATAAAATAATCATGGAAATTTCAAAAGAAAAACACAGAAAGATCGAGGAAAATGAAAATAAATGACAATATGGAAAAGATTGTTTGTGCTGTAAAAATTCAACATACTGTCCAGAATTATTATATTTTGCACATGAAATATTTGCAGCTCTTTGTATATCAACAATATCTCAATAAAGCTGCTAAAATAAACCCTTAACATATGAAATGGAGAAAATGTTCTAATGTATAACAAAATAAAACTTTGTTGAACTAAAGGAAAAATCTGAGTTTGACACAACAGAAAACTCTCTGTTTTAGGGGAGAAATGAGTACTACTTACATGATAATTCTTCTAATTATGACCTAAATTTTGAGAATAAGGAAAATCTTTTACGACATCTGGAAAATATAAGCAAATAAACTACAGGGGAAAAATAAGATCATTGCTAGAGATTTCTTTGTATCATTATATGACTACAATATTTACACCGACCCAGAGATGTAGGTAGTAATTACTTCCAAACTTGCTATGTGTTTTCCAGCCTCTGTTACAGTTAGGCTGAGGCTGTGTGACAAGTGCTGCCTAAACAGTAAGATACAAAGGAACCTGTGCCACTGGAAAGCCCAGGCACTTAAAAATGATTATAAATTATCTGCTTTCTCTCTTCCACTGCCTTGGCAGATGTGGTGGCCATATATTCTGGAAAAAACGGGTACAACCCTCTGTTTCCTGACATTCTCTCTCAGTGACTGTGTAGAGCAGAATGAAACTTTTGGTGTGGTAAAACACTAAGATTTTGAGGGTAGTTTGTTTCTGTTATATAACCTAGCCTCTACTAACAGGACTCAATCTCATTGTAAGTGATCAAGATCTCCAAGAATAAAGGCAACCAATGCATAGTCTCAAATATGAAAGACCTCAGCCAATTGTCTCTCAATTAGTACCTTTTTATAAAATATGATGAAATTCTCTCAAGGGATATATCAAAATAAGAAACCTAGAAGAAGATATATAGTAAGATAACTGGATGAGCAGATTGAATCTATTTGAAAATAGACTTAAAATTGAACAACTGCATGTAATACAGAATGGTTGGAAAATGGTATAAACCTTGAGACATAAAAAGCACAATATGTCTAACTAAAAAGCCAAATAATAAAACCAGAAAAAAAGGTTAGGAAGATGTATGAGAGTGCTAATTTTTTCATCATTAAAATAGCAGTTAGATAAGTGATCATCTGTTTTTAAAAATAATTCTAACATCTAAATATTGTTTTAAATTTCTTCTCTAATCTTAGAGAAAACATTTAAGAATTAATATTTCTACTGATCAAAAAATATTTCTGAAACCCATTGCTGTTTTTAGTTTCATGTCAGTTTCCACTTTCCTCCATTACCATTATGAAAAAGAGATGTGGTCCTTAAAATTTAGTATACAGCATGAATAGAAATATTCCATTTCAATAGAATTATTTTTATCTACCTATATATTATGTAACTAATTCTATTTTTGGATATTCATGTAGGGCATATGTGTAGATTCAAATACAGTGGTGTTCAATTCATGTTATAAATTCATTCATGAATGTCGAGTTTAAATGATTTTTTACTCTTTCTGTTTTCTGTATTGACTGAATTATTGTATATTGAACATGTGCTAATTTTATTCCCAAAATTATAAAGCAGTGGAACAAGGAGAATGAGGAGATAGAGAAGACCATAAGTTAATTTATAAATTTATGCAAGCCCAGGGGAAAATACTGTCTGATTATTGTTTTCTTTGAAATGAGGTAAGTTGATCATAAAGTCCATCTGGAAGGGCAAGCAAGAGTGCCCAGAAATACACTGAAGGAGAGAAGCTAGTCCCACCAGGTGAAAAAAACGTAATGTAAAAACACAGCAATTAGAAAGTGTTATTGGGAGGCCGAGGCGGGCGGATCACGAGGTCAGGATATCGAGACCATCCCGACTAACCCGGTGAAACCCCGTCTCTACTAAAAATACAAAAAATTAGCCGGGCGTGCTGGTGGGTGCCTGTAATCCCAGCAACTCGGCAGGCTGAGGCAGGACAATGGCGTGAACCCGGGAGGCGGAGCTTGCAGTGAGCCGAGATCCTGCCACCGCACTCCAGCCTGGACGACAGAGCAAGACTGCGTCTCAAAAAAAAAAAAAAAAAAAGTGTTATTAACACAAGAACAAAGAGAAAGACCAATGAAACAAACTACCACATCTAGGAGAAGACCCTACTGCACATGGATATCTTTGCAATAGGATACAATATGAAAAGAATACAGCTCAAATCAGTGAAGGAAAAATGGACTTTCAAACAAGCGATGTTCAAATAATGGCAAAAGTGTTTTGGAAAAAAAGAATTAAACTGAATCCATTCCTCACACTGAGCAACATGATAAACCAAATGGCTCAAAGAATTAAATGTAAAATGAAGAAACAGATAAACATACAAATGACTAACACTATACAAGTGTTACAAGAAAGATGGATGAATCTCTTAATAACCTGGGAGTGGGAAACTTTTCTTATCTATAACTCACAAATCAGAAGTGATAAGTGGAAAAAGGATGTACTTTACTACTAAAACACACAAAAAAATTACTTTTACCTAAGGGAAAAAAGAAAAATAAATATGGTAATAAAATTATATTTAGAAAAATATATTTGTAATCCATATCACAAAGTATTGGGAGTTCCAGAAAAATTTCTAGAAGTACAGCAGAAAACTATAAAAGTAGAAGAAAAAAATATAGAAAAATGGGCAAGAGATAACAACAGACAATTCAAAAAAACAAAATGCAAGTGGCCTTAAATAAATTAAAAGGTGTCAATCTAGCTCATAAGATAAATTACATTACGGAATTAATTAAGAAAAAATTAAAACAAAATTGACTCTCTGCCATGGAAGAGTCCTTGCTCACAATTATTTCCTTGGTAGAATTGTGCTGTGAAAAATGCCCACACAATGCCCCTGTCAACCAGGGGCTCATTTTTAATCCTTTCATTGTGGCAGTTTGGTGAAGCCTACGGGTCTTTTTTTCAGAATAATGTTTCTAGTAGCTGAAATAAAATATGTAAGTTGACAAAGGAGAACACTTTTTCAAATACTAAACTGATAAAGAATTTCTTACCAATCAGACTGAAAAAAATCTAAAAGTCTAGGGAGACAGTACTCATATTTTGTGATGCAGACATAAATTGGATCAATCACCATAGAGAGGAGTATAATAGCATCTAGCAAAATTACTGAAATGGATTTGAAGACAAACTATTGATATGTTAAATTTCAACTAATAATAAAAATCTTAAAAATACAGTTGTATTGCTACTTTGAAACTACATGTAATAGGATAAATAATTATGTAAATGATAATAGGAATCAAAATTCTCAGCATAAAATAAAAAATAATATGTATAGTATCCCTTAAGTTTGAATTGGAAGCATCAGTATGATCTTATTATGTAATTTTTTTTCTTGAAAAGGGCCAGAGCATTGATTTATTCAGTATATATGAGCACACCTAGTTTTCAGATTGTGGTCTGTAAATAGTACAGTCATGTGTCTTTAACAACTGTGATACATTTTGAGGAATGCATTGTTACATGATTTTGTCATCATGCAAATATCACAGAGTCTACTTACACAACCCTGGAAGGTATACCCTGTTACACATCTAGAATATATGGATGGTATGGCCTATTGCTCCTAGGCTATAAACCTGTACAGCATGTCACTGTATTGAATACTGTAGGCACTTGTGACATAAGTATTTGCCTATCTAAATATAAACATAGAAAAGTTATAATAAAAATATGGTATAAAAGATAAAAAGTGGTACACTTGTACTTATGTGTCCGGAATTGGTGGGTTCTTGGTCTCACTAACTTCACGAATGAAGCCGCAGACCCTCGCAGTGAGTGTCACAGTTCTTAAAAGCAGTGTGTCCGGAGTTTTTCCTTCTGGTGGGTTCCTGGTCTCGCTGGCTCAGGAGTGAAGCTGCAGACCTTCGCAGTGAGTGTTACAGCTCATAAAAGCAGTGTGCATCCAAAGAGTGAGCAGCAAGATTTATTGCAAAGAGCGAAAGAACAAGGCTTCCACAGTGCTGAACGGGACCAGACCGGGTTGCACTGTTGACTCGGGCAGCCTGCTTTTATTCTCTTATCTGGCCCCACCCACATCCTGCTGATTGGTCCATTTTACAGAGAGCTGATTGGTCCGTTTTGACAGGGTGCTGATTGGTGCGTTTACAATCCCTGAGCTAGACACAAAAGTTCTCCACCTCCCCACTACATTAGCTAGATACAGAGTGTGGACACAAAAGTTCTCCTCCTCCCCACTAGATTAGCTAGATACAGAGTGTGGATTGGTGCATTCACAAACTCTGAGCTAGACACAGGGTGCTGATTGGTGTGTTTACAATACCTGAGCTAGACATAAATGTTCTCCAAGTCCCCACCAGACTAGATACAGAATGTGGATTGGTGCATTCACAAACCCTGAGCTAGACACAGGGTGCCGATTGGTGTATTTGCAATCCCTTAGCTAGACATAAAGGTTCTCCAAGTCCCCACCAGACTCAGGAGCCCAGCTGGCTTCACTCAGTGGATCTCACACAGGGGCCGCAGGTGGAGCTGCCTGCCAGTCCCGCGCGCCGTGGGCCCGCACTCCTCAGCCCTTGGGCGGTGGATGGGACCGGGTGCCGCGGAGCAGGGGGCGGCGCTCCTCGGGGAGGCTCAGGCCATGCAGGAGCCCACGGCGGGGTAGCCGCGGGGTGGGGGACTCAGGCATGGTGGGCTGCAGGTCCTGAGCCCTGCCCAGCGGGGAGGCAGCTAAGGCCCGGTGAGAAATTGAGTGCAGCGCCGGTGGGCCAGCACTGCTGGGGATCCCAGAGCACCGCAGCTGCTGGCGAAGATGCTAAGCCCCTCACAGCTTGGGGCGGCAGGGCCGGCAGGCTGCTCCGAGTGCAGGGCCTGCCAAGCCCGTGCCTACCCCGAACTGCAGCTGGCCCACAAGCGCAGCGTGCAGCCCTGGTTCCTGCTGGTGCCTCTCTCTCCACACCTGCCCGCAAGCGGAGGGAGCCAGCTCGGGCCTTCGCCATCAAAGGAAGGGGCTCCCACAGTGCAGCGGCGGGCTGAAGGGCTCCTCAAGCATGGCCAGAGTGGGCGCCAAGGCCGAGGAAGTGCCGAGAGTGAGCGAGGGCTGCCAGCACACTGTCACCTCTCACTTATCATATGTACTTACCATAAATGGAGCTAGCAGTACTAGAAGTTGCTGTGGGTAAGGCAGTGAGTGAGTGGTGAGTGAATGTGAAGGCCTAGGACATTACTGCACACTACTGTGGACTTTGTAAATACTGTATACTTAGGCTATGCTAAATTTATTTTAAAACAATTTTACTTTCTTCAATTATAAATTGGCTGTCACTTTGTGTAATTTTTTTACCTTACAAAATTTTATCTTTTTTTAGCTTTTGAACACTTTTGTAATAACACTTAGCTTAAAACACAAACATGCTGTGCAATTATACAAAATACTTTTTTATTTTCTTTTCGTTTGTTTGTTTTGTTTTGTTTTGTGACGGAGTCTTTCTCTGTCGCCCAGGCTGAAGGGCAGTGGTGCTATCTCTGCTCACTGCAAACTCCACCTTCTGGTTCAAGCAATTCTCCTGCCTCAGCCTCCCAAGTAGCTGGGACTACAGGCGCATGCCGCCATGCCCAGCTAATTTTTTGTATTTTAGTAGAGATGGGGTTTCACCATGTTGGTCAGGATGGTCTGGATCTCCTGACCTCGTGATTCACCCACCTCAGCCTCCCAAAGTGCTGAGATTACAGGTGTGAGCCACTGCGCCCGGCCCAAAATACTTTTTTCTTTAATATCTTGATTCTATAAGGTTTTTCTTATTTTTAATTTTTTTTTTTTTACTTTTCAAACTTTTTTACTTTTCAAACTTTTTTATTAACAACAAAGACAAAAATGCACACATTAACCTAGGCCTACATAGGGTCTGGATCAATAATATCAATGTTTTCCATCTCCATATCTTGTCCCACTGGAAGGTCTTCAGGGGAAATCTCCTATGATAGTAATGCCTTCCTTTGGAATATCTCCTAAGGGACCCACTTCAGGCTGTTTTATAGTTAACCTTATTGTATAGGTAGAAAGAATACACTCTAAAATAACAATAAAAAGTATAGTAGAGTAAAAACATAAGCCAGTAACACAACCGTTTATTATCATTATCAAGTATTATGTGCTATGCATAATTATATGTGCTAGACTTTTATATAACTGGCAGTACAGTAGGCTTGTTTACACCAGCATCGCCACAATCACATGAGTAATGCATTGCACTATTATGGCATGATGGTTATGATATCACTAGGCCATAGGAATTTTTCAGCTCCATTATAATCTTATGGGACCACAAACTTATAGGTAATTCCTGGTTGACTTAAATGTTGTCATGCGTTGCATGACTGTAATTCCCAATGAAAAGAACCAATGCTCCTTGGAAAATGACAGATTCTAGGTTTGGGGTAGTAAATATACAAGATGAGTCTGGAATATCTTGTTGTAACTGAAGAAAAAGGGACTATCAGAGAATTCTGGGTTCAGATGCACACAGGAACACTAGGGGCTCCAAGTGGTCAAAGCTGGAGCAATCTGAGCATTAAAAAGAACAGTGATGTGATGAATTGAAACACATCAGGTGTGCCAAAATCCATGAGATCTTAATGAAAGTAAATGAACACAGTCTCTCCAGTTAACTAGGGAGGTTGTTAGGCTATCACTCTATTCTGAAAATTGGCACATAATGTAAAAGAATCAAGAATTTTTCTTGCCTTTCCTATATGACTGTGCGTCAGAGTAAAAGAATATATGAGGAGAAGAATTCCAATCGATCAATGAGGAAGAATAGGCAGAACATCATTTTGCAAACTCAAGTACAAATAATAGACCTATATAGCAATCATCAGCAGCTGAAAACACCATTAGATGAAAGTTTGATGAGAATTCTATGGAAGATAGATCAGGCTGTTAACCCATTAACCCACTGATCAACTTAACATCATGAAGAACATCCTGTGCTTTTTTTTTTTATTACTATTTTTTTATACAGAGTCTTGCCTTGTTGCCTAGGCTGGAGTGCAATGGCACAAGCTTGGTTCACTGCAACCTCCGCCTCCTGTGTTCAAGTGATTCTCCTGCCTCAGCCTCCCGAGCTGGGATTACAGGCATTTGCCACCACGCCCGGCTAGTTTTTTTTTTTTATTTTTAGTAGAGACGGAGTTTCACCATGTTGGCCAGGCTGGTTTTGAACTCCTGACCTCAGGTGATCCACCTGCCTTGGCCTCCCAAAGTGCTGGGATTACAAGTGTGAGCTATGGCGCCCGGCCCATCCTGCGCTTCTTGATGGTATGCTATGGGAAATACACATAGCATTACCAATGAAATATTTTTAAGAAAAGAAAAAGGAACCTGAATCTCTGAATCTGAATCTGACAAAGTTTCTGGAACCTAAGCAGCAGTTTCAAGGAAGTGAAAGGTTTAAAGACTTATACAATGCAGGGATGAAATCAGAAGAATCTAGTTGTGAAAAATTCTACAAGGCCAATGGCCTAGTTTCTTCAACAAATAAATTAAAGGAAGTGGAATACTACAAAGGGCCATTAAGTCTTTTGTTTCATTGTTATGAGCTCCCCACAGTGAGTGACCAATCCTTCTGTTTGCCTAGGAGAGCCCCAGATTATCTGTTTATTCGGAATAATTACTACTGTAGCCCCTGTCACTCTCAAAAGTGTCCTGATTTGTATGATTATTGTACACAGTCACACTACCCATCAGCCTGTATCACTGTGCAAACACACAGCCAAACTATCTTACATCCAACTGTGTATATTGAATTTGTGTAAAGATTATGAGAGAGTAACAATCCTAATTAGTGTGTCCTAGTTTCCCACTGTGTTAGACAGTTTGGGTTACCATAACAAAGTACCACAGACCAGGTGGCTTAAACAAAACATTTACTGTCTCACGGTTCTAGAGGCTGGAAGTCTGAGATCAAGGTGTTGGCAGAATTGGTTCCTTCAAGGGCTGTGAGGGAAGAATCTGCTTCAGGCCTCTCTCCTAAGCTTGTAGGTACCATTCTCCCTACATCTTCACATTATCTTCCTCAATAGGAGTCCATGCCAAACTTCCCCTTTGTGTGAAGGTACTAGTCAAAGTGGATTAAGACCCACCCTAATGATCTCATTGTAACTTGATTGCCTCTGTAAAGACCACATCTCCACATTCTGGGGGAGCGGGGGTTAGGGCTTCAACATATGAAACACAAGGAGGGGGATGCAATTCAGCCCATAACAACCGCCAGGACTCCGAATGCTAGAGAAGCAATTAGGGTTTTTTGGTTTTTTATTTTTGGCAAATAATGGGGCAAATTTGAGACTTACAAAGGAGTCAGGTATAGTAGGATAAAAATCCTCAAACCTAGAAGGGAATATCACAGACTCTGGGGGAAGAGTTCAACTGGGTAAAGAACCCTATCCTGAGTTACTGGAGATAGAAGCTCCATCTTGAGACATTGATTGATCATAGGTGGGGTGGGGAAATCCAGGATTTAAATCCTGTGGCTCGTGGGTACTATTCTCAGTTCTTTCAGAGCTAATACAATCCAATGCCAAGATTGAGGCCACAGTTTATTATAGAAAGAAGTTTGTGGTGGAAAGAAGGCTCTCTCCTGTCTCACTAAGAGCAGCCTCAATAGCTATTGGGTGAGAAGCCCGCAGGCACAGGCAGCTCCAAGTATGGCATTTACAGTGGAAGAACAGACAGGGAAAAACACCAGCTGTGAATAAGTCCTGTATGGTAGAATGAGGAAGAGATGAGGCTAGAAGGGAGAGTGTAAGGACTTCCAAAAAAAAAAGCAACCCTGCTAAGGGAAGAGGCAGGGCATAGAAGATGTGAAGTCTTGTAACTTGTTTGTGTGGAGTTGTCATTCAATTCTGTTTTTGGTATTACTTACGGTTGCTTGTTTTCCCCTGCTATAATTTGACTAAGCAAGATAAGAGTTTCACAAAGAAATGCAAAAATTCTAATAAAGAAGAAAATGTATCTTTTTTAATGTGGATAATTTTATTTTATGTATTTGTCTAAGATCATTTTATGTTGCTATAACTGAATAACACAGACTGGGTAATACGTGAAGAGTAGATATTTCTTTAGTTCATGGTTCTGGAGGGTGAGAAGTCCAAGAGCGTGACACTGGCATCATGACAGGGCACAAGGCATCACATGGCAAGACAGAGCAAGCCTGTATGTCAGTTCAGGTCTCTCTTTTCTTATAAAACCACCAGTCCTGTTATGGGGTGTATTAGTCCATTCTCATGTTGCTAATAAAGACATACTAGAGACTGGGTAATTTATAAAGGAAAGAGGTTTAATGGAGTCACAGTTGCAAATGGCTGGGGAGGCCTTACAATCATGGCAGAAGATGAAGGAGGAGCAAAGGGACGTCTTACATGACAGCAGGCAAGAGAGCATGTGTAGGGGAACTCCCCTTTATAAAACCATCAGATCTCATGAGACTTATTCACTATCACGAGAACAGCAAGGGAAAGACCTGCCCCATGATTTAATTACCTCCTATGGGCTCCCTCCCACAAAAGGAGGGAATTATGGGAGCTACAATTCAACAGGACATTTGTGTGGGGAAATACCAAAACCATATTATGGGGTCTGCACCCTGATAACCTTAGCTAATACTAATGACTTCTCAAAAACTCCACTTCCAATCAACATATGAATTTGGGGATTAAATTCCCAACCCATGAAATTTGGGTGGCGTAACCAAACCACGGCAGTATTTTTATGCACATATTTTTTCTTAATCACTGGAAGATGTAATTATAATCTTCCAATTTGAAGTTCTTTCTATGGCTCTGAGCCAGACACATATTTAAACTCACTGGCAGGTATTTTAATTGCTTACACTAGTCTATTATTATTTCTATCACGTCTTAATGCTGGTAACAGACTGGTGGACTTGATGAGAAGGCAGAAAAGAAATGACTTTATCTTACTTTTATATATTGTGAGAAAATCTCATATACAATACCTTTAATCATGTTTTATCATATCCAACTGTTATAAGGATACAGTTTGCTTAAAGCCAATGGTTTAATTCCAGGAACATGGGTTCTTAATAATGGCTGTCCTTTATGAACAGATCTTCTGTGCTGACTAAAGCTTCCCACATTTGAAACAACATTGACATTGCCTCAATAGAGCAATAAATAAATAACTAGGGTGGAAGTTGGAACTAATGCACATACCTAGCAAGCTGGTAATGATCTCCCATATCAATTAGGCTTCCAAAGCTCTCTCTTTTTCTAAAACCATTTTGTGCATTCTAGGCAGCCCCCAATGTCATTCACGTGTCCAAAGGTGTCTCTCTCTTCACCCTCAGAGAAAGCAAATCAACCACCTTTCTTCGCTCATCTGACAAAGTGCCTGATTCCAGCCAGAGACTATGTAAGCCCTTGGAGTGATATCAGTCTCTATTGACTGAATGCTAACCCATGGAATTAGGTAAGGATTAAAAATTAAATACATAAAATGTTTCAAAATTGCTGAAGGAACAGCTGGATGCTGGCAAATAAACTGCTTATGTGAAGAACCTGTCAGAACCAGAAAGTGGATCCCAAACCTGGCAGTGGGTTATTTTTATCTGAAGCAGGCAGGAGATAGAGAGACACTAGGAAAGACTTCCATTAACTTATTTGCAAACACAGGAAATTGGGAGTAATGCTACTCCCATTCTCTGTTTAACTTTGAAGAAACAGAGGCTTCTAAAAGCAGGAGGTGGGTAAGGTGAAGGTACAGGTAAGTCCCCCTCAAATAGAGAGAGAAATATAGAAAATAATAGCAAGAAAGTGTTTGCCAAAACTTTTAATACAGGACTATGTCTGCTTAGAGATATTTTAAACAGTTCTTCCATTCCCAGCAATATTGACAAATGAAAGTAAAGTTTCACTCCATCTACAGAATGGAGACTATATTAGCTGTCAGCTGCCTACCAAATAGGGACATTGAGAGGATTAATGAGGATCTGGGTGCTACACTGATCGTTGCCATAGAAATGCATAGCTAAGTAGGGTTGTATAAAAGATGTGTCAAATGCAATATTTTTCAGCCCATGGCTGACAATAATGGGAAGACAGAGTGTCCCTTTGCATTAAAGGACTCAATGGATTAGCATGTCCAATGCCTCTATAGTACTCTCTCACCCTCTGTTGTGTGTGTGTGTGTGTGTGTGTGTGTGTGTAACTTTTACTGGAACCATCAGCCTGAATCTAAAAGGCCTTTAGCAGAATTGATTCAACCTGTGTCAGTGGATTTTTCATGACCTCAAGTAACCTCAGGGCTCAGCAAATGAGTGGGGTATATTCATCGCTGTCAACACAGTGTCTTCATAAGCAACATGGATTTTAAGCCTCTATTTTTTGTTTTACAGAAGTGTAGGGGGATTTTTGTCTTACCTATTCTATTGTTTTCTTTTTATGAATATAAATCTAAACACTCTTCTTTTTTTATCAGATATCCATGTGAGTCTATTCTACACATCCATAAGAAAACCTTATACCGAGGCTTACTGGTTTTAAAAGAGGAGATGTCAAACTAAAGAATGGAGAAGAATTTTCAAGGAGTGGGAAAATGCCACTACCCTGCTCAGAACCTTCACTGCAACCCAGACTGTGCCTGTATCTTAGGAGTGCAGATGATTGAGATGGTCCAAGGGTATCCGGAAGAGAGAGGAGAGGACCCAACAGCATGGATGGTGCATGCTGAGCACTTCTCAAAGGAAAACCCATGGCAGAGGATTCGGTCTGAACCTCTTACTGTAATCATACAGCATAGCTGGCAGGGGCTTGCCTTATTTACATGCCACATGGAGCTGCAGTGGCACCATGTTATTGTGTGTTTTGGGAGAGGTGGATGTGAGTGTGGGTGTGGGTGCACATGCATGGATGTATCGGACTGTGAGAAGGTATGAGCTGAGGCCTAACTGTTCACAGCAGAGGCAAAGTCCTATCATGAACAAAAAAAGTGAGATGGGTTGGAGGGACCCTACTTCAGGCCATAGGTAAGCAGGGCTGCCAACAGAAGGGAATGGAAGTGGGTGAGCATGCAGAGTTCTTTCCGCTTAGTCAAAGAAGGCAGCAGCACTAACAGCCCAACCAGTGACAAGTGCAAATTAGAAAAAGGACACTTCCACTGGGCATTTTACTCCCATCAGCTAAACATTTCCCATTGTAAGTGTTAGTCTGTTTAGGCTGTTATAACAAAAATGCCATAAATTGGGTGACTTACAAACTACAGAAATTTGTTTCTCACAGTTCTGAAGGCTGAGAATTTCAAGAACAAGGTGCCATTAGAAAGTGGGAATTGGGATTAGGCACTAATCCTCTTCAAAGGCCTCACCTCCTAATACTATCATTTTGGGGTTATTATTTCAACATATGAATTCTGTGGCCCACACACATTCAGACCACAGCAGTAAGTACACAAGTCTCTGACAATTGTGAAGGGCTGTCACTCCCAGGAACTATGCAGTGCACAATTTGTGAGACCCTAAGTGGCAGCGTGGAGTGGTAATTGCTGCTGCTGCTGTTCTATGGACCTGGCTGCTGGGGCAGGCCCCAATGTGACAGAGTCAATATGTCAAGAAGAACTAGACATCTGTTCCCATCCTTCAGCAGCAGTGGGTCATAAATGGGTTAACTGTGCTGGCCAGGACCTTCACGGGCACAAATCAGCCCTGAGCACTACTTGTCAGGCCCAACCACATGAACATTTGCAGGAATAATGAAGGCTCAGGAATTAATGACCATAGAAGATGTGTGGGCTCTATTGAATGCCTATCTTAGAAAAAAAGGAGAGTTGGAAAACTAATAAGCCAAGCATTTGTTTCAAGAACTTAGTAAAAGAAATGGCCAAATAAACCCAAGATAAGATGAGATAGGAAATAATAAAGAAGAAACTAACCCCAACAAGAAAAGTGAATTTATGGGTCAACCAAGTGTCCCGTAGAAAGACTTGTTTCTTCCTATCTCTCTGTCTCTCTCAAGCACACATGCTCAATCTGAAATAAACATACACACTCACATTCTGGAAACCTGTGTCCCTGCTTATGGGAGGAAATTTGCAATCTCTGATCTACTTCCTGAGGTTTAAATGTAGAAAAATAGAAATGTCCATAAATGTGAATGAAATTTCAGAGGCCAACTGCTTAAATTGATATCTGTTCATTCCAGCAGACGAAGCCTCATCATGGTTTTTGAGCTGCTGTGCACAGAAAGAAGACGGCACATCATTTGCCAGGCCCAGGCCGGCCAGCACAGACACATGCCTCTGCAGCACTGTAAGACATCAGTGAAGGCTGAAGCATTTTGCCATCTGGGCAGCGTGGGTGGTGTGCTTTAAGTCTGGTGCTTATGTTTCTGGAAACAGACATACAACCATCAGGTTGGCTAAACTTTCCTCATGCTTTGTATTAGAAAGGGAGAGAATAGATTACAGGAGACAATGACAATGATAAGATGATTTCTATGGGTTACTGCAATTCAACCCCTTGTAATAACACATTGATTTCAACGTTTCCCCTACACAAAGAATTCTCATATGTTGCTGATGGTAAATGATGCCCCAATATTCAGTCAATCTAGGCAAAAATAAAGTCCACTAAATGAAAGAAAATCACTCAAGCTGAATTGGCCTCATATAGAAATGGCTCAAGGGTTAAGAGAGGGAGCACATGCTAAGATAAAGATTACAGGGGAAATTGTGTTTATTTAATCAAGGCCCAGATGGGCTGAAGGCAGAAACACAGCGTCCTGATTTGCATAACTTTTTCTCTCTGAGCCATAAGCAAGGGCTTTTCCAATATCCAAGGATAACCTCTGAATTCAAACAAATCATTCTTCTGACCTATGGCCAATCTTTCAGCCTCACACAGATGTCTCCCTTTATGTATAAGGAAGGAATAATCATATCACTCAAACTCAAATGTTCACTTGGGATTAACTAATATTTAAAGTGCTCTTCTTTTAAGAGCCACGCCATGCAAAAGGGAAGTGGCTTATACATATAATACAGCAGTTTATGGAAAAAGACTCCATGGTATGGTGGAAAAAACACTTTTCTAACAGAGCAACCTGGATCCCAGTCCTGGTCTGCCACGGTTTAGCAACATGACCATGGGTAACTCACAAAAACACTGAGTCTCAGTTTCCTCATCTATGAAGCAAAACATCCTTATCTGAGGAGTTTTTCTTTGTCAAATTACTATATCACCATGACCAATGCATACATATGTATTACATATGATAGTGATACGATTATTCCTTTCATATAGATAGACAGAAGATATAGATAGAAAATAGATAATAGAAGATATTGATGGACGAAAGAAGATATAGACATGAATAGATGATAGAGGATATAGACACGTATAGTTGTGATAATGTAGCATAGTTTTTTCCCAAAATGTGATAAAATAAAGAAATGTTTGACCTAAAGACTTCCCATTTTATTGAAAAGTATGAAATATATTGAAAAATACAATAAAACTAAACTGAGCCAAAGTTGTTGCAGCAACTTTACAATTGCCTAAGTTAAAGTCGTTTTCAAATACTTAAGTGGCAATATGCACTAAAAAATAGAATCTTTGAAATACAAAATTGAAGAAATGATGCACTGAAAGTTATAAAATTATTTGTGAATTAAAAATACATAAAACAATGTAGTGAATTAATCTTTAAATGTAACATATATTTATTCACTTATTTATTTCATTGGTATTCGTGCAGCACCTACTATGTGCCAGATGTTGTTCTGGGGGTACCACAAGAGATTAAAAAGAATAAGTCCATGTGCTTTTGAGTTTGAAATCTGTAGCAAGTGGAGGTATCTGCTATGAAGCTAATGAAAGTAAAGTAAGGACATAAACAGAAGCAAGGGGGAAATATCATAGATGTTGTGGCTGTGTGCATTTGGTTGTGCCAGACCCACGTCACCTACACCCTCTTCCACATCCCAAAGGTCAGATACTGGGAACATCTGCAGCTCTCTTGGAGTCTTTCTTTCCTGTGGGAGCACAGGGCATCTTCCCAGGTGGAAGTCAAGGTCTTAGAGAGGTCATGCCCCCAGAAGTGACGTTCACCCAAGGACAGGAAGGGAGATGGAGAATAAAGCTCTAGCTTGCTCCCCTGTGGGGAAGGGGAACTCTGAGGGGTGTGCTGGGCTTCAGCTCCCCCCTTGCTTGTTAGTACACCCTGTCTTGCCTTTCTCCTCTTTCCATCTCTGCTACAGAAGCTTCCTGGGACCACCACCCACATAAAACTACTTGCCTCTCTAATCTTTGTCTGAGAGTCGGCTCCTGCAGAATCCAGAAAGGAAGCCCTCTCTGATGAGAGACTTGAGCCAAGTGAATGAGTCATACAGATACCTGGGTGATCCCAGGCGGAAACCCTGGGGTGGGTGGGTGTACAAGTCAGTATGCTGGGGACTGCCACAGACCCCTGTGGGAAATTACACGTACTGAGATAAGTATTATTTAGAAGTTGGAAGAACAATAGAGGGAGAGATCCATACATGTGTGAGGATCAGAGAACGTTGCTTGGACTGTGTAACATTTAAAATGGACATTGAAGAACATTGACAGGATAGAAAGCTATTTCAGATAGAAGGAACCCATGAGCAAAGACGTGCAGGGTGGAGTCCGTGGAACTTGTCCAAACAATAAGTAAAATGAAACAGAGAAAATACATGTTGGTTCACCTGCCCCAGCCTGCACGTACCTATTTTCACTTTACTAAAGCCTTGTTAAATAGTTTATTGAAGGCTACACTGATTGAGGCTACATAGCAAAAACTATGAGTGAAAGAAACAAAACGTTGGTTTTAAAGAAGCGCTTGCTCTAGCTGAACAAACAAGCTATGCCTGCATGGAATATGAATATGCCAACAGATACAAGACATAATGAGGACCTACTTACCTGACATGTTCCTGCAGAAGTCCAAACGAGGGAGTCACATGATGCATTAATACAAAAAGATGAGTTTTGAGTAGGTTGTTGCTTGTCAACATGTACCTATTTACCGAGGCCTTCCTGTTCTGTTCACAGATGAGGAAGCTTGGGTAGGAATCTTTGCACTGCCACCTCCTGGCCATGACCTCAGTGGTATCCATTTCTCAGTGTCTCATGTATCTCATCTGTATGTAGAGACAATCACTGTAATGCAAATACAGTGTTAACAAAACACCAGGAATTCAGTCTAGTTCTGCTGCTCACCCCACACAAAGCCAATCCCTGAGACAATGGGTATTTCCAAGGAAGAAGGCTTTAATTGGGTGCTACAGCCAAGGAGGTGGGAGATCAGTCCCACGTCCATCTTCCTGACTGACTAAAACTAGGTGGTCTGTATAGCAGGGAAAAAATGTAACCATGTGTGGGAAAATATGAATTAGGGAGGGATAAGGAAGAGGAGTTGATCAACAGAAGCAGGTGGTTGGTTAGGCAATCATGAGGGGGCGAGGGGTCTGAAATCTTATTGTCCAAATGCAGTGATCTGGTGAGTTGCAGCTCCTTGCTACTGTCTAGGAGGCCTGATGGTTGGTTTCCTGAGAAGGGAACTCAGATAAGACAAATATAACTTTCTCAAGTTTAAGACTGGGATCAGTTTCTGTTTATTCAAGGAAACCATAAACATCAGCTCTATAGGACAACTGGGTCAATTTCAACAGCATCTACCTCATAGCAGGTGCTCAATAAATGTTATTATTTCCTCTGCCTCTTCCTTCTTTTTCTCCTTTTCTTTCTCCTTCATTACCACTACCTGAATGCCTTTCCTTTCTAGAAGACACCACTTTTAGTTGTCCAGCACAGCCCATTCTTGGCCTGCTGGTCAGAGGAGTGCCACCTACTCTTCTAGTAGACAGCCACATATTTGGGATTATAACTGACTTCTTGGAGATATTCCTCTAATAACTTACTTTTCTTTTTGCAATCTACTCTCTGCTAACCGTCTATGGCAGGAACACACAAACATCCTCAGTGAACATTCTAAAACACATATACACCCTGAAAAAGTATCAAAGGAATTAACATCCTCACTGAACATTCTAAAACACATATACACACCCAGAAAAAGTATTAAAGGAATTAAAGAAAGGAATTATTTATCTGTAAAGTGTGGATAGTAATAACACGTACCTCAGAAGACTATTGTATTAAATGAATTAATGCAGGGAATGCTTCAAATATGCCTGTCCCCATAGTAAGTGTTAGCTGTTATTATCAACTTTATTATCCATTCATTTTAAGCTTAAAGCAACCATTTTATACCATAACTGGCTGCTAATATTGACCTCCAATATCAAGATTATTAAGTGGTTATATTTACTTAAAAGTTGACACCATAATTATAGGGGGAAATGGCGCAGCTATGGAAAACACCCAAGTAGACTGTTAAATCCACAGGATCTAGATTGGCAGAACAATTATCTTTTCCCTAAATGAACATTTTCTACCAGTTATAAAACCATCCTATCCATGCCCAATGTTTTCCATTCAATAGCTTTCATATTTCATCAATAATTTTGTGTTTCATGTGTCATCGCATCACATGTGTTTGTCAGATAAAATAGACAACTAAATAACACCCACATTGTCATTGTCATTTTCATTAGTTGAGAAATTCAACTGAAAACATTTTTTTCTGGAAGGTTGTTCACTTTTAGTATTTTTAACACTTTAACATTTATGCCTCCTGTAATTAGCAATATTTTAAAACCCACTGATGATTCAAAATTTAAAAATGAACATGAGGTTTGATGTAAAAGTCAAAGCCTATAATTGGAAATAAATAGGCCTGAAGTTTTTGCACTCTTTGGAGAAACTCATAAGATTTCTCTCTAATCCACAGGAAGGGAAGTGTTGTTATCCATCCCGTTAGAAAGCATAATATCAAAACCAGATATAAAATAGTGATGTGTAGTAAATTCTAGTTAATCTGTGGGAATTTCTTACCAGGACAACTTCCCACCACTACCTACAACATTTCAGCCAGTTCCTCCTGGATCTAAGCTGGGCTTATCTCAGTTAATCTATTCTCAATTTATTACTCAAACTAACAACTATATTCAGAAGGGCTGATCTGCTGTAAACACATAATAAAATAAAAACAAAATTCTGGTCTATTAGAAAGGGCTAGAGAAATTACTCTGAGATTATGTATTCTATTAGAGCATTCATTTCATTGTTCCTTCCTTGATGTTTAAATTAGAAATCTGAATAAAGGAGCAAAGTATCTGTACAGTATGCAGGTACCTATAACGGGTGACCTTTTTAAAAGAGGTATTATAGAACAAACCCAGTGAGGATTTCTTTTTTCAGGTTTGTATGTGTGTGCATGCACGTGTGCCATTTCAGAATTATAAATGGAATACATACCCATTTTTAAATTAAAAATTATAGAAAAATATTAATAAGAAAAAGTCCTCTTGTATTAGACATGGCTTAAAACACCTTCTATGTTCTTTTTCTTCTTCTTTTAGTATCCACTGCATTTCAGTATTGCACACTGAAGCCCAGCTCAAGACAGTCTTCTCTGGGATCTGTTGTAGCTACATGAGGGTATCCAACTAGAAGTGATATATACCTTCTAAATCACATTTTTATAAGAAATCTATTTATCCCACATTCCCATAGTCTATATCACAGATTGGCATAGTGGACCAGCTTTAAGCAAATGGACAAGGACCATACCCTCAGGAATGTTAGAGAAACAGAGTTCCTGAATGAGTTTTAAGAGCACAGTCTCCTACCAAATCTAAACTACAAGCTTGCTTCCTGACTACTGAATGAGAAATAATCACCCTTCTGTTTCATTTGAGCCACTACATTATTGACTTCTTCATTACCATAGTTTATTCTCTAACTTACACATCGCTCTATACCCTTCTATCCTAAAATGATCACACCTATGCTTTTGATATTATACTCTCCAATATTTTTAAGTCCAATATTCAACTTAAAAACAAGAACGGTTGAAATCTAACTTTCTCTTTTTCTCTCTCTCTCCCATCTCCAGTTTTGCATTATTTTTGATAATCTGACATTTAATCTAATGTGCGTTCTATGACATTACCAAATCATCCTGTTCATCAGTATTCTAGGTCATTATTAAAATGATGTTATTCATTGTCATTTAAAGGTCAATACTCAATATCATTTTAAGGATATTCATTAATACTATATAATAATAATAATACCAATGCAGCATAAATTTTATAATATTTTCTAAAAATACATTCCTAGAAGCAGGTAAGAAACATTAATCTCTTTATACGACAATTGTCTTATTCCTAATTCATCTTTTTCATGGCCATAGTAAATATCAATCTTTTTTTTCAGTGAAGAATTTCAGTAAAGTTATTTTTTTAATAATAACTCCGTCTATATTTCACTGAGGAATATTTATTGTTTCCCCCGATAAAAGACTACCTTGCCTATGTACAAATTCTTGCACCACCACTTATTGCCCCCAAATTCTATATACATTTTAAAATTTTCTGCTGTAGTTTAATACAGCAGAAAACAGCAACAAAAATATCTGAGGTCATGTGTATTCCTTAAAAATAACTTGTTTTGTTTCTTTTTCTTTTTCCTTTTTTTTCTTCCTACCAGGACATTTGCATAACTCTGTTTTGGATTCAACTTAGGGTTCTCATTTTGGGGGGTTTGAAATATAATTAAGATCTTAAATCAGCATACTCAGATACTTTTAAAGCTCAAGAAAGTTTCTCCTTTTATATAATTGACTATGGCTTATATCATCATTTTCTATTGGAGCTCCATTCTCTATCCTCCGTGTCTATCAACTTCTCCTTCAATACTTTTATTTTTTGCTTCCTTTCAATCTTCCTCCCTTCTTCCATTCCTAACTTTCTCCCTCTTCTTCTCTCTCTCTCTTTTGCAACTTAAAAAAAATTATTGTCTCACAGATTTTGTGAATTTGGCATTTGAGATGACCTTAGCTAGTTATTTCTACCTCACAAGGTTGGCCAGGGCTGCAGCCATCTGAAGGTTTAGCCACAGCTAGAGGATTCACTTCCAAAATGACTATTGGCAAAAGGCCTCAGTTCCTGGCTGTCGTTGGCAGAAGACCTCGGTTCCTCACCACGTGGACTTCATAGGGACGCTTGAGTGCCCTTGGATGCAGTAACTGGCTTTTCTCAGAGCAAATAATCCAAGAGAAACAGTAAGTAGGAAACAAAAATGCCTTTCATGACCTAGTCACAGAAGTCACAACCCATCTCTTCTGTTATATTTTCTTTATTAGAAGTGGGTCAGTAAGTCCAGCCCATACTCAAAGGAAGAGAAATTAAACCTAACTTCTTGAACCAAGAAGTATCAGAGGATTTGTGGATATATTTTGAAACCACTACCATGAGTTACCAATTTGTTTTCTCTTTTTCATTCCTATGGGTGAAAAAATGTACAATATGTATCATGGTTTTTAGGTGCATTTCTTTATTATGTGTGAGGCAATATTTTTTAAAAATAACTATTTGTATGTATGTAAACTTTCTGTTCATGATCTTTATTGATTTTTCTATTGGGGTTTTGGTATTTATGAATATGCATTGCAATGTTTTTAGATAGACTTTATTTTTTAGAACAGTTTTAGATTAATGGAAAATTTGAGAAGATAATACAGAGAATTCTTATATACTCCACCCACTAAGATCCCCTTTTATGCACACTTACATTAGTATGGTACATTTACTGTAATCAATGAGCCAATATTGATACATTATTATTAACTAACGTTTATTCAGATTTCCTTTGTTTTCTCTTAATGCCATTTTCTATTCCAGAATTCCATCCAGGAGACCACATTACATTAACTTGTCATGTCTCCTTAAGCTCTGTAGTGAATTCTTACAATTTTATGTTGCTTCAGCATCCATCTTTAATAGAAGTTTAAATTTCTCAGACTAAAAGCCAGGCTCAGTTACCCTTCACACGGTTTCTAGTTTTATACCACGCCCAAATGCCTCAAGCCTGTAGGCAGATAATAACTTAGAGGTATCTCTACTGCCTAGGAAATTGAGTGTCCTGCTTTTGTGGCCCTTTGCTTTAAACAGGCCATTCATGCTTTTTCCCACAAACTTAAAGTGACCCACACCCTCTTCCCCTGTATGTACTGCTAGCTGCCACACTGGCTGTCTTGCTATCTCTGCCTAACTCTCCATTCCTGCCTCGTATGACCTGGGGACAGAGGATTGCCTTCCTGATTCATTATGTCCCCCTTGCCTAGGACTTATTTATTGCCTGTAAATAAGTCTCTGAACTTGTTTCCTATTGTGATGGAATATTAAATTTCACCTTCCATCTAAAGAACCAGGAGCTACTCTAGACTGGGTTGTCCCCAGAACACCACAGAGAACAAAAGGTAGGGCTCCCAGTGCCAGAGCAATGGTCAGGCAGGAATAAACTGGACGCTGGTCAGACAAGACCCACAAGGGCATCTTCCAGTATAAAAAAGTTTCCTGTGTGATGGACCTCCTGGGCGTGGATCAGGCAGCTAGGCATTAGACCATCTGCCAGGTAAAAGAACCATCCTGTGAAAACCACACTGTAAACACCCACGTCCAGCATTAGAACCCCATGTCAGCCGGCGGCTCTCAAAACAAGCTTCTCTTGGCTGTACAGTTTCTTTTAGTTTTCTAGTTTTTGATGACCTTGATAGTTTTAAGAAGCACTGATCAAGTATTTTAAAGGAGACCCTCTCTGTTTAAATTTATCTGATATTCTTCTCATGATTAGATCAGAGTTATAGTTTTTTAAGAGGAAGACCACAGAGGCATTTTTATCACATCATGTCAAAATACATACAGTCAATATAATTTATTACTGTTTCTATTGCCTTGATAGACAACCTGGCTGAGACAGTGTTTGTCAGTTTCCCCACTGGAAAGTTACTCTAAAGTTACCCTGTAAAGGTGGCCCTCCCCATACCCCAGTCCTCAGAAAGAAGCCACTATGCATGGCCCACACTTCCAAAGTGTGAATTTATGGCACTCTCTCGAGGGTGGAGTATCTTCAGAAATAATCTGGAGTTCTACTGCAAAGGAGATTTGACTCTTCTTTCTTATTTATTTATTTAATCATTTACGTATTCTCAGTATAAACTCATGGTTATTACTTCATACTTTGGATTATAATTCATTACTTTGTTGTTAATTTTGCTGCTAAAATTGTTGCCACTTAAGCAACTGGAAGCTATTTAAATTGATTTCCATGTCCCTTTGACACAGAGTCATCAGTGTAGGAGTTTTTGGTGAAGAGGGAGGCACTTGCTTTCTGAAACTACAAGGGGCTCCAGGCTCATCTTGCATAATTCTTGCCCAGTCCTAGAATCAGCCGTTTCTCCAAGAAGCTATTGGACAATGGTGTCAAAACCCAGGATCTGAGCAATTAGAAGTGCTCTCATTGCTACTGGTATATGATTTATTTTAGGCCCCCTCAGCTGAAAAAGTAAATAAATATATATGTATATACTAACCCATGTATGTACACATAGTACAAATATTTCTACATATGCGACTATCTGTATGTATGTTAACCTAAACATGAGTTTATACTGTTTTCTCCAGCTCTAATCCATTACCACATAGTTCATTCTAGCTTCCTCTATTGCTTATTTGTAAATTTCCCACTCCAACAATGAAAAACGTGACTCCCACCCTCTGCTGTCTGTTTATTTAAGTGTCCAATTCTGATATCCATTTATAGCAGCATCAGGATTGTTGACTCATACCCCATGGGAGACAACATTAACAACTCGAGTACCGTTGCCTTTAATCTTACAGACAGCACTTATTTCCAATGTTACTTAGGTCAGTGCCTTTCCTTTACAGACCCTTCAGTGAGATTGTTTCATACACTTTTTTAAATACAATCGGATTCCCCTGTCACAGTCTGTATTCCTCCCTGGGATCCCTTCACACTCAAAATGATTTTGTTTTTACTTTGCATTCACTAAGATTCACTATTTGTTCTGTGCAGTTCTACAGGTTTTGAAACATGTATAATGTCATGTCTCCACCATTATAGTATCATACGGAATAGTTTCACTGCTCTAAAAACCCTCTGTGCTTCAACCGTTTAACCCTCATCCTCTGCACTCAAACCCTTGGCAACCACAGATCTTTTTATTGTCTGTATAGATTTGCTTTTTCCAGAAGATCACATAATAGGAATCATACACTATGAAGCATTTTCCAACAGCTTCTTTTACTTAGATTGCACTTAAGATTCACTCATGTCTTTTTGTAGCTTGATAGCTTATTTCCTTTTATTGCTGAATAATATTCCATTGTTTGGAAGTACCACACTGTGTTTGTCCATTAATCTATTAAAGGGCATCATAGTTACTTACAGTTTTTTGGTATTTGTAAATAAAACAGTTATAAACATTTGCACGCAGGTTTATATGGACTTAAACATTTTCATCTCAATTGGGTAAGTATCTAGGAGTGCAATTGCTGGGTTGTATAAGGCTATGTTTAACTTTTTAAAAACTGCCAATCTGTTCCTTCATAGTGAATGTACCATTATCTCTCTTTTTGTATCTGCCATTGAGAGAATTCACAGCACTGTTCTTCATGTTAGTGTTTCCATTTTTAGCAGCATCATTTGTTCTT
Source organism: Homo sapiens (assembly GCF_000001405.40). Classification (NCBI taxonomy): domain Eukaryota; kingdom Metazoa; phylum Chordata; class Mammalia; order Primates; family Hominidae; genus Homo; species Homo sapiens. The sequence goes on along the minus strand of NC_000002.12, from coordinate 107,373,557 downwards.
TTTATAGTTGACAATGTAGAATCTATTATTGCACTTGTCAGATTACATTTAATCATTCTTTTCTTTCACAACTGTCTTCTTTATATGTTTTCCAAACCTCTTCTTTCTATAATATTCTGATACTATTTCATTAAGGTCATCTCTTCTTGATTTCTATTGAAGGTGCTAACTAGCATTCCATATCTTCTGCTACTAACCATGATAAATCATTTTCAGATGCCCAATCTTCATTTGAGTGGTCAAGATGATCATTTATCCTTCTATTTTATTTTTCTATTGAATGAACATAGGTCTGTGAGGTATCAGCGTTTGTTAATCAATAAAATGTATTTATTTCCCCTGGTCCCACTTTCTAGATCTAGCACTGGATGTCAGGGAGATATGCTTTGTTTCTAGGCTAGTGTCCAGTGTTAAGCCTGACATTTTCAAACATTTTCCCATTGAAATTAGAGCATCTCTTCTGAAGAGCATTGCTGGTTCTCTCACAACTTATGCAGAAAGAGTTGTCCAAAATCTACAGTTCTCAATATGTATTGCTACCAGGGTTCTTCCTTGTATCCACTTATTCCTCCTATGCTTTATTTGTTGAAATTATAGCTCTTCCAAACCAGCATCCTCTCACTGGTCTACGATAGTTTCAACACTGCTGTCTTCTGGAATTGTGTTCACTGAATACAGAAAGTAGATGAGTATGCAGAGCAGTAAGGGTAAAGAGAATTATCATAAGAAATGGACCCACATTACTATGGAGAACTGCAGTCAGCAAGCTGAAGAACCAGGAGATCTGATGGTTAAGTTCCTCTTCAAGAGAAGGAGAAGACAAAGGTCCCTTCTCAAGCATCAGGTTAGAGGAGTTCTCTGCTACTTAGTGTTTTTTGTTCCATTTACGTCTTCAATTGACTAGATGAGGCACACTCACATCAGGGAAGGCAATCTGCTTCACCCAGTCTACTAAGTCAAATGTTAATCTCATTCAGAAATACTCTAACAAACACAACCATAATTATATTTGACCAAATGTGTGGGCACCCCATTGCCCAATCATGTTGACACAGAAAACCATCAAAGGAAGCGAAGCACCAGATCTTATTTAAGTATTTAGATTTTGTTTTTAAAGTAGACAAGGAGGATATTCTTCTGAGGGTAATAACACCACCTGATCTGTTTTGGGAAACATAACAGCAGCAAAGAACCTTCTGGATATATCTACACATGGTTCTAATAAGAATGGTCTTTGCAGCATATTTCTAATATCAAAAACTTTAAACAACATAAGTGTTCATCAAAAGAAAAATGGCTAAATATATTTTGGATTACAGCATATTGACATAATAAAATATTGTGTAACCAGTTAAGAAAAAACAAATTGAGGAAGTTATTTAAACTGATAGGAAATTATCTCCAAAATATATTAATTGAAAAAGCAAGATGTGAAACAGTACATACAGAATGCTACTATATAAGAAAGAAAATAGGAGAAGAATTATTTTACTTGCATATGCATATTATCTAGAATGACAGAAGAAACTGGTGGCATTGATTGGCTTCAGAAATAGAACAGAGGGGTTAGAAAGCAGGAAACATTGCTGCGAAGGCTTTTGCAGTTGTTAAATTTAGAAATGTGCACAAAAGTCTGTAGCATTTGTTATACCAATACTGAACTATCTGAAAAAGAAATCAAGAAAAAAAATCCCATTAACAACAGCTACAGAAAAATAGTACCTAGAAGATGAACGATCTCTGCACTGAAAACTATGAAACATGTATGGAAGAAATAGAAGAGAACATAAATAAATGGAAAGATATTCCAAGTTCACCGATTAGAAGAATTAATATCATTAAATGTCTACACTGCCCAAAGTAAACTACAAATTCTGCACAGTCCCTATCAAAACACTAATGACACTTTTCACAGAAATAGAAAAAAAAGATACTAAATTTGCATGAAACCACAAAAGATCCAGAATAGCAAAAGCAATTTTGACGAAAAAAAAAAAAAAACATAGCTGGAGACATTACACTACCTAACTTCAAATTCTACTTCAAAGCTATAGTAATCAAAACAGCATGGTACTGGCATTAAAAGCAGGCACATAGATTAGCAGAAGAGAATGGAGAACTCAGAAACAAAACCATGCATGTACATCCAACTGATTTTCAACAAAGGTATGAAGAACAGACATGGAGAAAGGATACTTTTCAATAAATGGTGGTGGAAAAATTGGATCTCCACATACAGAAGAATGAAACTAAACCTCTATCTTTCAACATATACAAAAATTAACTCAAAATGGACTAAAGACTTTAATTTAAGACCTAAGACTATAAAGCTACTCTAAGAAAACACAGAGAAAATGCTTTATAACACTGGTTTGGGCAAGGATTGTTTTGGATAGGATCTTAAAAGTATAAGTCACAAAAACAAAAATACAGAAATGAGATTACATGAAACTAAAAAGCTGCTACACAGCAAAGGAAACAATCAACAGAGTGGAGGTACAACCTACAAAATGGTAGAAAACATTTGCAAACAATACATCTGACAAGAGGTTTCCAGAATATACAAGAAACTCAAACAACCCAATAGCAAAAAGAATAAATAGTGCCATTAAAAATTGGGCAAAGGACATGAGTAGATATTTCTCAAAAGAAGACATGTAAATGGCCAATAGGTGTATGCAAAAATACTCAACATCATCAATTGTCATGGAAATGCAAATCAAAACCTCAATGAGGTATCACCTAACTCCAGTTAGACGGGCTAGTATTGAAAAGACAAAATCTGACAAGTGTTGGCAAGGATACGGAAAAACCTGAATGCTTACACACTGTTGATGGTAATGTAAGTTAGTACAGTGATTATAGAAAATGATACGATGTTTCATTAAAAAATTTAAAATAGAATTATCATGTGATCCAGCAACCCTACTATTGGTTATATATCCAAAAGAAATAAAACCAGTATATTGAAAAGATACCAGCACTACTGTCTTTATTGTAGCACTCGTCATCATAGCCAAGATAGGGAATCAACGTAAGTGTTCATCAATAGGTAAGCAAGTAAAGAAGACATGGTATATACACACAAGAGGATACTATTCAGCCATAAAAGGAATAAAATTCTTTCATTTGCAACAACATGGTTGAAACTGGAGAATATCATGTTAAGTGAAGTAAGTAAGGCGCAGAAAGCCAAATACTGCATTCTTTCACTTACATGTAGAATCTAAAACAATTGATCTGAGAGAAGTGAGAGTAAAATAGTGGTTACAAGAGCCTTGGAAGGATAGGAGGTAGGGTGGATCAGGAGAGAACTGGTCAACAGGTACAAAGTTACAGTTAGGAAGAATAAGTCCTGGTTTTGTATGGCACGGAAGGGTATTGCTAACTATATATTGTTAACTATAGTTAACAATAATGTATATTTCAAAACAGCTAGAAGAGAGGATTTTGAATGTTCTTACTACAAAGAAATGACAAATGTTTGACATGATGGATTTTTGAATCATCCTGATTTAATTATTATGCAATATATAAGCACATCAAAAAATCACATTGTATCCCATAAGTATGTACAATTATTATCTGACAATTAAAAATAAAATAAAACTAAAAAAAGATAGCTGAATTAAACTTTTCCAGAGAAACAATTCGACTTCAATAGCATCTTTATATTGCCTTTGACTATATTCAATTGATGATGTACATTTAAAATTATTATTATTATTATTATTGAGACGGAGTCTCACTCTGTCACCAAGGCTGGACTGCAGTGGTGCGATCTTGGCTCACTGCAACCTCCATCTCCCGGGTTCAAGTGATTCTCCTGCCTCAGCCTCCTGAGCAGCTGGGATTACAGGCGCCTGCCACCATGCCCGGCTAATTTTTGTATTTTTAGTAGAGACGGAGGTTTCACCATATTGGCCAGGCTGGTCTTGAACTCCTGACCTTGTGATCCACCTGCCTCAGCCTCCCAAAGTGCTGGGATTACAGGCATGAGCCACCATGCCCAGCCTAAAATTATTTCTAATGTCATGTTTGCTGCACACCACTTGAAGTAATTTCTCTTCATTTTATATTATATTTTCATGTTTTATTTCAGCTTTTATCTAAGTTCAGGGGTACATTTGCAGGTATGTTACATGGATATATTGTGTCATGCTGAGATTTGGGGTATAAATGATCCCAACACCTAGGTAGTTTTTCAACCCTTATTCCCTTCCCTTCCTCCCCACCCTGGTAGTCCCCAGTATTCATTGTCACCATCTTCATATACATGAGTACCCACTGTTTAGCTCCCACTTATAAGTGAGAGCATGTGGTATTTGGTTTTCTGTGTCTGTTTTAATACAGTTAGGATAATGGTATCCGGCTGCATCCATGTTGCTACAAAGGACATGATTTCATTCTTTTTTATTGATGCATATTATTCCATGATGTATACGTATCATGGTTTCTTTATTCAGTCCACCTTTGATGGACATCTAGATTGGTTCCATGTCTTTGCTATTGTAAATAATGCTGCGATGAACATAGGAGTGCATGCACCTACATGGGAGAACAATTTCTTTTCCTCTGGGTAGATAAATAATAATGGGATTGGTGGGTCAAATGGTAATTTTGTTTTAAGTTTTTTGATAATTTTCCAAACTGCTTTCTACAGTGGCTGAATTGATTTACATTCCCACCAACAGTGTATAAGCATTTGATTTTCTCTGCAACCTCACCAACATCTGTTGTTTTTTGACTTTTTAATAATAGCCATTCTGACTGGTATGAGATGGTATCTCTGTGGGATTTTCATTTGCATCTCTCTAAGTATTAGTCATGTTGAAAATTTTTTTCTTTTTTGTTTTTTCCTTGAGACAGAGTTTTGCTCTTGTCGCCCAGGCTGGAGTGCAATAGCACTATCTGGGCTCACTGCAACCTCTGTCTCCTGGGTTCAAGCAATTCTCCTGCCTCAGCTTCCGGAGTAGCTGGGAGTACAGGCGCCTACCACCACGCCTGGCTAATTTTTGTATTTTAGTAGAGACAGGGTTTCACCATGTTGGCCAGACTGGTCTCAAAGTCCTAACCTCAAGTGATCCATTCTCCTCGGCCTCCCAGAGTGCTGTGATTACAGGCGTGAGCCAACATGCCCGGCCAAGAATTTTTTAAACATATTTGTTGGCTGCTTGTATGTCTTCTTTTGAGAAGTGTGTTTATGTTCTTTGACCACTTTTTAATGGGATTTCTTGTATTTTGCTAGTCAATTTGTTTAAGTTTCTTCTAGATTCTGGATACTAGACCTTTGTCAGATGCATAGTTTGTGAATATTTTCTCCCATTCTGTAGGTTGTCTGTTTACTCCCTTGATAGTTTCTTTTACTGTGCAGAAGCTCTGTAGTTTAATTAGGTCCCACTTACCAATTTTTGTGTTTTGGAATTGCTTTTGAGGACTCGGTCATAAATTCTTCACCAAGGCTGATGTCCCAAACTATATTCCCTAGGTTTTCTTCCAGAATTTTTACAGCTTTAGCTCTTACATTTAAGTCTTTAATCCATCTTGAGATAATTTTTGTATACAGTGAAAACCCGGGGTTGAGTTATATTCTTCTGAAATGGCTAGCCAGTTATCACAGCACCATTTATTGACAAGGAAGTCTTTCCCCATTGCTTATTTTTGTTGACTTTGTTGAAGATCAGGTGGTCATACCGGTGTGGCTTTATTTCTGCCTTCTCTATCCTGTTCCATTGCTCTATGTGCCTGTTTTTATACCAGTACTATGCTGTTTTGGTTACTGTAGCCATATAGTATAGTTTGAAGTGAGGTAGTGTGATGCCTCCAGCTTTGTTCTTTTTGCTTAGGATTGCTGTGGTGATTTGGGCTGTTTTTTGATCCATATGTATTTTAGAATTTTTTTTACCAAATAGATGAAAAATGTCTATAAGGAGAGCTACAAAACATTGCTGAAAGAAAACACAGGTAACACAAACAAACAGAATAACACTCCACGTTCATGCATTGTAAGAATCAATATCGTTAATATGGCCGTACTGCTCAAAGCAATACACAGATTCAATTCCTATCAAACTAACAACATCATTTTTTAAGAAATATATTTTCAATAAATAAGGTCAAAAATTTAAAAAATAAAAATAAAATAAAATAACAACAAACTTGAAATCAATGTGAGGGAGAGATGAGAGAAATGAAACATGGGGGTACTTCTAATCCCAGTGCATTTTCTCCATAGCTTGGCCCCAAACCACCCTCTGAGGAGCCCTGCCCTTCCTCACCCCACTCTCATTACCCATATAACACTACATGGGAGGGGGGCATTCTATTGTCTACATTGTTTTTCTTCCTGTAACATCAAATAAAGTTAAAATTAATATTTTTAAGGGTAGGGACCATTTTCTCAACCTTATTTTGATGCCCAGTACTGAGCAAAGGAACATACGCATGGTAGAATCTCTAAAATTATTTTTTATAATAATAAGACTTTTGTGATTTAACTATAAACAGTGACCCATAATTTCCATAACATGTTCCAAAACACTGGTCTTATTATTTTATAGCGTGCCTGTATCTGTATAGCCTTTTAAAGGCCCATAAAATCAAGACATACATTATAGTTTTAAAATGCAGGTTGTAAAAAGAATAGAAATATAAATAGATATGATTTTATAATAGCAGACATTACAGTAGAGCACAAATCTGAATAAATAGTGTATTCTAACTATAGAAAGTTGCTGGAGAGTTAAGGCAAAAACCTGGCCAATACAATTTAAAGTTTTCCCACATGTAGCACAAACTTCACATGACAACTAAAATTTTATCTGAATGTTCAGTACTAGAACTTCAAATCATTTTCAGAAATGGCTTTTTTTTGTTTTTGAGACGGAGTCTCGCTCTGTCACCCAGGCTGGAGTGCAATGGCACTCTCTCGGCTTACTGCAACCTCCTCCTCCCAGGTTCAAGCAATTCTCTTGCCTCAGCCTCCCAAGTAGCTGGGATTACAGGCATGCACCACCACACCTGGCTAATTTTTAGTATTGTTAGTAGAGATAGGGTTTCACCATGTTGGTCAGACCGGTCTTGAACTCCTGACCTCAAGTGATCCACCCGCCTTGGCATCCCAAAGTGCTGGGATTACAGGCGTGAGCTACCGCACCCAGCCCAGAAATGGCTTTTTGTTAAAATATTAACTGCATTTCTCCATTTCCTCATCCGTTTCTGAGAAAGGAAAATCTTCAGTTGAAATATAATTTCATTTTTTCCAGCCAATTTCCACACATAATCTAGGATCATTTGTATGTCTAATTGGTACAAAAGGGAAAGAAGAATATACAGAAACAAGAAATAAAAATTATTTATATATATATACACACTGGGAAAGTACATTCTTCTAACTCTACATGTGACTGAAATTCAGGGGACACATCCATACAATTTGAGACTGAGTTTTTTCTCACATTTTCTATAAAAATGCAAACATCATTGGTTATAATTATGGATCCACACATATAAATGTTTAATTCTGAAAATAAGAAATTATAAATCCCTTCTGAGGCAATGGTGAGTAAAGAATGAGAGTTTATATTTAAGCAGACAAACCTAGTGACACTAGGGTTGAAGTCAATGATTCCCAAAATTTGAATTAAGTTGAGACACTGTTTCATGTTTTTGAAATTTCACAACCACAGCAGAAATGACAAGGCATAACAAGTCACGTAAGGGAGCTCTTTGGTTTTTCCTGGGAGTTAAAGTAAAGATTTACCTCCTCTTAATTTTTCCAGTGGGTGGTAAACAAACTTCTCTAAGCCTCTTCTGGTAAGGGCTTCCGAGATAGTTTTTACATGCAGGAAGAGAGAACAAGTGCAGGCAACGTCCAAGGTCCTCTTGTTTTGCAGATCACTGCACAACAGACCCTCAGGTAGAACAAGTTTAGATAGTGACTCTTAACCAAAGTACAAGTTAGCATCACCTGGAAGACTTTACTAACCATGGTTGGCTGAGAGTCTGTGGGAGCAGAAGAGGAAACTGAGGCTTTAGAGAACTGTAGCACATTGGCAAGGACATCCAGCTCATAAACAGTGAGTCTGCCTCCAACTCATCTTTCTTCCCAGCTCAGATGTCTGCTAGGGCTCTATCTGGTAACTATGTCAAAGACATAATTTTAATTCAGAACAAGATTAAGAATCCTACATTTCTTGATGTTGGTGAGTTAAGTTGATATATATTCTGCTAGTGATTAAGATTTTAAATTACTAGATTTAGAGTAAGATTGATATGATCACTTATTTTCTTTGAGAAATTCACAAATGAAAGGTCAAGTGAGGATTGAAAAGTAGGGGTCATTATTTGAAAAGATCATTCTCTCTAGTAAGTCTTTAAACAGAGTGCCCTGACAACATTAGTGGAACCAACAAAATGTGTCTTTTACCTTAAGTGGGGTCAGTATTCACAAAGACCTATTGAGCCTTCTTATTAAGGAGCTTTAACTAAAGGACTAGGGAATGCACCCACCACAAGGTGTAGATTGCTATACAGTGTAAGAAGATCACTGTGCAGTGTACTGATGTATTGTAAGGTATAGATCACTGTGTTGGTGTGAGAACTACATAACCACACAATATAAAGAGAACACAGCAGTGGAGGGAGTAGATGACTGTGCAGCAGAAGATGTCATCAGAATGCAGTATAGAGAGTAGATCGCTATGTGGATTACAGTGTTGATCACTGCACCGTATAAGGTGTCAGTCACTGTGTCGTGTAGGGAGCAGATCACAGTGCCATAGGATGTACACCACTGTGCAGTATAGCGGGTATCACTGTGCAGATTGTATCACTGTGTACTGTAGAGAGTGTATCACTGTGCACCATAGGGAGCAGATCTCTGTGCCATAGGATGAATACCACTGTGCAACATATAGTGGGAATCACTGTGAAGTGCAGAGAGTGGATCACTGTACAGTGCAGGGTGTGGATGACTGTGCACTCAAGGGAGTAGATTACTGTGCAGTGTAAGGTACAGACTATTACACAATGCAGGGTACAGAGATGTGCAATGTAGTGTTCATCCCCATGTAATCCAGGAAATGCATCACTTAGAGTTTTATCTGTGTTTACCAGTTACCATCTTGTTCATAGTAGTAAGATGGTCTCTTTATATAGGAGCAATGTGTTTTTCAGTGTTTGCTTTTCCTTGGTGTCCTACATGTGTCTTCGATGAATAGCCATCTCAGAAGAGACTTTGTTGAGCCCCTCACAGTGTGCAGGCACAGTGGAGAGCAAAGACTACAGAGAATGTGGTTCTACCTTTGACTGTTATACAATCTGATAGGGCAGTAAAATACCAAAGTGTTCCTGAAAACATTTATGAGAGGGTGTAATAAATGTTACAGACTGAGGCGCAGCCTTCATCTGAAAAGGGGATGAGTGGCTGATAAGAGTAGCAAGAGAAGTGAAGAGAACATAATTCACAGAGAATGGGGAATTATAGCTGTGTATTTGATGGAGGGAGGGCAGTCCAGGATGTGGCAATATGAAGTCTGTGTAAGGCTTGGTTGACTAAGTGATGAGGTTAGAAGGTTACTCCCTCAAGGGTGGCCAAGGAACCATGCACATCGGCATCACTGGGGAGTCTTCATTTAAGAAGCAGGTTTTTGAGCCTTCTCCCACTTAGTGAGAGTCTCTGGGAATATGCATTATAGCCAGTTATCCCAGGTGACTCTCCATGGCACTAAGGTTTGAAACTGCTGGTTAAATGACAGAGACACATATGTGGATCTGGAGAAACTAGACTGAAGCCAGGAGAGCAACAAGAGAGGTCAGCAGGAAGTTTAATGCCAAGCTCCGGTGTACTGGATCATACTCAGGGCTGCCCTTGAGCCCATGAAGGTGGAGGAGAGTAGAAATAAATGCTGCCTGGAAATGGGCACAAGGATGTTAACAAGAGCAAGGCATGGCAAGAGGGTACAAAGCTGACTGCAGGCCGGGCACGGGTGGTGGCTCACGCCTGTAATCCCAGCACTTTGGGCGGCTGAGGCAGGCAGATCACTTAAGGCCAGGAGTTTGAGACCAGCCTGGCCAATATGGTGAAACCCCGTCTCCACTAGAAATACAAAAAAATTTAGCCAGGCATGGTGACACGCACCTGTAATTCCAGATCCTTGGGAAGCTGAGGCAGGAGATTGCTTGAACCCAAGAACTGGAGGTTGCAGTGAGCTGAGATTGCATCACTGCACTCTGGCCTGGGCAACAGAGAGAGGCTCTGTTTCAAAGATAAATAAATACATAAATACATAAATAAATAAATAAATCTGACTGCCAAGCCAAATAAGGGAAGTCATGCAAATCTTTTTCAGTCTCATTTCCTGTCTTCTTTGAGGAATGTGGGGTAGGTCACATGATCTGAGATTGTGTCCTCTGAGCTGGAAGCAGAACAGTGGACCCTCATACTGATGAAACAGAGACAAGAAATGTCCCTCCTTCTCTCAGACATTATGAAAAACACATATCTACAAAGTTTATGGGGCTTTAGTACCTCCAAGCGTGTAATTTCCCAGATGAAGATGTCTAATAGAGGTTCACTGCCAGTGGAATTCATCACAAACATCTCAACACAGTGTTATCCAGCATGTCTGCCCACATACCTTCTACTCTGATCTCCCACTTATTTTTGGACATGCCATGGACAAACTCCAACCAGGAGTTTTGTCCTCTGCAGCCCCAGCATCTGCCGACCTGCTGCAAGCCACAGCCAACCGTCTGCTTGATACTTCAAGCCCCCTCTCAAATTCCAGCTCCTTCATAAAGCCCTTCTCATCCCACCTGATCCCTCTTTTCTCCAAGTCCTTGGAACGTTTTATGATAACTTAACACCTTCTGCCTTGTGTTCTGGCTATGTGAACACTAATATCCCTCTGGCTGGGCTGGGGCCTACCAGAGAATGAGTTTGTACTCTGTCATTATCACTAAAATTTTCCTGGATCCCTACAAAACAGGCTGCATATACCAGATGCTCAATAAATATTTATTCAACCAAACTGGACTCAAAAAATTTGTAAAGTTTCAATAGGATATACATAATGAAAAATTGTTTATTAAGTTCAGAACTGTTCTGCTTAGTGAATGCATGAATCAAGCATCAAAAACCTCAGTGCAATATGAGAAACTTGCACCACTTACTCACCCTCACTATCAGTCCGAGGAGTGTTTTCTTTCCCTGGGATTCCCTCATGATTTGCAAGGCAGATCCAATCCCCTCCAGTCCATTCTGATCCGTCCCCTTCATCCATCAGGCACTGACAGCACCAATCCATGATTACTAAGGGAGGCAGAAACCCCAGTCAGCTAGTCTCTTTGTCTGGACATAGGGCTATTCATGGAAACTGCATATTCAGGGTACAAATAAGTGTCAGCTGAGAGTCTGAACCAAATGATTGATTGCTCATTTCTCCGTGAGAGCACTATTTGGAACAAAAGGCCTGATTATCAAATCACTGACACAAAAACAAAATAAGCTGATGGCGCCTTCTGATTATGAACTGAAGATTTTCTGCTAACTTCATCCTGAATGTCTCCTTCTTAGGCTTCCAGGCACCATATGATTAAACTTGACTGATGGGAGCTTAGATCCAAGGGATGTTAATTTATAGATCAGCTGCATAGTGCCTTATGCATGGATTTTTGGGCTTCCTTAAGCATAAGCCTTTGGGAGCTCAAGGACTCTGCCTCACTGGGTTTGGAAAAAAATTGTCCTATCAGCTCAGCACACTCTAGGGAAGCTTTTATGGGCTTCAGAGAACTCCAGATGCCTTTGGTTGGCCTGTCTTTTGATTGAATGCAGAAATTATCTGTTGCTTCCAGTTCATAATTTCTAAAGTTTCTTACTGTTGTAGCTTATTGAATCCATGAACTAGAGTTGATGTGCATAGAACAAATACAAGATATAAATCTTCACTCTTCTCATGAGGAACTATGGTGCATTTTTTCGGCAGGCAAATACATGAAGCATTGCAACACAGATACTCTAGTGAGACCAAAAATACAGTTTTAGCTTTTCCTTTGTAAAAATGTTTAATACTCTTGTAGCTGCAAACACAGAAAGATGAAAATAAATTTGTACAAACAACAAACAAGGCCAATAGTTCTTTATGTTATTTTTGCCGTGTTTATTGATGGAAACAGAGACATGGGGAGTTTTATCTGACTCTGAGCCAGAAATGCTCAACTGTCTTCTAAAGAATTTGTCCAAGCATAAAGTCAAGATAGAAGGAAAAGACAATACCTAGAATCAGACATTGTTGTGGATTTGAGAACATTCTTGCTTTAGATAAGGAGAGCAGCTGTGACGTTCCTCTCGTTTCACACTCAAGTTGCGTGGGGCTGCTAACTCGGGCAGGGACAAGCCTACAACTTCTCATTTTAACCTGTGTCCACTTGCTGGGCTGAACCTCTGCTGCTATTCACAGTCTCTTTCACAGTCTCTGATATTTTGTAATGGATTCTATGCCTAGATTTTACATTATTTTTTCACATTTCCTTGTAGAATACTCTCAAGTCCAGAGAAAGGGAAACTATTAGGTACAGTAGGAATGTAGAAAGCAAGAGGTCTCTGCTTGGAGAAGGCTTTTTGGAAAGCAGTTTTTGAAATGGTCCTGAGTCAGTAAGTTTGCTTTTGAGATCCATCCTAAGAAATAAATTTAAAATATGACCAGGTGTTCAAAAACAACAAGCTCATTGAAGCATCTGTGACGTTGCTACCCTCTGGAAAATGGAGACTTTGCAATGGTGGCAGTCCAGTCACCAAGAATCAGTTGAGGATTAGCTACTGTGTTGGAATGATGCTTTAGGCAGACATGAAAATTGCCATGTCCATGTGTGTCAGGCACTTCAGAAGGCATTATCTCTTTTAATCTATAGAATTACCATTGCCATTCCCATAGAGGGTTAAATGAAACCTATATAACAAGCTGGTAATTGGCAGAGCAAAGGTTTCCATCCAGGCATTTCAAGTCCAGAATTTGAGTATTTAAGCACTTTCTTTTACTGCAAAAGAATTTTCTCACTATACACACAAAACATGTTTCATTCCTCATTGAGGCCCATTGCCGTAATGAGCCACAAGATCCCCTGGAAGGTGGGAAAGCCCTTAGTAATGAGAGTAGAAAATGGCGGAAGACTGTGGTGCTAATCAGAAAATACTCCAGAGACATCAGATCTCCATTGGTCCTGGAAATTCTACCCCAATATGGTGATGTCTCCATCTACCTTAATCAACATGAAACTTACCAAAATTGATTCATTTTCTTTTAGATGTATGAGAATCAGGCAGAATCTCTGGGCCATGATTGTTATCATTAACTCATTCATGAGACATACTCTGAGCCAGGCACGGTGCTGTGGATTGGGGCTGTGGGGACAAATGCATGCCCCAGCCATTAAGGAGCTCAGAGTCCAGTCTAGCAAAAAGAAAGTAAACAGATGATTCCAGTGTGATCAGTGATCTTGGAATAGGCTGGAGGATACAGATATTCAGGGGCAGCAACTGTCATTAGCCCATATCATATGCTATATTTCCTTTTCTTAGGGCCTTGTTCTTGACATTTTTTCGTACAAGATACCACTTTCCTCAAGAAAGCACAGGATAAGTTAATATCTATTAATCGTTAAGGGAGGTGGGTTGATCTCAACACAGTAGACTTTTTTAGTACATGTTCATTGTTTGCTAATATTTATATCAATTGCTTCTCCACTAAGCATGCATCAATTAAACCTTGGAAAAACAGAAATAGGAAGAGAAAATCAAGCTGGATTTTTTTTTCTTTATATGAAATAAAAGAGAGAGTTGAAAATATTTTTAAAGGCACATTAAATAGACCCAGATATTTGAAAAGGTATTTATACCACATGTATATAAAACATGTGGTATACTTTAGAATTCCTGGCTCCTTATGAAGATATTCAAAGTTAAAGCACTTACATTCATAAAGAAAGCCTGTGTGTGTATATCTGAACACATAATCCACAAAGCATTACTTTGGTCCATTTACAAGCAATATAATCATAACATAAATTTTAAAACTAAGTCCCCATTAATACACAGATTGTCCTCCTAGAGTTCAACTGGTCACCCAAGGGCAACAGCAGCTTGAAAAAGACTCTGTGACTTAAGGGCCCCCCACCACCCTCCGTGCCACTTGACATCATCCTGCCTCTTCAAAGTATGGAAATCCAGAATACGTTTTGCAGCAAGCTCAGGTCAAAAAAGCTTTGGGCTAAGGGTGTTAGCAAGAGGAAGGGCACAAAGAGGCTGGCAAGTTGCTCCCACTGGACAAACAACTCTAGTCATCTACCCATCCACCTCTGTAAAATGAGATCATGGAAGAAACACTGGGAGGCTCTTAGAACAGGGTCTGGAATGAGTAATGGGATTTGCAGAGGAATTCTCACTGCCTTTCACACTCTGCCACTTTCTGACTCTGTGGAAGAGCATGAAATGAGAATTCCGCATTGCGTTCTGATAAGGGACTAATGTATTAGATGTGAAACAAACTCATTCCCATATAGGCTGTTTGTTAATTTTCAAAGCACTCCTATATCTACAATATCATCTGATCCCCATAATCATCCTACTGAATGATCCTAAAACATGTCATAGTTGACAGAACGTTTAAAAATAAGATGTGAAAAACATGTAGGCACAGGTAGGCAGGAAGATGATTAAAGATTTAACTGTAGATGGTGGGGGCAAGCCTTTTAAATGTTTTATTTCCAGGGAGGTGCTCTTCTAGCCTGTGTGTCTTGTAGCCTGTGTGTCTGGGTGTGCATTTTTTAGAAGCGTACAGAATGAATAAGCACACAGGAGATAAGGGTGAGAGATAGCTGGGGCAAAGGCCCAGAGGTATTACTCCAAGGAAAAGGGAATAATTACTCAGTATCTCTACCAGTTTGGTATGTATTACCTGTGGTAAGAAATCCGTCACAGATGCCTGACTTCCCTCCACCCTCAGTACCGCCCCATCAAAAGCAAAAGTCTTGTGTGAAGGCTTTGTTGTGGACAAGGAATGCAAAAGTAGGCAAGACCGATGATGAGAATTTGAAGCTAAGAGAAAATGAGGCAGCCAAGCATATCCCAAGGCCACTTATGCCTGATAGAAAAATAAAGAAACTTTAATTTGTTCACGCTTGACAGCCGCAGAAATGTGAGCCCCTGAGCAAACTGTGTCAAAAAGGAGAATTATTCTGTCTTGCTTCTACAGCTTAGGAAACACAGAGGGGATGAGGATAAGGGCGCCGAGCTCCACAACCCCTTGCTCAGTCACAGTGAAATTTAACATTTCACCTGTGCTGTGACTGGCATTGAGATGTTTCCCAAAATCTATTTATGAAGACAGGGGCTGAATTTGCATGACAGTCAGGAAGAATATCACAAGGTAGAATACGTTTTAATATTTAAAATACAAATTACCCAAAACGTGATGAAAGTTTGCTTTTGCTGCTCCATCAAAACAGATGATTTATAAAACTGTGCATTTTCAATGGACTAAAATGTAGGCCATGATGGTGAGTCGATCGGCAAGCACGGTGACCTCCACCTTCCCACTTGCAGTGACTGCATTGCACAGCCCAGTGGGTGTACGGGAGCACTGGATACGACTGTAGGAAGACTGTTTACATGTTCTTAATTGGGTCCCCTAAGCACAGAGCCTAGTCAGGCATGCTTTTAAGTACAGATCTTTATACTTCACTCGTAGTTACAGGTTATTTTCTTGCTGCTTTGAGACAGTTTTCAGAAAACTAGTAAAAGGCAGTTACACACCTGCAAAAGGCCATGCTTCATCAGACAGACTGGCAGGCTAGGCATTGTCTACGTTTCCTAAGAGGAGTATGTAATGAGTGTGTAGCTGGGATGGGTCGCTGCAAAGATGATAATACACATACCCCTTCTCTATTACGGGGAGTGGAACCAAAAAGAGTAAATATTAGTAACAGTAACTTGTCAGAGGAAGCTCCAGAGCTACCTTGACTCAGTGTTTTCCCTCCGTTTTAAATATTTATTTATTTATATACTCATTTATTGATGTTTTACTGATTATAAATGCAATGTATATCCATTACAGAAAGAAATCTTAAAGTACAAAATATGAACATTAAGTATAAAATCCACCTGTAATGATATCACCTAAAGATTATAACAGCTAAAAGTTTTAGTGGATCTTCTTCAAATTTTGTATTATGAATTCTTAAATATTAGTGTCAGGGGAGAGTTTTTAACCATTATTTCTTCATCTAACCCCATATCATTAGTAATTTTCTATGTTTCCATATATTTTCCTACAACATCAGTGTTAATGTCGCCACAACATTGAATCCATTCAGTGAAGTGGATGGGTATGTCTGCATGAGTTTGACCTCATTTTGAGGCAATTAAGTCGTTTTCTCTTTTTTGTTAATATAAGGGATTTTTTCAATAGGCACTTACATATGTGAATACTAGCCTTATTTTAAAATTATTTTCCTACGGTAGATTTTTATAATTGGAATTGCAGGGTCAGACACACGCGAATTTTCTGTGTTCTGGCTCAGGTGGTTCCTCACAGACACAGCTCAATTTGCCTTCCCTGGAGCAGGAGGAAGGGTGGGTATGTCGGCAAGGGAGGCCGAAACCACTCCCTCTCAATGATGGGTTGAGAACTTCTGAGAAAATCTGACCAAAATTCTCCCTTGTAATTTTCTGCCATCTATTAATTCATGCCAGAAATTTATTTAATGGGAGACTAAATCTTTTATTACAAAATACGTGTGTGTTATGATGCAAATAGCTATGGAAGAGAAACATTATCACTCGAATTCTGGCAGTGCATGTGATTAAACCACGTGTCCCTTTTCATTCCCTACCTACCAGCAGAATTTTATACATCCACAGAGAGCAGAGCACTAGGATTTTAAAATGAAAAGAGTAGAAAGTTAAAGGAAAACAAAATAGATACCAGAAGAAAAATTCTCACCTGCCATAATGTTCCCATGCATATTTTGATAGGAGAGAAGAGATACCAAGCTCCACTTAATAAATCAGTAAATAATAGATTTTTAAGAATTGGGATTCACTTTCCTTCGGTTAAGAACTTGCATACTGGCATTGAAGGATTTCTGCTTCCAAATAAACTGGATTAATGAGGATGAGTTTATTCTCCTGCCTGAAGCAACAACAACTAAACTGAGACAAAATATGGGTAACAATAGTTTTCAAGTGACTGAACATCAAACATGACCCTGGATATACGAATGAGAGTGACCCCTGAGAGATAGAAAACAAACGAGGTATATTTTAGGATTTCCTGAGTTTACTAATAAAAGGGAGTTTGTGGGATACTATAATGAGGGCAAAAATCTAGGTAGAATTCAGCAGACACCCTAAATTGAAAAGAAAAAGCTGCGAGTCAGAGAATATCAAGGCAGCTAGGGGTGAGATTACCAGAATTCTGAGAGCTGCGCTAAGAAAGAAGCCCAGAAATTTGTACAGAATCCTATTGTAGCATTCAGCAAAATAGTCATTCTTTGAGGAACCTACTAAAAACTAGAAAAAAGAAAAACTATTAAGGACAATGCCCAAAGCTGACATGCAAAAGGGAATGAATCTGTTTCCAGGATCCAGGCTGGAGAACCTCAAATTTTATGGATCATTGGATTGCATAATAAGAAGGTATTTGCTTCAATATTTGAAAATAATTAGCCCTAAACCTAAGGCTACTCTGATCTTCGGTAGGAATTCCTAAAATCAAGACACAGATACATCAAACTGTTTCCAACTCTTTAGCTATGCCAGAACAAATCTCAAGAATATCTATAAGAATACCAAAATATTCACATAACGCAAGATAAAATTCAGTGTCCAGCATTCAATAAAATATTTCCAGGAATATAAAATAAGTAGGAAAATATAACATAATAAGGAGAATATCAATCACATAAAACTTACCCATAAATGACACAGATGTTAAAATTAGCAGCTAGGGACATTAGAACAGTTATTATAACTATATTACATATGTTCAAAACAGTCTGAAGTTAAACAGTGGTCGTTTGTTGTACCATTCAATGAATATATTAAAAAGCACTTAATTGCATACTTTAAAGAGATAAATTTTATAGGATATGAACTATATCTCAATAAAGGTATTATTTCTTTAAGAAGGTGAAATAAATAATTTTTCAGACATGCAAAAGAAGAAACATTCATTAGCATCACACTTGCACTACAAGAAAAGATGAAGAAAGTAATTTAAGCAGAGAGAAAATAAAACCAGAAGGAAATATAAGTCTAAACAAAGGAATAGAGAACAAAGGATAAGGTAAATACATAGATAAATATATGGAATTGTTCTTAGTACTCAAATCTCTTTAAAACAGTTTACTTTGTAAATGAAAAGTAATGTATTTTGAGTTTTATATGTATAAGTAAAATATATGATAAAAATAGCATCAAGCCTTATAAGGGAGAAATGAATGAGTACCATTTCAAGGTCTTTAAAAAATAATTTTATTTTGGATTTGGGGGTACATATGCAGGTTTGTTACATGGGTATATTGGGTGATACTGGGGTTTGGGCTTCTCGTGAACCCATCACCCAAATAGTGAACATAATACTCAATAGGTAGGTTTTCATCTTTGCCCTCCTCCCTTCTTCCCCTCTTTTGGAATCCTCACTGCCTATTGTTTCTGTCTTTATATGCATGTGTACCTATTGTTTAGGTCCCACTTATAAGGGGAACATGCAGTATTTGATTTTCCATTTCTGTGTTAATTAACTTAGGATAAATGGCTTCCAGCTGGAATCCGTGTTGCTCCAAAGGACATAATTTTATTCTTTTTTATAACTGCATAGTATTCCATAGTGTATATGTTCTATATTTTATTCATTCAATCCATTGTTAATGGACACTTAGGTTTATTCCATGACTTTGCTGTTGTAAATAGTGCTGCAACAAACACAAGTTCATATGTCTTTTGATAAAATGATTTCTTTTCCTTTGCATAGATATCCAGTGGTGGAATTCCTGGGTCAAATGGTAATTCTATTTTTAGGTCTCTGAGAAATCTTCATAGTGTTTTCCATAGGGGTTGAACGAATTTACGTTCCCACCAATGGTGAATAAGCATTCCCTTTTGTCTGCATCCTTGCCAGCATCTGTTATGTGTTAACTAGCCATTCTGACTGGTATGAGATGGTATCTCATTGTGGTTTTGATTTACATTTCTCTAAATATTAGTGACATTGAATATGTTTCCATATGTTTGCTGTCCTTTGCCCACTTTTTAATGGGCTTATTAATTTTTTTGTATGGTTGATTGGTTTAAGTTCCTAATCGATTCTGGATATTAGTCTTTTGTTAGATGTACAGCTTCCAAATATTTTCTCCCAATCTGTAGATTGTCTGTTTACTCTGTTAATTGTTTCTTTTGTTGTGCAGAAGTTCTTTAATTAAATCTCATTTGTCAATTTTGGTTTTTGTTGCAATTGTTTTTGAGGTTTTAGTCATAATTTCTTGGACTAAGCCAATGTTCAGAAGAGTTTTTCCTAGGTTTTCTTCCATGGTTTTATAGTTTGAGGACTTAGAGTTAAGTCTTTAATCTATCTTGAGATAGTTTTTTATATGGTGAGAGGTAGGAGGTCCAATTTCATTCTTTTGCAAGGGGTTAGCCAGTTTTCCCAGCACCATTTACTAAATAGAGTTTTCTTTCCCTATTTTTTATTTTTCTTGATTTTTTTCAAAGATCAGGTGATTGTAGGTGTGTGGCTTTCTTTCTGGGTTCTCTTATTTAATGCCATTGATCTATGGTCTATTTTTGTACCAGTGCCATGCTGTTTTGGTTACTATAGCCTTGTAGCATCATTTCAAATTGGGTAGTGTTATGACTCCCACTTTTTAAATTTTTGTTTAGGATTGTTTGGCTATCTGGGCTCTTTTTTTGTTCTACACAAATTTTAAAATTTTATTTTATAATTCTATGAAAAAAAGTCATTGATAACTTGGATGGAAATTGTGTTGACTCTGTAGATTGCTTTGGGATTTATGGTCATTTTAAAAATATTGATTCTTCCAATCCATGAGCATAGAATGTTTTTACATTTGATTTTGTCATCTATAATTTAGTTCATCAGTATTTTATAATTCTCCTTATAAAGACATGTCACTTCCTTGGTTAAATGTATTCCTAGATATTTTAATTTTTGTGGCTTTTGTAAGGGATTGAGTTGTTTTTTTTTTTTTCTTTTTTTAGAGACAAGGTTTCACTATGTTGACCAGGCTCATCTCAAATTCCTGACCTCAAGTGATCAGCCCGCCTTGGCCTCCCAAAGGGCTTAAATTACAAGTGTGAGCCACCATGCCTGGCCGGGACTGATTTTTTTAATTTGATTCTTGGCTTGAACATTAATGGTGTATAGAAATGCTACTAATTTTTGTACATTGGTTTTGTATCCTCAAACTTTACTGAAGTCATTTATCTGGTCTAGAAATACTTTGAAGGAATTTTTAGTGTTTTTCAGGTGTAGGATTATCTCATCAGCAAACAGAGATAATTTGACTTCCTCTTTTCCTATGTGAACACCTTTTATTTCTTTTTTTTACTTGATTTATCTGGCTACAACTTCCAATGCCATGTTGAATAGGAGTGGTGACAGTGGACATCCTTGTCTTATTCCAGTTATTAGAGGGAGTGCTTTCAATTCTTCCCCATTTAGCATGGTGTTAATTGTGGATTTTTCATCAACAGCTCTTATTATTTTGAGGTATGTCCCTTTGATGCCTCGTTTGTTAAGGGTTTTATCACGAAGGAATGTTGAATTTTAGCAAATGCTTTTTCGGCATCTATTGAGATTATCACATGTTTTTTACTTTTAGTTATATTGATGTGGGGAATCACATTTATTGATTTGTGTGTGTTGAACCATCCTTGCATCCAGGTATAAAACCTACTTGATCATGGCAACTTATCTTTTGGATGTGCTGCTAGATTTGGTTTGCTAGTATTTTATTGAAGATTTTTGCATTGATGTTCATGAGATGCATTAATTTTATTTAGCTCTGCTCTGATTTTAGTAATTTCTTTTCTTCTGCTAGCTTTGGTTGTCATTTGTTATTTTTTTTTAGTTACTTGAAATGCAATGTCAGGTTGTTAATTTGGGAACTTTCTAAATTTTTGATGTAGGCATTAAGCACTATAAACTTTCTTCTTAACAGCGCTTTTGCTGTATCTCAGAGGTTTATGTTGTGTCTCTATTTCATTTGTTTCAATGAATTTTTTTGGTCTTGGCCTTAATTTCATTGTTTACCCAAAAGTCATTCCTGGGGAAGTTGTTCAATTTCCATATACTTGTGTGGTTTTTAGAGTTCCTCTTGTTATTGATTTTTAATTTTTTCCACTATAGTCTAAGAAGGTGTTTCATATGGTTTTAGTTTTTTTTAATTTATTGAGACTTACTTTATGACAAGCATGTGGTCAATTTTAGAGAACATTCCATGTGCAAATAAGAAGAATGTATATTTTGTGGTTGTTTTGTGGAATATTCTGTAACGTCTATTCAGACCATTTCTTTGAGATTCCAATTTAAGTTCAGAGTTTATTAATTTTCTGCCTGGATGATCTGTCTAGTCCTGTCAGTAGGGTGTTGAAGTCCCCCACTATTATTGTTTGGCTATCTGTTTTCTTAGATCTAGTATTTGTTTTATAAATCTGGGTGTTCTAATGTTGGGGGAGTATTTAGGATAGTTAAATCTTCTCCTTAACTCATTCTAAGAGGCCATCATTATCTTGATATCAAAACCTGGCAGAGATTTTTTTTTTTAACAGAAAACTTTAGGTCAATATCCTTGATGAACATCAATGTGAAAATCCTCGACAAAATACTGGCAAATCAAATCCAGCAGCACATCAAAAGGCTTATTCACCATGATCAAGTAGGCTTCTTCCCCAGGACGCAAGGTTGGTTCAAAATACAGAAATCAATAAATGTGATTCATTATATAAACAGAACAAAGACAAAACCACATGATTATCACAATAGATGCAGAAAAGGCATTCAATAAAATTTGACATCTCTTCATGTTAAAAACTCTCGATAAGCTAGATTTTGAAGAAACATACCTCAAAATAGTAAGAACAATCTATGTCAAACCCACAGCTCAATGGGCCAAACTCATCATACTGAATGGGTCAAAGCTGGAAGCATTCCTCTTGAAAACTGACACCAGGATGCCCTCTCTCACCATCTGTATTCAACATAGTACTGGAAGTTCTGGCTAGAGCAATCAGGCAAGAGAAAGAAATAAAGGGCATTCAATCAGGAAGAGAAGAAGTCAAACAATCCCTGTTTGCAGATGACATGATATTATATCTAGAAAACCTCATCGTCTCAGCCCAAAAACTTCTTAAACTGATAAGCAACTTCAACAAAGTCTCAGGATACAAAATCAATGTGCAAAAATCACTAGCATTTCTACACACCAAAACTGTCAAGCCAAGAGTCAACTCACAAACAAACTGCCATTCACAATTCCCACAAAAAGAATAAGATACCTACAAATACAATTAACAATGAAAGTGAAAGATCTCTACAAGAAGAACTACAAACCACTGCTCAGATAAATCAGAGATGACACAAACAAATGGAAAATATTTCATGCTCATGGATAGGAAGAATCAATATCATTAAAATGAACATACGGCCATACTGCCCGAAACAATTTATAGATTCAATGATATTTGCATTAACTACCACTGACGTACTTCACAGAACTAGAAAAAACTGTTATAAAATTCATGTGGAATGAAAATGGAGCTCAAATAGCCAAGGCAATCCTAAGCAAAGGAACAAAGCTGGAGGCATCACACTACCTGACTATACTATAGGACTAAGGCAATACTAAGCAAAGGAACAAAGCTGCAGTCATCACACTACCAAACTATACTATAGGACTAAGGTAATCAAAACAGCATGGTACTGGTACAAGAACAGACACATAGACCAATGGGACAGAATAGAGAACCCAGAAATAAGACTGCACACCCACCTGGGAAATCAAAAACCAAGAGGAAAAGTAACTGATTTCTACCCATTATGTTCTGGGGTTCATATTGTCCCTCATTTTGTTCTTTAGTGGCACTGGCACCATTGCATGGCAGGTCCACACAGTTCTTGCATGTGCTATATAAGGGCTGCATTTAACTGCCTTCCTCTTTCCTCGCTTTATTCCTAATAAAGGTTTCTACTTAACACATTTTATCTAAGGGTGCCCCCTGTCTCCCAGGTTTCTTGACCAACCTTTCACCCAAATCTCCAGACAGCCCACCCTCAGGGCAGCATTCATCTGGACTTACAGAGCTGGGTTCAGTTCCTTCCTGCACAGTACTTTCACATTTTTATCACCACTTCAGGGGATGGCACTGATTCCATCAGATCCAGCCTTTCGTCCAGTCCACAGGGCGCTCAATAGGGGCTGACTTGCCCTGCCTCCTTGCCTCCTGAGTCTACTCTGACCATCTGAGGATCAAGGTTTTGCAGACTTGTTCCCAACTTTGAACATAGTGGCCATGATTCACCCTCTTGAGATTTGACCTAAACCTTGACTGTTAAGCTGAGAAAAAACAAAACAAAACAAAACAAAACAAAAAAACAGAAACAAAAACAAAAACAAAACACATCACATTACCTCTCCCAAGAACTTCAACCTAAATGTGGATCCCTTATAATTTTGCCTACCTGCCTGTCTTCATAATAGCTTTATGGCTACTGGCTCGTTCTCAGTGTTAAGATGTTTTATTTCATTTAGACCCTTCCTTACTGTTTACTCAGTTGTCCCTCGTCTCCTTCATTTAAGACCATCACCTCTTCATCATGCTTTCCCCAAGCAGGAGAGTTTTCTGTTTGACTGATTCCATAAACCCAGAGAAGACAAAGCTTAGATTTTATAGACCAGCTCTCATGTTACAAGATTTTGTTCTTTGTAGTATGGGCAACTGTGTATTACGTTGGTGCAAAAGTAATTGCGGTTTTTGCTATTACAAGCAATCGGATGCAATGATTGAAAATATGATTAAATGCCAATAAAATAGTATAGTCTGTAGATAGCCCAGTAAATTTACAAGAGAACAATGCTTGTTATAGGTAGAATAGTTATGAGTATAATTTAGGTAAGCAGGGAAAAGTTTTGTTAAGTTTCAGAAAAAGCAGTAATGGTGTAAATACACAAGAGGTAGAGGACAATTCAGCTGACCATCCCATTTAGAAGAAGCATAAACCAAGTTGAGCGGCTAGTTGGGTTGTAGGCATTTCCAATGAAATCACATCTTATCCATAGACTCTAGGATGAGAACATCTCTAGGATACCAAAGAAAAGCTAATTATTATAGCTCAAATGGTGCTATGTAAGATTTTTGGATCTTCCAATACCTTAGTCATCATGTGAATAGAAAAAGCAACTGAAAATAAAAGGAAAGGAAAGAATTGCTACACTGAGCCTGCATTAATAAATGTTTCACACCGAACAAACATCTAATTAAGAGACTCCATACACATTGCAGCTCCCGCTTTGCTGTCTGTGTAACTAGTCAACTCTCCCTTCACTGTGGAGTCAAAATCAACAGAATAAAGTTCACAGTTCAAGGTGGTTGTTCCTGAAGGTGGGCACTCTCCTCTTAGAGCAGAAGCCTTGCAGATGACGGCAATGGTTCTAAAATACAACATGCCCAGGAATTTGGAGGTGGGGCCCAAGAATCTGGTTTTTTTTTTTTTTTTCTTGAAATGGAGTCTTGCTCTGTCGCTCATATTGGAGGGCAGTGGCATGATCTCGGCTCACTGCAACCTCCGCCACCCAGGTTCATGCCATTCTCCTGCCTCAGCCTCCCGAGTAGCTGGGACTACAGGTGCCCTCACCACACCCCCTAATTTTTGTATTTTTGGTAGAGATGGGGTTTCACCACGTTGACCAGGCTGCGCTTGAACTCCTGACCTCAGGTAATTCACTCACCTAGGCCTCCCAAAGTGCTGGAATTACAGGCGTGAGCCACTGCACCGGGCTCCCCATTTTTCTCTCTTGCTTGTTCTTTCCATGTGAGACACCTGCTCTTCCTTTGACTTCCGCCATGAGTAAAAGCTCCCTGAGGTGGTCCCAGAAGCCAAGCAGATGCCAGCAACATGCTTCCTGGAAAGCCTGCAGAACTATGAGCCAATTAATCTTTTATTTATAAATTACCCAGGATCATGTGTTTTTTATAGCAGTGAAAAAATGGCCTGATACAGACATTTGTATTTTCCCTCAGGGAACTATCTACTTAGGTCCTTTGCCTATTTTTTAATTAGAGCATTTGGGTTATTCTTGTTGTTGTTGAATGTCCCTTCCTTCTCATAAATAGTCCTGTGAATATTGTTGTTATGTAATAAGAAAGCAAAGCATGAGAGCTTTCAGTGCATACATTACTAAAGGTGTTTCTGGATCAGAATTAACTTGTGTGTAATTATAATAATTATTATCCTCACAAACGCAGACATCAGATAAGTTACTCTCCCCTAATTTACTGTTGCTAACATTTTTACAAGAGAGGAGGTGAAAACACATGTGCATGTTTGCTGAAAAAATCAGGCCTCCTGCAGTAAAACTTCAGTTTTTCTGTTGTTTCAGGCCATGTGCTAGTTCACTGCTTTTCCCTCCAGATCCTCAGGTTTTGACCTACTTGCTTCTCTTTTTCAATTTCTATCAGCTGCTCCCACCTGGTTCCTCTGAACTCCAGGCTGGTGCCTGTAGATTAGAATAAGAGATTCTTGGCTGGGCGCGGTGTCTCACGCCTGTAATCCCAGCACTTTGGGAGGCTGTGGCGGGAGGATCAGGAGGTCAAGAGATGGAGACCATCTTGGCCAACATGGTGAAACCCCGTCTCTACTAAAAATATAAAAATTGGTTGGGTGTGGTGGCACGTGCCTGTCGTCCCAGCTACTCGGGAGGCTGAGGCAGGAGAATCACCTGAACTCAGGAAGCGGAGATTGCAGTGAGCCGAGATGATGCCACTGCACTCCAGCCTGGAAACAGAGCGAGACTCCATTCAAAAAAAGAAAAAAAAAAAAAAAAAGGAAAGAAGAAAAAGAATAAAAGATTCTTCAGGTTTCCCCCAGTCAGGTGTTTCTGGAACAAACATAAGTTATTTTATGTTTTAGAGGAGTTTCTTCAATTTTAAAGCAAGGTAGCATTCTTGGGCAAGCAAAACTAAAAGTATAAAACTGAAATAACTGCAGGAAAACCTTACGCAGTACAGAAAAGCCCCACTCCAGCATTAGGATAGTTAGACCTGCATTCTTAAGGTTCCCTTTTTAGGTACCTTTCTATGGAATGGAGAATTTCTAAGATACATGAGATAAACTTGACTAACTCTCTCTGCTTTTGTTCTAGTTGGCAATTTTAGGAAGGAGTGAGATACTTACTGGCTTATTACTGAGAAGGGATCTCCACATAATCCTCTCTTGGCAGCACCACCCTCCACACTGCAGACACCTTATGCTTGCATTCATTTCTAAATGGAATTGAGTGACTGTTGTATGTCAGACACCATACCAAGTGCTGGAAAATCAAAAGGGATTAAATAACAGTGGGTACCTTCTTGGGTAATTAAGTGAATGCCTTCCTGATCCTCAAATAAAACTCCTTTGTCTTTAGAATTTCCTAAAATGATTTTGCAGTTATTTCTGGAAGTCTAAATGGCTCTTCCCCCTGAAGTCCTCACTTTTTTTTTACCTTGGTTGGCTTTCTCCTGTGCATCTTTTCTGTAGGTGGATTTTAGCTGTTCCCTATCATTTGTAAATTGCTACTTGGGTTTTATTTTACGACAGCCTATGTGGCTGCTTTAACCAACTTTCACAAATGGTTTCAATACCCATCTCTTCTTATTGCAAAGCTCTTTTCTTGTGGGGGCTCCTTCTAAGTTCCTATTTCAGGTCTGAAAGGCATTCCAGCTCTCAGTTCATTGCAAGAGAAGAAACAGTAGATATCTTCTGAGTCCAGAGAAAAAGTATGGACATCTTGGGTCAGGTTGCCAGTCCCACACGCTTTCCTGCATTTCCATGGACTCATCTCTCCACCTTGTCTCTACTATTCAATCAGTCATCTAGAATTATGTTCAGAGGTTGATGAAGACAGAATATAATAGACCAGCAGTGAAAAAAAGGACATAATATCATCATGGAAGATTAATTCTCCAAAACATTTTCTACTTGTCTTAAATAATATATTTCTGGTTGTAAATCTTAAGCAAAACAAGTATAGCTGTAGGTTCTACTCCACCCACGATTGAAGGATAAAAATACTAAACAAATTTCATTTAGAGATATTGTTTGACTCCAAAGATAATAGCTAGCCATTATTCACCTTCCCTGACATTTTACTACATTTTAAGATAAAGTATAAAAACGCTGGAATCTTTAACATGAAAGTTTCTATACACTGGAGTGTTATGAAATCTCCAACACAGGTTAGATTTCTCAGTTATTTAGTGATGGTTTAAGTGTAGTTCTGTCCAGAAATAGATTGGTTCACTACTGAAAATTCTATATCATGTATGCTGACTGGTTTGCAGGCATTGGATTCCATTTGCTTGACTCCTTGATTTGCGCTGTTGGGGATTTAGGAATGGATTTTTTTAATTGCTTAATACAGCTCAGTATTTTCTTTCCATTAAGGCAGGTTACATAGTCAGAGGTCATATTTCCAGCCATGCTCAAGATTAATCTGACTTAATGAAAATTATTCTATTACTACTGGGGGCCCTGACCTGGACCAGAGGTATAAGTAACAGAGAAATCTGAGAATGAAAAATCTTAGCAGTCACCAGACACCTTTGAGGGAAAAGGAAGGAACACTGTTTCCTTAATACTCTGTTGATGTAATTTATAATACGCAAAGATTACCACAGGTGTGGCTGCTTCCGGGCTGGTGGGTCTGAGGGCAGTCCTGAAAATGGATAGATGTCTATGTAGAGGGTGGTCCCCAAGAAAATGGCTCTTGTTTAGTTTTTGTCTCTTCAGAACTGTTTATTTTTGGCTCATTTTTTCTAACATAGGGAGTTGCAATGTATGCATCTAGTTGTTTGTATTTGTTTCTCACACTCACTCTCTAAATATATATATTTATAGATAGATACATAGAGATATATAGGTATTTATTTATTTGATATATGTAGATACTTTATATACAGATATTTTATTTATTTTTACACATATGGCAAAGACAATAGATATTGCTTCATTTCTTGCTATTGCCAGTTAGGGAAAAATAGATATGAGTTCATGAATATATACAACACACACATACATGTGTATACATAGATCTATATCTATATCTATCTCTCACTCTCTATGTGTGTATATATATGAGTGTGTACATATAATCACACATATATATACACACGTATATATACACATATCATATATACACACTCTTTCTATATATTTATACGCACACATAGAGAGTGAGAGATATAGAGAGATATAGATCTATATATAATACATATATAGGTCTATGTGTGATATACATATATGACACATATATATGTCACACATACACACATACAGTGTAAGAGATAGATATATAGATCTATATATATACATATATGTGTGCATGTATATACATGCTATATATGGACAGAGATATAGAAATATAGACATATCTATATCTATAGATAGATCTATATGATCTATTTATATATCTTTATATACTTATATAGAATATATATACACACACACATATGTGTGTATATTTATGTGTGTGTATATAGATATATATATATGTATGCATGAAATTGTATCTATTTTTTCCTAATTGGCAATAGCAAGGAATGAAACAGTGTCCATTGTCTTCGCCATATCTGTAAAAATAAATGTAGCATGATATATTCTCCCATTCCTCTACCTCTCCGGACAATTCTATTGTTTTATTACTATCATTTTGGATTTTCAGACAAATTGTTATATGATATTGTGCACTTAAAACTTTTTATCTATTATAAATGCTTAATAAATGGCATTATTACAGATATCAAAGTATTATATTCTCATTCAAAAATATATACGTCTTCACAATTTTCTTTCTTAAAATTTCAACTTCTATTTTAGATTCAGAGGTACATGTATCTGTACAATTTTGTAACAACAAATATTTATCATTTACTCTTTACTGGTTTCTTTTGTTTCTGTTATTTTTATCTACTACCTTTTCCCAGTCTTGGTTCCGTTGATTTATTACTTTAGTTGGCTGAACTATACATTTTTTCCCAGAAGTATTCATTGATGGCATACTTTATGTATCCCCCAATGGTAAAGACTATTTTTCTATTTTATTTTTACATGAATAGCAAGTTGAAAATTCTGCATTGGACTAGGTAGATCAATGTAGAATAATGTGGACAATACTTAGTACCAAAGAATATAGATTTAGGCCAGCTTGTTGAATCATAGTTGGATAACCACAGGGATTTTTTTCTTTCTTTTTGCCTTAAAATTTAAAAATTCTCAGGTTGCAAATTGTTACCTTTTTATTCATCTTAATTGGTACTTTGCAAGCCCTTGTGCTTTGCACATTACAGAAAAAAGGTTCCACCTATTAATTTGACAATTCCACAAAATATTAAACTGTATTTCCATGGTCTGTCTTTGTGTCTCATCTTTTCCATTGTTTTCTCTCTTTATTTTCTCTTAAACTCCTTTAAACAATTTAAATTCTCAAAATTTTTCTTGGAAGAAGTAATTTTACAATGTTTTTAATGTAGAATTCATGTTTTTTTGTTGCACCTGAGGTTCTCTGGTCTCAGACTTTTTTCCTCTTTAAAATGAGGGGAATTTTTTTTCAATTTTTTCAGTTGAATTTCAGTTCCATTTTCTTGGTAGGAAGACTTATTAGCAATTTCTAAAATTTTTCTCTTTTTTTTAGAGTAAATCTATTTCAGGGAGATTTACTCTCAGTGTTCAGAGTATTTTCTCCTTTTGAATAGCTGTACGTTCTCATGGGTATAACATTTTTTTCTGTTCTCTTTCTCTTAATATGGAGATCTATGAATATCTATATTGTTTTATAATCAAGGAAGAATTGAGATAAAGTATGTCAGCAATTGGTTGGTTGGTGTCTACAGATCCAAATGAAGTAGGAAGAATCTAGGGGCCTGTTTCCTATTAATTATGACTGAAAAACTAAGGAAAACATCCCTGCGCCAAGATCTCTGCTTCCAGTGGAAGCCCATTGCGTGGTTGGCTTATGCCACCTCTACTTTCCCCCTTGGTCTCCTTCACAAGAGGTAGACTTGTAAAAGAAAAAGGATAGCAGTGATTGCTAGAGAAGTTCTTGCCAAAAGTGAACACCTGTAGGAAATTTGAGAAAGGACTGAGGAAGTTTTCATGTGCCAAATAGTCCTTCTTATTCCCTATTATGGGTTAAATTGTGACTCTCTAAAAATATATTGAAGTCCAAAGCCTTAGAAATTGTGAATCTGTCTTTATTTGGAAATAGGCTTTTATAGATGAAATCAAGTTATGATAAGGTCATACTGAATTAGAGAGGCTCAATCCAATGATCAGTGTTCTTATAAGTAGAAGAAAATGTGAACATAGAGAAATGCCATGCAAAGATGGAGGCTGAGATTGAAGTAATGTCGCTGTAAGCCAAAGAATGGCAAAAATTCCCAGCATCAAACAGAAGCTAGAAGAAGAAAGGAAGAATTCTTTTCTAGTGGCTTCAGAGAGAACATGGTCTGATAATATCTTCATTTTAGACTTCTACCCTCCAGAATAGCAAAAGAATACATTTCTGTGGTTTTTAAGCCACTCAGTTTGTTCTTGCCCTCTGTTGGATCATTTGCCTGGTGAAAGCGAGCTGCCATGTCATCAGGCAGTCTTACAATTTCTCACAGCAAGAGACTGAGGGCTGCCAACAGCCACCTGTGTGAGCTCAGAAGTGGACTCCCCTCTGACACATTAGAGCCTTCAGATGAGACCACAGCCAGGCCAACAGCTTGACTGCAACTTCAGGAAAAATAATGAACCAGTGACATCCAGCTACACCACATCTAAATTACTGACTCATAGAAACTATGCAATAATAAATGTTTGTTGTTTAAAGCCATTTGGGGTAATTTATCATGAAGCAATATGTAACTAATATATTGAGGCACATACTATGACTGTGTTCATCTTTCATTTTTATGATGCAGTCTTGAAGTAAAAGCAATAAGCATGTGAGTCATTCATTCATTTGTTCATTTGTTCATTTACTCTATTTTGTCCTGGCCATTATACTCTTTATTATATCCATAGTAATGATCAAGTCTCAACTCTTATGGTGCTTAGAATCAAGTTATCCCATTTTCTATAAAACTTAGTATGCACCTCTAACAAAGAGAAGAAAATGAACAATTAAGGAAAAAATGGAACCCAATATTTGAGTGCCAGCTGTGCTAAGTATTGTTCTAGGCATTTTCATATATTCCATTCAATTAATATAACTCCTTGAGATTTATAAGAAATTATTACACTGTCTTTATGTATAAGAAAGCCGAAGCTTATAAAGTTGCAGTTGCTTGTAAAAGTTTCCACAGTTAATAAATGATGGCAAGTCAAGTCAGGCCTGTTTTATTTATTTCAGTATCACTCATTTGCAGAAGTACCACTAAATTAATTCCTACACTTTTGTTAATAATGTGAACAGTAACTAGCATTTTCTGAGGATGTACTATGCAATAGACATTGAATCAGAATTTTTACACATTATTTCACTAATAGATTATTTTTAAAAACTCTAGCATGGCTAGGCAGAGATAAGGTAAATCAGGTAATATGTAGAAATAATCCTAGTAAAAATGGCCTATGCCAAGTTAGCAAAAGTTTTCAGAAAGGACAGTGCAGTCAAATCCCATTCATTCATGTATAATATAAATGTTTTATAAATGTAGCTGTTCACTAAAATGCAAATAGCTTGAAGGATGGCCTACGTTACACAGTACCAGAGGAATCAAGAGGAACTTATTAAACAAAACCAAAAGTAGCAAGTCTTTAATATTTTTTAAAATTTCTCTTTAAGGTGGTAGAGAGGAAGTTATTTTTATGAGAATTATATGCATGTCTCTAGCTCTTGCTTTCATTAAAATGAGTTTCCATGGTGTCTGTGTGCTCCATGCATGGTTTTGATTGCTTCTTTGAACACTGCATTTTCTACAATAAGCTATTACATTTATAATCATAAAGAATAAGACAAAAAATAAAAGTGGAATAATTTGGTTTTATGTTGTATTTGATTTTTCCATTGTCAAGAGTTCTATTAAGAATGTGCCCACAAACAATGAGTCACATGACGGGTCATTTCACACTGCCTTTGAGTTACCACAGTTCACTGCTTCTATGACCAGCACCTTTCCACATTTTAACATTTCTCAGTATGGAATGCATATTACAATACATGTCATGTCATAGTTAAATTGGCATCATTTATTTTCTTCTTTCCCAGCGGTGCATAAAGTAATGATATGTCTTAAAATGGATGACATCTTCAAACTGATGAAAGATGGTACATAGTTGAGAAAGCTGCACCACATTTACCTTCTTTTAGGGGAATGTCCCACAAATATGAATCTGGCTAACTATTTACCGCCTGCTCCAACTAGTGTGGAACTGGCCAACACCTAACCAGGAGTAGGCCCACCAGTAAGCTCCTCCAAAAGTTATATGGCCTTGCTCAGAACTATGGAAATCACAATCTCTTTCTCACTTCATTAAAACAGGTTGTTGTGAGAACTCATATTTAGCTGGTATGGGTCATTATGTGCATACCATTTGCTTAGGACTAGTGTGCATTCTGACTTGCATTGCCCATAGCTACCGGTTGTGGAATATTTAGAACAGCATCCCTTGTGTGGTGTTAGATATTGCTCATTGCATTCTCCATCAGTTTTTCTCCTCCTTGCATCTCCCTTTTCCCTATAAGTCCCTTCTAATTGCCTCACCCCCTTTGTAATGGTGACAGCTAACACTGCAGCCATCAGACCTCATGTTTCCCCATCTAATCACCAGTTCCAGAATTAAGGGACCATGGTACTTCAGGCATAATCTCCTGCAGTGTCTAGACTTCTGGATGACTGAGTGGCAGTCCTCTCACATCTGCAGCTAAAGCTCCCCCAATGATTTTGTGAGTGCCTATATTCTGTATTGAATATCTTTCTGCTTGAAACACTGGCTGTAGTGTGTTAATTTAGTTGTTTGAAAGTCTGTTCTTTCTCTATGGGCCCTAGAAGAGAATCAATTCCTTTCCTCTTCCAGCTTCTGCAATTTCCAGCGTTCCTTAGCTTGTGGCCACATCCTTCAAATCTCTGCCATTGTTTTCACATCACTTTCTCCTCTGTGTGTATGCCAAGTTCCTCTCTGCCTCTCATGTATAAGGACACTTATGATAGCAATTAAGGCCTGCTCCTATAATTCAGAATCATCTCTTAACCCAGAGATTTTGTATTTAATTACATCTGCAAAAATTCTCCAAATAAGACAATATTCACATGTTCCAGGGATCAGGACATGCATAAGCATATTTTTGGGAGCCATTATTAGCCTACCACAATAATCTCTGCTTCCTAAACTGTATCCT
This sequence comes from Homo sapiens, assembly GCF_000001405.40. Lineage (NCBI taxonomy): Eukaryota > Metazoa > Chordata > Mammalia > Primates > Hominidae > Homo > Homo sapiens. The sequence continues at coordinate 107,339,900 of NC_000002.12, read as the reverse complement.
GAATTTTAGCATTGTACTGGTTTCCTAGGGTTCCTGAAATTAAGGCCCTAAAACTAGGTGGCTTAAAAAACACAGAAATGTATGTTCTTGCAGTTCTGGAGGCTAGAAATTTAAAATCAAGGTGTCAGCCGGGCCATGTTTCCTCCAAATGCCCTTGGGAAAAATCCTTTATTGACTTATCTAGCTTCTAATGGTTGCCAGTAATCCTTTGTACTCCCTGGTCTGCAGCAGCATAACTCAAATCTCTGTTTTCATCACCATGTGGCTATCTTCCCTCTCTGTGTGTTCGTGTCCAAATTTCCTTCTTCTTACAGGACATCAGGCATTGGGTTGGGACCCACCCAGGTTGGGACTCACCCTCATCCAGTATGATCCCATTTTAACTTCAGTACATTTGAAAAGACCCTATTTTTAGATAATGTCACATTCACAAGTCCAGTTGGACACGAACTTTGGGGGGACACTGTTCAACCCAGTACAGGATTGTAAAAAGTTATGTGACCATGGAGTTGGGACAAGCATTTTATGTCATGGCAAAAGGGTAAGCAGTAAAATCTATGTAGAAATAAGAAAATGATAGCCTTTGTTTCTTCTGATTATGAGGAATCTTAGTTGCATTTCATACACATCTTTTAACTCCTGCGAGATTTCCAAGACCTTTGGACCAACTGAATTCCAGTGCTGGCTCTGCCACTTATTAGCTGTGTTGCCTCACTCAAGAGATTAATCTGGTCGTGCTTCTACTGCTTCATTTGTAAAATGTACCTACCTCATGGGGTTGCTGTGAGGATCAAGTGAGTGTAAGCATTGCTGTCACGAAGTAGGTGCGTGGCAAATATTAGCAGCTACTCTTGTTCTCTTCCTCTTGCTTTAAAGTTACTCAATTTGGTCTTTCTTGTAATACAATAAACTCTGACTAGATCACTGATAGAGACTGCCCATCCTTGTAGTACGAGAGGCATACATTTCAACATTTTGAATTATAGAATATGTTCATTTTACCAATGTATACTATTCTTAGACATTTTATGCTGCAAGTAGCAAAGGGTGGTACGTGTTAATATGTGTCTACAGGTTCGATCACTTCCGGTGAAAGCTCAGTGTACTTCCACAGGGGTCTGGAAGTTGCCAGGAGGTCTGTGAGTCAGGAAAGTGACCTCAGTGACAAAAGGATCTTGGGAGATTGAAGAACAGAACTTACAGACCCCGTGCTGCCAAATAGGTAGTCAGTATCTAATGTTTATATAAGCACTTTCTTCAAAAAGCAAATAGCTTTGCTCCCTCCATTGGATACCTCAAATAGATAACATGATTTCAGCACTCTCACGCTGAGTTCAACCACATCTTGGTTAAAAAAAAAAAAAAAAGAGTGCATGATGAATTCCATCTCTGTAAATTAGGACAATTAAGGAATCATTTTTTCTTTGGATTTTCTTTAAATATTTGGCAGAACAAATAAGATCGGTAAAGTTAAACTCATTTTCCTTTCTTTGCTTTTGGCAACTAGAACTGGTGGGGTCCTTCCTCACACCCGTCATTCCTGCCTGGAAAACATACTTGCATAAGGCACTTACACAAAGCTCCCTGGAAACTCCGGGAGGCTGTATCACCACTTTTGCTAGCTGAAAGAAAACAAAAGATATCCTCTGAGAGTTGAGGCATAGTTAGATTACAAGCTATTTTGTCTGGCTGAAAGAAGGAACATTTATTGAGACTAACAATGTTCTCTACCACATAAAGAAGTCTTTCTCTGTTTGACCTTTAGAAGTGCCTACAAGACAGTGTATCAATATTTTAAGAACTTCAGAACTTTTTCAACATTCCTTTCTATCTATGAAAAATAGCCTTACCAAACCACTTTAGAATATAAGTGTTTGGGGATTTTTTAAGTACAAACAAGTTTTTTTAAACTAAACTTTTCAGATTAAATATATAAAGTTTAGAAAATAAAATTATCAGAATATTTTAAAATCCACCTCCCCCTTTCCCACAGAGATGTAAGGCTCTGTGGACATGACATCAGCTCTTCTTTACCAGCCTCTCCAGACATCGTAGGGAGAATCATGGGCCTGGGGAGAATCATTGGTCTGGGATGTAATTGAAAGTTGTTTCGTTTCCATTCCCATCCAAACTCCCTAGGATTCTAAACTTAGTAGCTCTGAGTTACATGAACATAGTGGGAATAGACAAAAAACAAAACCACAGCTGACTCATTCCAGAAAAGTAAGAAGTTCCTGATTCATAGGCCTGAATCCTCTCCAAAGTTAGCACTTTTTGGCCACACCCAACTCCAGAGAAGACTGAGAACATCCCTTCCACTTACGGACTGGTGATTGTTGGTTGTGTAACTATATTCAGATAAATGCCTCATGTCACACATTTCTATTTTCCTTGTTCTTTGCCCCAAGATGGAAGCCCCACTGTCATATTATCCTCTGATAACTGATCTCCCGCAGTTACTCCCCTTTCAAAACTCTCCTTTCAAAAGACCTGTTTGATGATTAACACACTCTCCCACAACCTCAAACTTCTCACTAAATGTGCCTTTTTTCCTTCTGACCTCACAGGTGCCTGCCTCTCTAGAGGATACCACATCCATTCTAGCCTCTCAAGTGGAGCGTGCTCTTCGTCCTTCTGACCTTATGGTATTTTTCTAGGACAATGCTTAGCATGAGATTTCTTTATGTAACAAGTGTTCATATATAATACATATTGATTACATGAAGAAATACTTGTGGGCCTCATCTTGGGGATGAGGAGCCCTTCTTTGAGACACGATGCAATTCTATATTCCCCTGCATCTTTTTTCATATGGGCCTTTTATGATGTCCCATTCTCTGAAGACTCAGTCCAACATTACACTCTTTCTCTGCACCCCAAGTACTGCCATTAACACAGTGATGTCTGTGATCACAAGGAAACTCCACTCAGGCCCTTGAATTCTCCCAGGCCCTTGAATTCTTTACCTCCAATGGCCTTGTTAACTCAGGTTTAACCACAATTTTCCCAGAATCGAGAAGACAAAGCCGCAAGGAAAGGGCTGAAAGTTTCCCTTTCTTGGAACTTAGAAGTGAAGAACCTATCAAGGCCTGGCTCTCTCTGTATTTTACATAGATCAAGTGTCATTATGCAAGTTAACCCCCAGTGTTCCTCTGTGAAATTCCAGAATTCCTGAGGGAAGCATGAAAAATGGTTCTAGTTGGCAGCTGAGCAATGTTTATGTATTTAGTTTATTCCAAATTTGTCAGCAGAAGAGAAACAGAAAGCAAATGAGAGAGGAGCAGAGGACAGCCATTTAATATCAAAAAGTGTCATTTACTAGCTGAGAACACAGGATTTAGAGCTAAACAGACCAGGGCAGGCAAAACCTAGTGGTAAAAACCCCACACAGTTGCAGATGTGTATGATTTTTTAAAAGTTACTTAAGTTTCTGAGATTCCACCACGGCATGTAAAATGGAGATGGAGAGACCTCCCCCAGCAAGCTATGAAATACGTGAGATATGCCCCTGGCTCACTGCCTGGAGCCCGGCATGCCCTGAAGAAAGGTTAGGTTGATGGTGATGACGATGACAATTTTTAGACCATGGGAAGGTGTGGGGCTTGGTAAGCTCTGTAACAGACTAGGATTCCAATCTTGTCTTTGCCACTAATTACTCAGTTAAGTTACCTTTTTTCTGACTTTCATACTTGCGCTGTTTAAATGGGGATAATGCTGTCCCTACCTGTGGATTAAACGGAATGAACCATGCAGCACTGCGTGTGGCACAGTGGGAGCCGACAGGCGTTCCTGCCTTCCAACCTGAGCTCCAAGCCAACCCCACACCCATAACTCTTATGTTTCAGACTGAGAGGGAATGTGTAGTTGTTGATGAGCAAAAATAAATAAGTAAATAAATTTCCCTGGATAAAAGAGAGGCAGAGCACTCTGTGAGTTGCTGCAGTTGAGTGACTGTATTTATATTCATAAATTTCTCTGATTGTTATACATACCTCAACTACCACGCCACACTTTTAAAGTCCTTAAACAAAGGGACTGTGTAATTATTTTGCTCTCACATCAAGAGTCACAACACTAGTCAGTAGTAATTTTAATAATTGCATCTTGATGCATCAAATCTTAAATGCAGATGTACAGCTTTGGTGTAATAAATGTGTTCCTAAAAAGTCATATGTGATTTTTTTATGTTAAATCAAACCATATTTTACATGTACTTCAGTATTCACTATATAACTCAATACTGTCAAAGTCTTTCAGAATATAAAAAAATCATCCATTTACTTAAACATAAATTTAAATCATAATACCTCTAATACCAAAGTTTTATGTTTTAGTTTTTCTTACAGTGCTGTTTGACTATATTGCATATTATTAACTTGCAGTTGTAGCAAGATTTTTAAATAAGAGCTCAGCACAAAAATCTACGTTAGCATCTATTGACTTAGGATTTATCTGCCTGCTGAACCATTTGCTGTTCTATTCCATCTTCATAATTATTAATGCTATGCAGATATGCAAATATCAACCCATGCTGTTTGTTTATCCAGGCAGTCAAAACAAGTATAATGGGAAAACTGCAATATTTAAATTTTGTTCATTTTACTTAACAGAGCTCATTTTAAATTTTAACCATCACTGAGAGTAAAAGGGTAAAAATGACACGAAGCTTGAAATTTGATTAATTTCATTGTATGGCTTAAATTAAGAATTAATCTATTTTTCTCTTGATAAATATGCAGAGAAGATTATGAAATGACAGTTGACTTTCTCATGTCTTTAAATCAACCCATTTTCTTATTATTTTGAATAAGATGCTAAAAGGGCTTAGATTTTCAATCAATCTTTATTCCCATTGTTAACTTCTTTGACGATAAACCAAAGAAGTATGAATTATAAGTTTTGATTTCTTATTTAGTAAGTATTCATCCCAATGCTGTCAACTACTTAATATTGGTTGTTTGTGCCACTTTCAGGTATGGGCATAACCATAATGATTTTAAGTGTTCTCATCTAAAACTATGTAGTCTTTAATCAATTGTCACTTCTCACCTATTCCAGCATCTCTTTGAAAGTCATCTTACCCTGGCAAAATTATACAACAGATGGTCTTCATTTTCCTTCTATTCAAAATTCTCTATTTTAGGTTTCTGTCCATCTTTCTTTATTTCATTTATATTAAAGAATCCTGTAGGAATTAAGGAATGATTAAGTATGTATTTAGTTATTTCATACAACCTGTGGTGGTTGTGCACAGTGTATCTTACTGATCCGAAGCAACTCATGATAATAAGATTTCTCTCTCATCTTTCTTCCTCTCTATCCTCACCAAGAACTATTTAAGTCCCTGCAATATACTAGACACTGAGCATAAAGAGATTCCCAAGAAATGAGTCCAGCTTTCAAGGATTAGTCACAGTTTAATGAGCAAGACATAGAAAAATTACAGTACAGACGGTATGATAAAAACTAAAGCCAATGTGTGCCTGAAATATTAAGAAGACACAAAGGAAAAACAATTAATTGAAATGTTACTTCAAAGTCATTTTGGACATGGATCTTAAAGAGTATGTAGGGATTTGCCAAATGGAAAGGTTTAGGAAAATGCATCAAACTATTCACGATGCTTAAAAAAAAAGAAAGACAAAACTGGAAAGACAGATTTATCAAGTGAAAACTGAAGACACCTATGAATAAGGATTTGGAATCAATTACCTTAAGAGAAGGAATGTAAATACTGCTGAATCTCACTTTTCTTTTTCTTTGGGTTTGCAGTATGTTTACACATCAAAAAGGGATTAAAAGTGAGATTTTCTTTCTTATAAACCTAAGTGAAGTATACAATATAGATTCTCTTTTCTTGAAAATTAACATTTTATGCAAAATTGTTGACATCCGAAAGAACCAAATTGTTTATGCCCAAGAAATGAGTAGCCAAGATTTTTGTCTGCATTTTCTAATGCCTTTGGCCATTGGTAAATGTTAATTATCCATGCCTACGATGTTACTGTAACATTCTACATACAGATAGAAAAGGCAGAGAGAAAAACACCAAGGAGAGCTCTTCAGCTATATTGTTTATATTATGGTGGCAGGGATAGTCAATATACTGTAAAAATGAATGAATAGCCAGGAGAAAATCCATGTGCTTGAACAGTGAGTCACATGCCATGGTCTTGAATCAATAGACTAGTTTCAGAAGAAAGTAAAGATGATAATAAAAGTATTAATTGATAATGTTTAAAGAACTCTTCTCATGTATCAGGTTCTGTGCTGAGTGATTTACCTGGACAACTTATCCTCACAATCTATGTGGGAAGTATTGTCATTACTACCCCACAGTTTGCTAATGAGAAAACAAAAACCAGCAGGTAAGCCAAAATTGAAATGAAGCACTGTGACTCCAGGGTCCAAGGTATCAATCCACGACAAATTTAAATGCTACGTGTGAGATAATACTCAAAATTCTAGTATACCATAAGTTTAATATGAATTAATAAAAGGAGCGAATATCACCATAGATCATATTTAGTACTAGTAATAAACACAGGTCGGCAAGATTTGGTTAATCCAGTTAGGGTAAGTAGGATCAAACTTGCAGTACTCTTCAATTCTTGGGATCTCATAAAGGGGAGCCTATAGAGGGTACATAAGTACTTACACAGTTCCCTAGATGACATTGCCAGTTACAGGTAGAGTAGAACTCACCTTGTCCAAACTCTACTCCACACATACCAATTTGACACTGATTCAATTGTGAGTGTTGCCAAGTGAGCACCATTGCTCTACGCAGAGTCAATAGGCCACCTGTCCTTAAGCTTCAGACACCTGTATTCCTTGATCTCTGCAGGAAACAGAAGCTGCTGCCTTGCTGTGCCTGGCTGTCTCACTCTGTGTTCATCCTGCTTTGCTTTCCTCTTCCGTGTTCCATCCTCCCACAGTGAGGACCTTCCTCTCACACCCGCAAGGAACTATTTCAATAGTGCTCCAGAGTCTCTATTCCACAGAAGCCAAATACCACATTAGAGTCTCTCCCTCCATTTCGCATCCCAGTAGATTTCTAACTGGTAAAATTTCAGACATCATCCCAAGGAAGAGAAAGATCATTTTCTGATATTCTGGATTCAGCTTATCTAAAGATGCTAGTCCTGCCTTTCATAACTTTTTTTTCTGAAATTAAAAACACAAATCCTATGAAAAAAAGTCAAGGTTTTTACAACTGTCAACTCACCCCATTAATATAACTGATGTCACAGAAGTCATATTTATTTTCCCCAGGCTTTACCACTCACCGGTGGAGCATCAGGAGCTACAGAGAGGCAGAAGAAATAAGAAGACAGGTGGCAGAGAGGGCCAAGAGGGAGGTTAGGCCTCATAGAGGGACTTGTGTACTGGGAGGGCTCCCAGAGTGGGTCTTCCGTACCCAGAAAAAAACTAGAACCTAAGGTTATTGAATCTTTGGTAGGTAGAACTTATAATAAAAACTTATCCACAGTGAAAATATGGTTTTCAAAAAAAGTTAATACTTTTGATTAGTAAATCACTATTCATTTCATAAGCTCTAAAAAATAAAACGTATACAAAGTAAAAAAATGTAAGTCCCTCTTCACAGCCCCATTACCAACATGATTACCTTCACAGAGGTTACTATTGCTTAAAATTTATTGTGTGTTCTTCTAGATCTATTTTTCTAATATATATATATATGTGTGTGTGTGTATATATATATGTGTGTGTGTGTGTGTGTGTATACCCACAACATATAAGATTACCTTAAAATGGAATCTCTAACCAAAAGATACGTACCCTTTTAGAGACAATTTCTTTGCATTTCTCTGATGACTAGCAATCATGAACCTTTTTTCATATGTTTCTTGGCCACTTGTATGTTTTCTCTTTAGAAGTGTCTGTTCATGTTCTTTGCACACTTTTTGATGAGGTTACTTGGTTTCTTTGCTTGTTGATTTAAATTCCTCGTAGATTTGGGATATTAAACCTTTGACGGATGCATAGTTTGCAAATATTTTCTTCCATTCTGTAGGTTTTCTGTTTACTCCCTTGATAGTTTCTTTTCCTGTGCAGAAGATGTTTAGATTGATTAGAACCCACTTGTCAATTTTTGTGTTTGCTGGAATTACCTTTGAGGGCCTCGCCATAAATCCTTTGCCATGGCTGATATTAAGAGAAGTATTTCCTAGGTTTTCTTCTAGGATTGTATAGTTTAAGGTCTTATATTCAAGTCTTTAATCTAGGTTGAGTTAATCTTTATATATGGTTATAGGTAGGGGTTCAGTTTCAATCTCTGCATGTGGCTAGCCAGTTATCCCAGCATCATTTATTGAATAGGAAGTTTTTTCTCATTGCTTATTTTTGTCAACTTTGTCAAAGATTGAGTGGTTGTAGGAGTGTGGCTTTATTTCTGGGTTCTCCATCCTGTTCCATTGGTCTATGTGTCTGTTTTTGTATCAGTACTATGCTGTTTTGGTTGCTGTAGCCTTATAGTATAGTTTGAAGTCAGGTAATGTGATGCCTCCAGATTTGTTCTTTTTGCTGAGGATTGCTTTGGCTATTAAGTCTCTTTTTTTTTGGTTCCATATGAATTTTAGAACTTTTTTTCTAATTCTGTAAAAAACGATGTTAGCCCTTTGACAGGAATAGCATTTACTCTATAAATTGCTTTGGGTATCATGGCCATTTTAACAATACTGATTCTTTCAATCCATGAGCATGGAATGTTTTCCCATTTATCTGTGTTACTTCTGATTTCTTTCAGCAGTGTTTTGTAGTTCTCCTTGTAGAGATTTTTCACTTTATTAGTTAGCTGTGTTCTAAGTATTTTATTCTTTTTCTGGATATTGTAAACACTTATACACTTTTAGTTGGAATGTCAATTAGTTCAGCCACTGTGGAAACTAGTTTGGAAATTTCTCAAAGAACTAAGAGTTAGTCTACCATTTGACCCAGCAATTCTATTACTGGGTATATATCCAAATGAAAACAAATAATTCTACCAAAAAGACACATGCACTCATATGTTCATCACAACACTATTCACAATAGCAAAGACAAGGAATCAACTCAGATGCCATAAACAATGGATTGGATAAAGAAAATATGGTACATATACTCCATGGAATACTATGCAGCCATAAAAAAGCATAAAATTATGTCTTTTGCAGCAATATGGATGCAGCTGGAGTCCATTATCCTAAGTGAACTAACAAAGACACAGAACACCAAATACCATATGTTCTCACTTATAAGTGTGAGCTAAACATTGAGTACACATGGACATAAAGGTGGGAATGATAGACACTGGAGACCACCAGATGGGGGAAGAGCAAGGGGTAGAAAATACCATATGGTCTCACTGATAAGTGTGAGCTAAACATTGAGTACACATGGACATAAAGGTGGGAATGACAGACACCGAAGACCAACAGATGGGGGAAGGGCAAGGGGTAGAAAATGACCTATGGGCACTATGTTCATTACCTGGGTCATGGATATATTTGTACTCCAAACCTCAGCATCACACAATGTACATTTGCAACAAACCTGCACATGTACCCCTGACTGTAAAATAAAAGTTAAAAAAATAGACAATTTTTGTTGCTGAAACACCATCAGAATAGCTTCTATTTATGCATGCAAAACACAGGCTCTTACTAAAATGGATATGAAATTTCAGATATTTTTAAATGTTTTGGAGATAGGTTTGGTTTTTAACAAAATGGACATGAATTAACTTTGCAACAAAAATAAAATTGTAGGAGGACTTTCTGTTTTCAGTATGGGAAAGAAGAAGCTTGGAAGTCATCACTTCCATCTTCACAGCAAGACAAAAGATGAAGGAACTGAAAATAACCATCTTTAGATCCATCAGATAATTGAAGTCACCAGGCGAAACAGTGCCCCTCACACTGGCAGACAGACAGGAAGATGCAGAGAATTACAACTTACCAGAGCAGAAGCCTGGGATCAGAAACCTTTGTAGGAACTGGTATTGGGGTTCATGAGGCTAGGAAAACTTAGAGGCTTGGTGTTGACAAGTTTGAGAGTTAAAAATTTCAGGGAGGGCAGACTTGGTGGAGGGGCAGCTTTTGTGAGTTTTTACCTCCAGGAGCCTTTACTAGGTTCTCACAATGAAAATAACTTCTCTCATGCTTTCAGCAAGAAGAGTAGAAAAGCAATAAATTTCAAATACACTCAGAGTATTTTGTTCTCAATGAGGCCCATCATCAAGAGAAGCTATTTTAGCAGACTATAACTGACTGGAGTTTCAAAAAGCCTAATCGACATGGCAGAAGGGAAATCCCCAACTCCAGTTCTGTCTGGTTTTTCTGTCATACATTAGGGAAGGGCGAGAGGGGAGGCAAACCTGATAAGCTTTGTGAAGGTCATAGACCCGGTGATAAGCTCACTGAAAGACTGAGACCTAATCATAAAAATATAGAAGACTTTCCCTGCCCCAACACCTTACTATCATATTAGTAAGGCTCCTGAACAATATCAGAATAATACAACCAAAGAACTGCATGTCTTAGAACTTATTTAAGAAGTTCCAGGCCGGGTGCGGTGGCTCACGCCTGTAATCCCAACACTTTGGGAGGCCGAGTTGGGCGGATCACGAGGTCAGGAGATCAAGACCATCCTGGCTACCACGGTGAAACCCTGTCTCTACTAAAAAAAAAAAACAAAAAATTAGCTGGGCTTGGTGGCAGGCGCCTGTAGTCCCAGCTACTCCAGAGGCTGAGGCAGCAGAATGGTGTCAACCCCGGAGGCAGAGCTTGCAGTGAGCCGAGATGGCACCATTGCACTCCAGCCAGCCTGGGCAACAGAGCGAGACTCTGTCTCAAAAAAAAAAAAAAAAGTTCCAAAAAATTCCAACAAGAGCAAAAGGGACAAAAGCAAGAACATCAGGATAAATTTTAGCTTCTGAAATCTACAGCTATAGTAAACATTGCACACAGCCCTAGCTCCAAGGCAGAAAAACATAAAACAATACACTGAGGTCTTATGTATCTCTATTCCTTTTACCCAGTGCATCATGTCTGGCTTTAAGAAACAACTAATTATAAGGCACACTGAAAGACCAAAAAATAACAGTCTGGAGAGCAGGACAATCACTGGAATCAGCTGTACATGTGTCACAGGTATTGGAATAATCAGACCCAGACTTTAAAACAACTATGATTAATACACTAAAGGCTCTAATGCAAAAAGAGGACAACATGCAAGAACAGAGGAGTAATGTAAGCGGAGAGATAAAAACTTTGAGAATTAAAAGGAAATGCTAGAAATCAAAAACACTGTACAGAAATAAAGAATTCCTTTTATAGGCTCATCAGTAGACTGGACTCAGCCAAAGAAAAAAATTAGTGAGCTTGAAGAAATGTTAATTAAAGCTTCCAAAACTGAAATGCAAAAATTTTAAAAAAGAATGAAAAAGAAAATAATATCCAAGAATTGTGGGACAATTCCAAAAGGTGTAATGTCCACAAAACAAATGAACTATTTGAAAGATGCAAAGAATAGGGGAAATTTGGGGACAGGTGTATATGATAACTCTTTGTACTTTCCATTGGACTTTTTTTTTGTAAGCCTAAAACTGTGGAAAATACCTACCAATTAAAAAAATTGAGGCAATAATTAGAAAATGTCAGATTTAAATAAATATAAGCTGCAAATGCAATGATTTATTGACTGACGTATTAGAAGTGAGAATCTGTATAATATTACTCTTAACCTAATATCTCAAGAAGACGATAAACAAGGACATAGAAGAGTCAATTCTACCATTAATATCAAATATTTAGTGGAAATATTTTCACATTTGTGTCCTAGAATCATGAATAAACATCCATTTCAACAATTTATAGGATATTTACACATGTAATTCATGTACCAGACTAGAAAGATAATTCCAATAAGTTGCTCAAGACATAAAGTTATAGGCTTTATTATTTAATTAAAATGTGAGAAAACTGGAAATTTATAACAAATGCTTAAACTTTCAAATTCCAATCACTTGGATTTTTTTAAACATGTATAATTCTTTTAAACAACTGGCTTAGAGAGGAAATATACAACTTCAAACTCATCAGATATTAATAAGGAGTATAGACAAATCTATACTTTGAGGAATATTCATAGTAATATTCACAGGCTTTTTGTTCCTTGTCTGGCCAACAAGCAAGATTTCTGAGAATACAATTACTATGTAAATGATTAGAAATATATTGAGCTATTTATAGAAATAGTTTTCAAGTAAGTATTAAAATATAACATTTTGGAATGGGGAAGAACAATGCGTGTTATCCATCTATTGTGGTAAAAATCTATTTATCTAGAAATTGTGGAGGAAAATATTAAAGTACTTCTCTGAAAATGAAATCAAGGCCCAGCTGGCTACATCCATTAAGACTAATTTGATTATGAGATGATACCAGTTGAAATTTCAGCACACATGTTGTTGTTACCTCCTTTCTCTTTTGCTAATGAACTGTTAACTAAATACTTTAGGAAACCTCAAATGGTCCTTTGCATACTTCAGCCTGTATGACAGTTGATAGTGGTGTGTGGGGAGCAGGGAACAACCAGCTAGAAGTAATAGCTCAGGTGCAGAAGTGGAGATTGCAGTGGGTTATTCGCTGGAGCCCAAAGACAAAAAGGAAGAAAAAGGTGGTAGAGAGTTCTCAGCTCATCCACATGCAATAGAAAGCCTAGGCTTTCTCAGAAAAATTGCAAGAAGCTTCCACTTCCACTACAACACTTCACCTCCACCACCTGCTCTCTTTTCAACACTGCCCATGACAAGCAATCAAAAACACTGGAAAGCAGAAGCAGGTCTGAGAGAGCAGCTCACATACATGGAGTAAAAATTGGCATAAAGGAAGAGGGAATGATTCATGAGACAGGACACAAAACAAAGAATGTTTGAAGTACACTAGAGACAAATAAGGTGGAAACGTAGCCTCATATAATGCTATACATAACCCTGGGATGTCCAATTTCTGTAGGGGTCTTGGTCAAAGCTGATCATCTTGCTGGACTCAGCACTAAGTTGACTGCTTCTGCCTGTCATGAGGGTTGCCTCAGTTCCAAATGTTTGGCATGTAAGGAAAGCACAGTTAAAGGGAGTTTCCATGGCCTAGTGCTGGGGGGACCAGCTCTACTCATAAGAAATGCAAAGACACCCTAGGGTAAAGGACTGAGGTTATGGAAAGAGTAGTGGGAAGTTGCAAAATCTCAAGAGCGAATAAGCTGGCATCTTGCCTTCCAGAGCCATTTTCCCTTTTTCTTTTTCTGTTTTCTTTGGGTCTAGTCCCAGTAAATCCTTTTGCCAGATAAAGCTCTGGAGTAGAGAAAGCAGCATTTCAGCAGCATTATTGAAAAATGCTCTTTCCTATGGCCAAAACTAAGACAGAAATGCCAAGACTTTTAGACTCAAAGAAGAACTGACTGGAAGCCAAACATGTGCTGGGTTCGCTTGGTAGGAGGGTTGGTGAAGGGAACAAAAGGAAAATTCACAAATAGAAAATGACACTAGACAAAAGGCCTTGCAAAGCAAAATTTGCAATATTAAGCATACTTTTCATTAGCCAGGAGAACCTTCAGAAAAGATAAGCTGCTTGGATTTTAGGCAAAAAAGATTAACATATTCCAGTTGGTGTTTCCCCTGAGGCTCAAGATGTCCTGTTTTCTTCTCTGCAACAGCTGTTCCCAACCACAAAGGCCCAGTGACTAAGAGAAGTGAAAACATAGAGCCTTCTTGTCAGAGTTCACTTGTGTCTTTGGCCTTTTCTAATTTTTTTGACCCACAGTGTACTTAGGATCCATTTGTAATTAGCCAGGCAAAGGGAATAAAAGGGCGCGCTTCAGAAACTGAGCCACTCTGATTAGCATGTCTTGATTGGGGCTTTGAAATACCCTCAGAGTGTCCCCAACTCATTTAAGGGATGGTTTAAATGCTTAGAGCAAAACCAATGAAAACCCACCTTAACTTTAAATAAAAACATGTACCTAACATCATTTTAATACTTGGGAAAGGGAAGAAAATCTGGTGGAATCAATAAGTACCTATACAATCTCATAGGTTGTAAAAGTTGTCATGTGATAAAACTAGTTTAGATTGGGGTAATTATTGAGAAGTACAGAAATAACTATGAGGGCATGGGAATAGAAACAAATATGATCTGTTGAGCCACAAATGAAATCAATTGTTTATTTTAAAAAATTGGTTGTAGATAATGTTTCTGCAACATTTCAAGAATGTTTCCTCTTCTCTCCAACTCCCTTGTGGTGGTCTGCCCTCTTGGCTGATAGATACATGATCCTTCTGCTTGGGTATGTGGGCACCATCAAAGAAGAGGAGTAGATTTTTAACAGTACGTGCTCATGTGAACTCTGGATAGAAAAAGCCTTGGAGGTGATAAGGAAGTGACATTGAGGTCCTCAAAGGAAAGCCCATCAAGCTGTACTAAGAGGACAAATGCCACCTGGATGCACAAGACAGCCTCAGCGTCCAAACCGTCAATGAAAGAGCATGGGGCTTCTCAAGTTCCCTGGTAAAATGAATTGACATGTCCCCCAAATTTTCCTTCTAGGAAAAACACAGCAAGAATAAGGGATTGCAAAGGTTGCCCATTAGGAATTTGCCAAGTGTGTCCATAACAAGTGTCCCCAAAGCAAATGTAACAACATAGTGAGCAGCTACTTCAGCCCACCACCTCTTTCCCACATCACATCTCTCTGTAGCTCTCTCCTCTCTTTAATCTCCCTCTCTTTGACAGATCTGGCATCATCTTCTTTATCAGTGTTCTGTGATCTTTGAATTGAGGACAAGATTAGGAGAAAGGAAAGAACTGCTTGAGCGAAATGAAATTCTAGAGCTGTATGCATGATAGGAAGCTTGTAAAGAGTGAAGTCAATCCTGCGGATTTGCAAATTTGCAAATAGACTGACTCATGAGGCCAAGCTAATTACACAGAATGGTCTCAATACAAAGAAAAATATTTTTCATTGCATTAGTGTTGACAAAACAGGGATCATTTATAGAGTTAAAATATTAGGATTAATTAATCTGGAATCTCATTAAAGGATAGGTACAATGAGAATTGAAACCAGGAGGATGGCTTGGGATATATAGAAAGAAACATAAAAGAATTTTGGGTTGAATGGCTGTTAAGGTGATCAGTTACATAAATAAAAAGTGCAATTCTTCAAGGGAAGGAGAAAAGAAGTTGCAGCAATCACTTTACCCAGCAATGGTGATGATAACTTTTATGAGGCCACTGTACTATGTGTTCTTGCAAACTCAGTGCCCCCAATCTCAGTGACTGCTGAGAATGGCTCTAGACCCCACCACGGAGCTTTGGAAAGGAAGCTCCTTCCACCCTGCCCCCATGCTGCCCTCTGCAATCTCCTCACCACCTCTTATACTAGCTCCACTTTCTCCCTCCACCCCTGCAGCCTTACTCCTGACAATTGTCAATTGGGCCCACTGTAAGTGCACATTTGCCAGGCTGACATAGATAACCTTGTGGGGCTGACAAAGATTCAAGGTTTAATGAGAACCATATGTTCATCCTGAGCCCACTCCATGCTCACTGCTAAGAAAGCAAGCCAGGCAGACAAGAAGGCGTAGCCTATTGGAATTGCAGGCAGGGACGCAGGAGTGTGCTAAGGCTAGAACAGTGATTCGCAAAGTGTGGTCCCTGGACCAATAGCATCAGTGTTGCGTGGAAACTTGTTAGAAACATAAGTTCTGAAGTTTCACCTAAAATTTATGGAATCAGACACTGGAATGGAGCCTCGCAACCTGTGGCTTCATGACTCCTCCAGCTTAAGTTGGAGAACTGAACTAGAAGATCTTTTACAGCCAGCCACAACATCCTCGTCCCATCTCTCTCCTTGAACTGTGCTTCCCTTATTCCGTCTAGAAAAATCCTTCCTGGCCTTTCAAAATGCAACTCCAATTTCAACTCTGAATTATTTTCTAATTCTTCATCTTTTGGGACTCTTATGGTGATCTCCTGCCAATAGTTCTAAGAACAGTTTTGAGAGTCTTTGTTTTCCTGCTTGGATGTTCCTCAATGCTGCCACCAAACCCACAACAGAAATTGCTTATTTTTAAAACTTGAATGATTTGCAAATAAAACAGAACATATAAAACATGAGCAGCTGTATTATATTTTGTTTCCAGCATGATTGGAATCGACACCATCAGGGTACAAGATAAAAAAGAGCTAAAACATACAGAGTAGATAAGAAAAACGTACATAAAAGGATAAGTAAGAGGGAGAAATTTTGGAACTGAATAGGCTCTATTACTGAGTATTTAAAAAT
Source organism: Homo sapiens (assembly GCF_000001405.40). Lineage (NCBI taxonomy): Eukaryota > Metazoa > Chordata > Mammalia > Primates > Hominidae > Homo > Homo sapiens. Next base: position 107,323,553 of record NC_000002.12, on the reverse strand, counting down.
AACTCTTCTCACAGTCAGAGTTAATTATGGAATGAGCTGTCCTGAGAGGTAATAGGCTTACTCTCACTAAGGTATTTTAATTGTGGATAGTAGATGATAAATATGAATTGGCCCTGGAGATAAAAAACAGTCAATTGGAGGAAATTGCTTGGAGCACTGTGTTAAGAAGCATTATAATTAGATATGGGACCAGAGGGACAATTCCAATGTGGATTAGTGGTGTCTGCTTTGAGTGTAACAACTAGGAATACAGGTAACCTGTAGTTGACTTACCTTGGCAAGTGATGACAAAGCATTTGGTTGCATTATGCTAAATGATCTCTTAGAAATATAAATTTTGGCCCAGCGCGGTGGCTCATGCCTGTAATCCCAGCACTTTTGGAGGCCAAGGCAGGCAGATCACGAGGTCAGGAGATTGAGACCATCCTGGCTAACATGGTGAAACCTCATCTCTACTAAAAATACAAAAAATTAGCCAGCCGTGGTGGCGGGTGCCTGCAGTCCCAGCTACTTGGGAGGCTGAGGCAGGAGAATGGTGAGAACCCGGGAGGCGGAGCTTGCAGTGAGACAAGATTGCACCACTGCACTCCAGCCTGGGCAACAGAGTGAGACTCAGCCTCAAAAAAAAAAAAAAACAACAAAAAACAAACAAACAAACAAACAAACAAAAAATATATATACATATATCACATATCTATGATTAACACCAATAATTTTTAGATGGAAGGTACCATAGAAAGATAAGTTATTATATTATTCTTCCATTTTTGGCACTATTGATAATGATAAGTCACTGGCGATGAAGATCTATCTTGGGGAGGAATGGCCTAAGCCAAGGGTAGAGTAGGCAAGCCAGCTATAATGCACCTTTGCCAGATTTGTAAATCAATAGTTAATACCGTGACATACCTCAGGAGGCTACTCACTAAGGAACAATCACAAAACACTTGGTGAATGTAAATAATTAACGGGAAAGTAATTAGAGGTCTTTTTTAAAAGCCGTCTATCTGGATTAGTGTTAAAGAATTTAGATGAATGGTTTCTACAAGAACAAATAATCACTGTTTCCATCTCGGCCACTTTTAGTGCTGTGTTTTCTCTAATTTATAAACCATGAGAGGATTGAAGAATTAGGGCGGCTACTTTGAGCTAACAATACCTTGGGCAGATATTTTATTTTAAAAAAAATTTCTTTCAAATAATTTTCCCTTTTTGAGAGGAAGGTAAAGGTGTAAATTTGCTCAGATTGGGGTTGAGGGAGGACAAGCATAATTTTCTTTTAAAGCCAATTGAAAAATGGAAACTTTGTGGAATGTATCTGGAGACCCCAAGAACCACATCCATTGATTTGGAAGGTGATTTCCTGAGCTGAATTTAAAATCACTCATACAGAGGTTCCCAGGCTTTAGTTACAAAAGCCATCACTCAATATTTATAGATGCTAGGATCCAGGTGTGAGGGTGACCCCTTACCCATCTGAACCCGCAAGCCTTCTTCATTGCTTGGACTATTTTTGAATGTCATTATCTCCTTAATGCAATATAGTTGAAACATTCTCTCCCATAAATCACCTGTAATCAGTGACGAGAAATCTTTTAAGCCATCCTTCTTGTACTTGTACTCTGTCACTATTTGATATATACAGGAAATTATCCAGCCTTATGTCATCATAAAAGGAATAGCTTCATTTCAATAGAAATGGGTACAAGTAAGTACCTGAAGAAAATTCTCTTTAGAAACCTAGATTCTGTTTTCCTCTGAAAGAAATACAAAGACAGCCATGCAGTAGATCTTGTGCAAGGCTTTCAACTGGAGTCTCAGTTTCCTCATTTATAAAATAGGATAATAGTATACACCCCACAGAGTAGTTATAAGGATTTAGTGAGAAAAAAAGATAAAGAATTCACTGCTACACACCCACCTTTCTTTGCATTGCATTTCTGAGGTGATGGCCATCCCACCTGGAGGCTCAACCCTAAGGTAGCTTTTAGGGGAGAGCACAAGGTGAGATAAAGACCCACAGTGAGGCTCAACATGAAGTCTCCCTCACTGTGGGGCCACTCCTGACCTCCAAGTTCAAACCTACCCCCTGATTTCTACCAGGATACTCAGATACTATCTTTCCATTTTAGCTGAGCTCTGATATCCAGATCCCTGACTAGGGTGGAAAAGTTGCAGTCCCAGGAGAGAGACTAGCCATTTATTGGGGATGTCAACCCTCCATTGTGTTATCTATTCCACCCTCATACTGCCCTCCTGGAGTCTTAGTTCTGGAAATTGCTGAGGGGCTGGGCGGTGCTACTCACTGTCACCTCCCTGATGCATGGGTCCTGCCTGGATTGGTAGTATGACTGCTCCTGTGGGCTTCTGAGTACCATTCTATCCTGTTATGAATATCCATTATATCTCTAAATGACCTGGTGTCAACTGTCTAGACTGAACCTGCTGTCTGTGTTCTTATCCTTTGATGATCAAGTTCTGAGGGATGGACTAGGCATATTCCAAGAAATTAACCCTGTTTTTGTCCTTAAGTGACAGCCTCACTCTAATAAAGACAAGACTGGATGCAGCTCTTTTTAGCCTGGTCTGTTTCACCAAATTCAATCATGGCTTAGCTGGATACACAAGGCAAATAAATCCATGCTTTTACCAAATGTTTACTAAGCATCTACTATATGGCAGGCACTGCTCAGGGGCTGCAGGTGGAGCAGTGGGCAGAATGAAATTGATGCCACCAGGCAGTTAACCTTTTAGCAGGAGAGACTGAAATTAGCCAAGTGTGTTGGATCTTTGCCCTCAGTCCCCTCAAATCAATTTGACTCTCCATTGACTCTCTGCGTCCTCTCGCCTTTCTATGTCCCCTAGATACTGAACTCTGCAGACTGCTTCAACTGATTCCTTTGCCCCCAGGCTTCCAGCTAGGTTTGGCCAATGAGACTCACCCCTCCTGTCAGACAGTCCTCTCCTACAGTCACAGCTGTCTCTGGGTGCTGGAGACTGCTCTCCCTGGCCCCCTTACGCCCTGCTGCTCTGGTGGTGCCTCTGTCTTGCTTTGTCATTCTGCAGTCTCCCTTGACACTGCCCATACCTTGTAAATAACTCCCTATTAAACTCACCTCTTTTGAACATGCCCTCTATGTGCTACTAGGACCCTGACTGCTATGCCAAATGAAGAAATATATAGTATTATGTCAGGCAATGATAAAAATTATGAATTCAAAAGTAAAACAGGGCACAGTAGACATAGCACTAGGAAGGGATCTTTTAGATTCAGAGTAGTCAGTAGTGATCTATCATAGTAGGTGGCATTTGAATAAAGATGTAAATAACTTGAAATAGGGTTGCCAACTAAAATACAAGAGACCATCTAAATTTGAATTTTAGGTAAACAATAAATATTGTTTTAGTTTATGTCCTAAATATTGCATGGAACATACTAATGCAAATGAAATTATTCATTATTCATCTGCAATTCAGATCTAACAGGATGCTCTATATTTTTATTTGTAAAATCTTCCAATTCCAATTTGAAGACAATAAGCCATATGAATATCTGGAGGAAGAATATTCTAGGTAGAGCCAATACCAAGTACACAGGCCTGAGAAGATCCTTGGTGAATTCAAGGACTATCAAGAAATGACATGCCTGGTGTATTAGACCATTCTCACACTGCTATAAAGAAATATCTGGGACGGATGCATGGCTCTTGCCTGTAATCCCAGGACTTTGGGAGGCTGAGGCAGGCAGATTATGAGGTCAAGTGATCGAGACCAGCCTGGCCAACATGGTGAAACCCCGTCTCTCCTTAAAATACAAAAATTAGCTGGGCATGGTGGCATGCGCCTGTAGTGCTAGCTGCTCAGGAGGCTGAGACAGGAGAATCGCTTGAACCCAGAAGGCAGAGGTTGTGGTGAGCTGAGATCATGCCACTGCACTCCAGCCTGACAGAGCAAGACTCCATCAAAAAAAAAAAACAAAAACAAAACCAGAAATACCTGAAACTAGATAATAATTTATAAAGAAAAGAGGTTTCTTTGGCTCACAGTTCTGCAGGCTGTACAGGAAGCATGGCAGCATCTGCTTGACTTCAATCATGGCAGAAGGGGAAGCCAGCACTTCACATGGTCTGGTAGCAGCAGCAGGAAGAGAAAGGTGGACTTCAGGTGATACACAGTTTCAAACAACCAGATCTCGTGAGCACTTACTATCACGAGAGAAACACCAAGAGGAAGATCCTATCCTGTGATTCAATCTCCTCCCAGCAGGCCCCACCTTCAACACTGGGTATTATAGTTCCACATGAGATTTGTATTGAGATACAGATTCAAACCATATCACTTGGTGTCTTAGCATTCACAGTACTGAATATTGTGAATGGTCCATAGAGTTTTATTGGAGGCAGGATGGAGCAAGTTTTACAACCCTGTTTCATTTTTCCTATGGCCTGTGCTTTCTCTCATCCTTTGAATTGCCCAATCCAGTTTCTTATGTTAATTCTAGTAATAGGGCAAAGGAAGACAGAGGAAGAAATCAAGATGTCATAGCCCTCAGTGCAGCAATGAGAAATGAACCTGAAAATTACTTGAAAGTAGCCAAGATGGTATTAGGAACAAATTCCAAATCTTATGCAAACTACATACAAACGACCGTAATGTTCTTCTAACTCATGCATCTGGATCTCATTCCTGGAAAGCACTGGGAGACCTGTGCTGTTTGCTGTAGCCTGCTGATGGGTTAACTCCCAGTCAGGCAGAGGCACTGTCCACATACCCATAGAAGAGAAAATCTCTCCATTAAAGGATGGGTTCATAGCATCTCCCTGGACCAGAACTGCCCTGCCCCTACCCCATCATTCATGCCCTTTCATTTTATTCTTCTAAAAACCTTGGCCAAGGAGGTATCATTATCCAATTTAAACAGAAAGAGAAGTGCTTTGCCCAAGGCATAAAGTAAAGAGATTGATTCCAGACAGAAACAAACTGGTTGTTTGACTCAATGTACTCAATGGATTTGCAATTTAGAATAAATGCTCTGGCTGAGAGCCCTGTGTAAACACTTCAAAGGAGATGAGTCCAAAATCAGAAAAAACTTTCCTAACAGTGTGTGTGTGTGCATACATGTGTATTTAAGTGAATAAAATAAAATACATAGGATAGGAAAAAAATTATATTAAAATAATGTTATTTAAATATTTTAAACAACAGATTGGTACTTATATGTCTCATTATTAATGTATTAAATAAGATCTAGTAGAGGGTCAAGTAACTGTGTTTTTAAAGTGGAGGTGCATATACATAATATTTTGAGGTATCTACAGGAAATGTGATATTGAATTATCTCTGAATTCTAATGGTGACAAAGTCACAGTTATTTTATGACTTTGCGATTTTAATTGTAGTAATTACTATATTTCATAAAGAAATAGTGAAAATCAAGGTGTAATGTCTTCTCCCAATTGAGTTCACATATGAGTTCACATATGCCTGGAGTTCGCTCACAGACCCGGTCTAAGGATCATGTGTTAGCAATATACAGCAAATCTGAATGAGTTTCTCCTAATTCCAAGCCCTAAAACAACTACTGTTTTTATTTCTATTTGTGAGGACTCATTGAGGAGTGCATTTAACATCTGAGACACTTCAAAAATTAAAAAATTTAATTCAAGTACCTGATCCAGTATTTGCTGGAATTTTTTTTTTCCCTGAGGCATAATCATGGCTACGGTTTTCTCATTTCCATTTTTATCCTGATGCTCTAATACAACTCATTTTATAGTTATCTATATGAAATAATTTCTCTTTGCAAATTCATCAAGCTATACATGGAACATTCTGGTACTTTATTTTATGTAAATTACCTACGTTAAAATAATAGAGCGCTCAGGACTTGCCAATGTTTATTAGTATTCTTTTCCTTTTCCCCATTAAAATAATATACTAACTTAAAAATCCTCAACTAAAAAAAGTTTTCTGAAAAGCACTTTCACAAACTATCTGAAACCTTGCAGTTGAAAAGCTAACAGAAAAAATAGGAGTTGATTTTAGATAATAAAATTTTCAATTTTATTCTGATTTCACTCTTACTGTATATTTTTTGATAACCAGAAGGTTGCTTTATGCTCTTCTTCCTAAACATTAATAAATTCAATAATAAGTTCATAAAGCACTCAGAAGTTTTGTCTGAGCATTTGCCATATTCCAGGGACTGGCATTGTTTTGCATAATGTACTGATAAATACCTAATTGTGACAATAGCAACACTAATCATAGTACTCACTTTTTCTTGAACACCTGTTTTGTACCAGATGCCATGCTCAACTTGTGCAAGCCATTCCCTCTCACTCTGCATGACATCGTTTTCCTATCAGTTCCCATTTCTTCTTTTCTCATTAGACAGAGATATCAAAGGCAAATTGCTTGCTGCTGATGATTCTGAAATCACAAATGTTGACCTAAGATTATGTGGAAGTTCATTATAAGTAAACTCTCAAATGATTCACAACAGGCTTAACAATAAAGGCTGCTTGAAAAATAGAACTTTGGGAGGCCAAGGGGGGCGGATCACGAGGTCAGGAGATCAAGATCATCCTTGCTAACATGGTGAAACCCTGTCTCTACCGACAATACAAAAAAATTAGCTAGGCGTGGTGGCACGCGCCTATCGTCCCAGCTACTCTGGAGGCTAAGGCAGGAGAATTGCTTGAACCCAGGAGGCAGAGGTTGCAGTGAGCCGAGATCGCGCCACTGCACTCCAGCCTTGGTGACAGAGCAAGACTCTGTCTCAAAAAAAAAAGAGGAAAAAAAAAAAAAGATCTTGGTCAGGCACAGTGGCTCATGCCTATAATCCCAGCACTTTGGGAAGCCAAGCCAAGGTGGGAGGATCTCTTGAGTCCAGGAGTTCAAGACCAGCCTGGGCAATATAGTGAGACCTTGTCTCTGCAAAAAATTAATAAATTAGCCAAGTGTGGTAGCATGTATCTGTAGTCTCAGCTACTCAGGAGGCTGAGGTTGGGGAATCACTTGAGCCTGGGAAGCAGAGGCTGCAGTGAGCCCTGTTCTCAAAACCACACTCCAGCCTGGATAACAGAATAAGACTCTGCCCCAAACAAAAAAACAAACAAACAAAATCTTAAAATGTATTGCATATTTTTTCTTTTCTCTGAAGTATAATATACAATGTTAAAATTCATCCTTTTGATATATAACTCAATGGCTTTCAACAAATGAATACCAGTATAGCTACCACTCAATTAATATTTAAATTTTCAATACACCAAAAGGTTTTCCTTGTGTTCCCATTGAGGCCAGTCTTCTGCTTCCAACCCCTGTAAATCGTAACCAGTTTTCTGTCCCCATGGTTTTCTCTTTTGTTAGAAGATCATATAAATTGACTTATTTAGTACATTATATTTTTATATCTAAGTTAATTAACTCAGCATAATGCTTTTGAGATGCATATATGTTGTTGTATATATCTATAGTCCGTTTCCATTTTCTGAAATAAATATTTCATACTTTATTTACAAGTTAAGGGACATTTGTGCTGTTGCCATTTTTTTTATTACTATGAATAAAATGGCTGTGAACATTTGCATACAAGTCTTTGTATGGGCATATGTATTCCTTTACCCAAGCACTACTAGAATGATAATTACACATCCTTTCTTACTCTAACACTAATGCTGGTCACTGCTGAAGGAGAGGAACAAAAAGGAGGGAAGAATGACACCTGCCAAGGTCTTGGTTTCTAATAACCACTATCTGACAAAAAGAGCCAGGGCTTCTTGAAGAAATAACTGATCCCAGGACTAGGAAGAAAATAGTGTCAGAAAGTAAGAAAATGCTCAACACACACACACACACACACACACTCACACCTACACACACAGAGAACAATCTGGATAGATCAAAGGGACATAACAGTCAAAGAGCTCCCAATGCTCAAAGCTGGAATAATTTGAGCACAAAAATAAATATAGTAGTCCAAAGTTTAAAATAAATATTCATGAACACGTACTGATATAAATAATTTAATACATTAATAAGTGGGGGAAAATAGATCTTCCATCCAGAAGAATTCTAAATAATTGATGTAACTACTCTGCCCTGAAGGAGGTGAAGCATAACTCCTGGCCTTAAGTATGAGCTACCCTAGTGACTGTCTTCTGAATAGTATTATACAGAAAGGGAGAGAAGAAGAAAAGCTTTACAGTGAAGAAATCTGTCAAACATAACCTCAGCCAAGTGGCCAAGGTCAATACAAACAGGAGTAAGTCATTTTGATGGTGTGTACCCTTGATAAGATGTGATGAGAATCGCATGTTACCTCTGTGGCCTTCCAAAAAATAATGTAATAACCACACTCTAATTATGAGAAAAATATTAGATAAATCCCAACTGATGGACATTCTACAAAATACCTAACCAATGCTCTTCAAGACTATCAAGGCCATCAAAAACAAGGAAAGTCTGAGAAACTATCAAGGTCTAAAAGAGCCATAGAAGACACGACAACTGAATACATGTGATATCCTAGGTGGAATCCCGGAACAAGAAAAAAACATTAGTTAAACACTAAGGGGATCAGAATAAAGTATAGATTTCAGTTAGTAATAACATATCAATATTGGTTCACTAATTGTAACAAATGTACCACACTAAAGTAAAATGTTTCATAGGGGAAAATGAGTGTGGGATATATGGAAACTCTCTGTACTATCTTCATAATTTTCCTGTAAGTCTAAAACTGGCCTAAAATAAAAATTCTATTAAAAAAATAGAGAAGGAAAAAGAAAGTGGTTACATTTTTAAGTCCCTCTTCCTTAATATATTTTTGTCACCTAAGTGATAGGATAAATGTAGGTCCCCTAAAATAGTGACATCAGAAAGAATCCCCTCTATTCAAGCACTGGTTTCAGTTTGTTACAAATAAAACTGGAACATAAGAGTGGTCAAATGTTTGTTGCATGAGTTAATTTTTTCAGTGCCTGGTATAGGCACTTGCCTCACATGCAAATCACATTACTCAAAGCTGATAGGTCCACAAAACAACCAGTACAGTCCCTTACCTCAAGGAGCTTATGTCATAAAATTGTATGCAGTATGCAGTAAGATTTTACACTGAATATAAACAATTTCCTAAATGGTGTTTCATCCAGTAAGTGTTGGTTATGTTCAACAAAGGAAGATATTAATATTGACTAAGCATGTTAGGAAAGTCAATCAAGGGCATACAACATGAAAGAGGTCTTATGACACAAGAAAATTTGAAAAATACAAAAGATCATCAGAGACTATTATGAACAATTATACACTAACAAACTGGAAAACCTAGAGAAAATGGATAAATTGTCACATCTAGCCTTCCAATGTTGAATCAGGAAAAAACAGAAAACCTACACAGACCAATAATTAGTAATGAGACTGTATTAGTAATAAAAAGTCTCCCACCACAAAAAGCTCAGGACTAAATGGCATCACTGCCAAATTTGACCAAACTTACAAAGAGAACTGATGCCAATTCTCCTCAAACTATGAAGGAGGAGATATTTCTTCCTAGTTCATTCTGTGAGACCAGCCTTATCTTGATACCAAAACTAGATACCGACTGAATGAAAAAAGAAAACTACAGGCCAATGTCCTTGATGAACATAGATGCAAACATCCTCAATAAAATGCTAGCAAAGTGAATCTAACAGCACATGAAAAAATAATACATCATGATCAAGTGGGATTTATACTAGGGATGCAAAGATGGTTAGATGTCTCAATGTATACAAATCAATAAATGTGATACATCACATCAAAGATGGACAAAAAACATAAAATCATCTCAATAGATGCAAAAAAAGCATTTAATAAAATTCAACATCCCTTCATCACAAAAACTGAACAAACTAGGCATCAAAGGAACATACCTCAACACACACAATTTGTTCTGTTTTTCTGGAGAATCCTGTTTAATACAGGTTTTAATGGAATTCTTGCCAAGTGAATGCACGAATAAATGAAAGAATGTCATTGTTCTGTATTTACACAGGCTATGCCCCTTTGAAGTAATCACATGTGACACCACCCACAGTGTGAGTCAGCTACCATTTCCAAAAACATTTTATAAAGCTTATGTTTTAGGTCTTGCCTTGTTTTCAATATGCATTATGCATTTCCAAATGTGATCTGCACTTATCAATATATTTGGTTCTAACTACCTTTTCATAATTAAAAAATGGCAATAATAACACCGCCAATGTCAGAAAGAGATACATGCCATCATTAAGGGCATTTCAAAGAAAATCCCAAATTTCTGTGAACAATTCTAAAGACAATTGTATGGCTGAAAGGAGGCTTAAAGACTCTAAGGAAAGATTATAAAAGTGTTATGAAGCAGAGACACTTTATTTCTGAATAGGTATTTTTACTTTCTTTTTTTAATTATACTTTAAGTTTTAGGATACATGTGCACAACGTGCAGGTTTGTTACATATGTATACATGTGCCATGTTGGTGTGCTGCACCCATTAACTTGTCATTTAACATTAGGTATATCTCCTAATGCTATCCCTCTCCCCTCCCCCCACCCCACAACAGGCCCTGATGTGTGGTGTTCCCCTTCCTGTGTCCATGTGTTCTCATTGTTCAATTCCCACCTATGAGTGAGAACATGCAGTGTTTGTTTTTTTTGTCCTTGTGATAGTTTGCTGAGAATGTTGGTTTCCAGCTTCATCCATGTCCCTACAAAGGACCTGAACTCATCATTTTTTATGGCTGCATCGTATTCCATTGTGTATATGTGGCACATTTTCTTAATCCAGTCTATCATTGTTGGGCATTTGGGTTGGTTCCAAGTCTTTGCTATTGTGAATAGTGCCACAATAAACATACGTGTGCATGTGTCTTTATAGCAGCATGTTTTATAATCCTTTGGGTATATACCCAGTAATGGGATGGCTGGGTCTTTACTTTCTAATCTAAAATAGTTAAAGTTGCCTCAATTCCTCATCTATTATTATTATCACCAGATCAGATTATACCCTTTCCAAAGGTTGCCTTTATTAGACGTGTAGGTGAATAGTGAATGTATGCATCTGGACTATTTAGAAGAAACAGACTTAATTAAGTAAAAGGTGATTCATCATAATGACAACTAACATTCATTGACTGCTAGTAATATTACGGATGTCGCACATGTTTTGTATGAAATAACCCAGGCGCTGGCAAATGTTTTCTGCAGTTCCATATGGTAAATATTTTTTGTTTTGCAGGCTACAGTACAGACTCTGTTGCTGCTGCTGCTGCTTTCCCCTCCTCTTCTTTCATCTTTCTCCTTTCTATCTTCCTCTTCTCCTTCCCCTTTCTCTTAATCTTCTCCTTTTCTTTTCTCCTGTTTTTCCTCCTTCTCCTCCATGCTCCTTCTTATAAATAGTCCATTAAGATACACAAATTATTTCTAGCTGGGGGTTGCACTAAAACAGGCGTTGAGTCTGTGAGCTATAGTTTCCTGACCCTAATTTTAACTCATTTGACCTTCATATCTACTGTAAAGGATTAGATCCCATTGCTTTTTCATCTTAAGACAAGTAAATTAAGAACAGGAGAAGTTAAATATTTGCCTGAAGTCACACAATTAGCACAGACTGATTAGGAAATTGAAACGTGCTGTTTGATTTTAAGCAGTAACTCTCATAGTGTGGTTCCCAGACCAGCACCACCTGGGAATTTGTTAGAAATGCAAATTGTTGGACTCTGCTTCCTGTTTTACAGGATCAAAAATTATAGGGATGGGACAAACTCAGGTGTTTTAATAAATGTTCTAGGGGAAATTGGTGCCTTGACCAAATGTCCAACTGCTACTCCATCACTCTGGATGGAGAGAACGTGTTAAAAGGGCACATTTTGCGGTCCTACTTCAGACCAATGGACTCACAGTCTCTGGGTGAGACACAACCATCTGTGATTCAACAAGTCCTTCACGGGGTCCAGATATCTACCAGAGGTGATAACTGCTGCTTTAGTCCAGAGGCTTGCTAGCCTTTTCTTCTCTCTGGATGGTAACTGTGCTCTGTTCCACAAAGCTAATTATGCTTTACATATACATGGCTTATTTGAATATTCTCAGTATTCTCATTTTATAAAATTTCCATCAGTTATAAAATTTTATTATTCTTTTTTGATGTATAGAATGTTATGCTTTGAAGCAGGGTTATTAATTTTAGAGGAATAGACTCATGTCCTTCCAACTAAAATGGATAATATTCACCTTAGATACATAAATTCTTATCTGTTAGGGAAAATTGTTTTAATTTATGGACTTATTAACATAGATATATGTTTGAGATTATTCTAATTCTGATTTCGTGCTTAATGACTAATGTATATTTTATCTAGTTGCTCCATAAGATGACATCGTTTTCAAGGAAAATGCCTAAAAATAATTTCTCATTGTATATTTTTGCAATTTTCACATTGAACTGGCAAGGTCACAAACGTTATTGCCAGGGCTACTTGTTCTCTGTGTCTGTATAAGGAAGTCTGACAATGTGGGCTTGACTTTGAGTCCACTTTAGTGATGAGTTTCAGCAAAAATTCAAATAAGAGAAGAGAAAGTAATGCTACAGGCAGAAAAACCAGATTGAATTCCACAAAAGATGACAGAAACCAAAGTAGCATGTGGCCAAGCCCAGCTGTGAACCTCAAGAAGCCTTTAAATTATGTCTCATTCATGAACTTCGTATTGAACAAGCTAAACACTATGACTAACGCATCTCACACTGCTATCTGGTGGCCTTAATCACTTTCAAAGAAGACGTATTTTTGAGTTATTTTACTTTACATTAATTCAGTAAACCTTAGAACATGAGTTGAAGAGAGTGAAGCCATAATTTCCTCTTTTTTTTTTTTTTTTTTTTTTTTTTTTTTTGAGGCAGAATCTTGCTCTGTAGCCCAGGCTGGAGTGCAGTGGCGTGATCTCGGCTCACTGCAAGCTCCGCCTCCCGGGTTCACGCCGTTCTCCTGCCTCAGCCTCCCGAGTAGCTGGGACTACAGGCGCCCGCCACCATGCCCAGCTAATTTTTTGTATTTTTAGTAGAGAAGGGGTTTCACAGTGTTAGCCAGGATAGTCTCGATCTCCTGACCTTGCGATCCACCCGCCTCGGCCTCCCAAAGTGCTGGGATTACAGGCGTGAACCACCACGCCCGGCAAGCCATAATTTTCTTGCACATTTCAAACTACTCAAGAGGCTTTGAGGAAAAAACAGAGGACTCAAAATTGCTTTTAAGACCCTCTTTCTTTTTTTTTTTTTTTTTTTTTTTTTTTTTTTTTTTTTTTTTTTTTTTGAGACGGAGTCTCGCTCTGTCGCCCAGGCTGGAGTGCAGTGGCGGGATCTCGGCTCACTGCAAGCTCCGCCTCCCGGGTTCACGCCATTCTCCTGCCTCAGCCTCCCAAGTAGCTGGGACTACAGGCGCCCGCCACCACGCCCGGCTAATTTTTTGTATTTTTAGTAGAGACGGGGTTTCACCGTTTTAGCCGGGATGGTCTCGATCTCCTGACCTCGTGATCCGCCCGCCTCGGCCTCCCAAAGTGCTGGGATTACAGGCGTGAGCCACCGCGCCCGGCCAAGACCCTCTTTCTTAAGCCATTGCTAATTTCCCGAGATTTGCCAAGGACTCAAACTGAACTCATTATCTTACCACCTAAGTATTATAACAACCCATTCCAGTTTGTTTCTTCTTTCTAACATAATCTTGTTCAACTGAGTTAGTCAATGTCCTCAACAAAATAAAGGCTATATATGACAAATCAACTGCTAATATCATATTCATGGGAAAAAGCTGAAAGTCTGAAAGTCTTTTCTTTCATAATTGGAATAAGACAAGGATGCTCAGTTTCATCACCCCTATTCAAATGGTACTGGAAGTTCTAGCTAGGGAAATCAGGTAAGAGAAAAAATAAAAGGCATCCAAATTGAGAAAGAGGAACTCAGATTGTCCCTCTTTGCTGATGACATGATATTTTGTCTAGAAAAACCAAAGGACTATACCCCTAAAACACCCTTGGATTTGAAAAATAAATTTAGTAAAGTTGTAGGATACAAAGTCAATAAAAAGCAGCAGCATTTCTATATACCTATAATAAACTCACTGAGAAAGAAATCAAGAAGGCAATCTCATTTACGATAGCTCCCCAAAATTAACAAAATACCTAGGAATAAATTTAACCAAAGACATGAAAGATCTCTACAAGAAAAACTACAAAACACTGATGAAATAAATTGAAGATGATACAAACAAGTGGAAAGACATGCCATGCTCATGGATCAGAAGAAAGTATTGTTAAAACAACCTTACTATCCTGAGTCAAGATGCAGATTCAATGTAATGACTATCAAAATACCAATGCCATTTTTCACAGAAATAGAAAAAATGACTACACAAAGTGGATAATGTTATGGACCTAATGTGAGTTACACAAGCTTGAAGTATATATTATACTCACCCCTGTCTGTCATCTGCCATCTCTAATCCAGCTCTGAATCACGATGATATCCCTTTGAATTATTCATAGCCATCTGTCAGGTCTCCCTGGCTTCCCCTTTGCACATCTACCTTCTTAGTCCCCATTTTCTAACAATCTCTACAGCCTACATCTATATTTTGTAAGGAATGAAAAAAGAGCCAAAAGAGCCAAAGCTATTTTAAGCAAAAACAACAAAGCTGTAGGAATTACACTACCCAATTTCAAAATATTTTATAAGGCTACAATAAGCAAAAGAGCCTGGCACACTAGGACAAATGGAACCCAACAGCGAACCCAGAAATAAATCCACACATTTACAGCCAACTGATTTTCAACAAAGGCACCAAGAGCATATAATGGAAAAAGGACATCCTGTTTAATAAAGCATCCTGGGAAAATTGAATATCCACATGCAGGAGAATTAAGCTGGATTCCTGTTTCTCACCACATACAAAAATCAACTCAAGATGAATTAAAGACTTAAATGTAAGTAAGACCCCAAACTATAAAACTACCAGGATAAAACATAGGAGAAACACTTCAGGACATTGGCCTAGGGAAAGATTTAATGGCCATGACCTCAAAAGCACAGGCAACAAGAACAAAAATAGACAAATGGGACTACACTGAACTAACTACAAAGCTTCTGCACAGAAAAGGAAACAATCAACAGAGTGAAGAAACAACATGTTGTATCAGAAAAAAAAATATTTGTACCCAATTCATCAGACAGGGAACTAATATCCAAAATATACAAGGAACTCAAACAAATCAACAAGAAAACCAACCCACTAATAATCCCATTATAAAGTGGACAGATAACATGAAAAAATATTTCTTAAAATAAGAAATAGAAATGGCCAACAGGTATGTAAAAAATACTGAACATCACTAATTATCAAGGACATTCAAATTAAAACCACAATGAGATACCATTTTACCCCTGTTAGAATGGCTATTGATAAAAAGAAAAAGTAACATGCTTTGAGGATCCAGAGAAAAGGGAACTCTTATACACTATTGGTGAGAAAGAAAATTAGTACAGCAATTATGGAAAAAAGCACAGAGATTTATCAGAAAACTAAAACTAGAACTACCATATGATCCAGCAATCTCACTTCTGGGTATTTATCCAAAGGAAAGGAAATCAGTGTATCAAATACCTACACTCCCATGTTTATTACAGCAGTAGTCACTATAACCAAGACATGGACTCAACCTAAGTGTCCAACAACAGACAGACGGATAAAGAAAATGTAGTATATACACACAACTGACTATTATTTGAACACAAAAAATAAAATTATGTGTTTTATGTTAACACGGGTGGAACTGGAGGTCATTATGTTATCTGAAATAAGTAAGGCACATAAGGACAAATATTGCATGTTCTCACTTATATGTGGGAGCTAAAAAGTGGATCACATGGAGGTAGAGAGTAGAATGATAGATACCAGAGGCTGAGAAGGTATATGCTGAGGGTGGTGATGGGGATGGTGAAGAGGGGTTGGTTAAGGGATACCAACATACAGTTAGATAGAAGGAAGAAGTTCTGATGTTCAATAGAAAGTAGGGTGACTATAGTTCACAAGTGTATCGTATATTTCAAAAAAGTTAGAATAGAGGACTTAAAATGTTCCCACTACATAGACATGATAAATACTTGAGGCGATAGACACCTCAAATATTCTGAGTTGATGAGTACACTTTCTATGCATGTAAAATAATCACATATAAATTACATAATCACATATTAAAAATCATCTATAAATATCTACAAATGTTATGTATACATAAAAAAGTAAAAATAATAAAATCGTCAGAAAAGAATCTCACATGCACATAAAGTTTTGCATAGAATTTCAAGAGGAATAGTCTCAGTTATTCTCAGCACATGTATGGCCATCTTAAGGGGTACTTTAGTAACTCACACGTTCCCATGGGTACACATGCTGTGATATGTCTGTCTCTACTCAGAGAGAGAGAGAAAGCATTCATTACCTAGCTGGCTCTGGAAGATATATAGCCCTAAGCATTGACACATTTATTTTAGATATAAGCTAAACATTTTAAATTACATTTATCATTGGAATTTTTAAGGCTGTCAGATGAAGGACATCTTCATCTGACCTTTTAATAAATAAATGATCTCTCTAATAGATTTGATACTGTTAAAACTCTCAAATATTTTTCAAATAAAAAGATGTGACATTTCCAATACTCTTATTTCATTTGAAACAAATCTCAGATCTAATGGTTTCTCTGGGACTTCAGCCTACAGCTTATGTATCTATAAAGACGCTTTTAATTGTTTTATTTAATCAAATGGCTATAGTCTAATTTCTCATAAAAATTTACACAAAGCACTCCATCTCATGTAACCATACTTTCAACGAGCATTTATATGTTTATTAAATCATTGCCTCCTTAATTGGTAAATGTATTTCCTGTACTTCTTTTTATTCTAAGTAAAATATATATATATATATTCACACCACTACTAACTATGCTTCCTGGTCAAGTGGCTATTCTAGTTAAAATGGTATTCCAGTTTAAAATGATTCTCATTTGACTGTCTGCTATTAGATCCTATTATGAGAGTTCTGATCATAAATCCCCAATAGGAATAGAAACAATTTCCGTATGAGCACATCAACGACTGCTTTCCCAAGGATGAGTATTATTGTTTGTGTTTTTTTCCTTTATGGAAAAGGACACAAGGTTGAATTTTTTGTGGTGGTGGTGTTTTCTTAAAAAGATACAGGCTTGCTTGTAGATTTATCTCTAAAGATACAGCTTAGCAGGCAGGCACATGAACTATTGCAACAAAGTCTCAATTGTTCTCTGACTTGTGCCACTTTGCGGTGTGTGCTCGGGTACATCTGTGTGTCTGGGAGCTTTATGTTGTTTCTGGGGTCTGAGTGCATGCAGAGAGCAGAAGCCAGGTGAACTACCCGCACAGCTACTGACAGAGGGAGACCCCTCAGCTGTCCACTCCTTCCTGGCAGCAGAATCTGTGTTTATGTGAACACCTAGCTTTGCTCTCCCATTCAGAGTCCTTGCTGCCTACGTCTCTCTGCCATTAGTTAACCCCACAAATGACAATGAAAGAAGCAAGATGCCTGTTTTCTCCAGTTAAATGTCAAATTTATCAAAGTATAGATAATAGCTGTTTTCCAACTTGTTTCAATAAGATCACTTAACTTGTTCTGCATTTTCAAGGAGCAAAGCTGAATAAATTCCTTTGTGTAAAATGCAGTCAACATAACTGGTTGATAGTCTTCTAGCTGTTCAAACCTGCCAGCATCTCTGTTCCCTCACATGTACCATACTTCCCTTCAGTTTCCCTACTGATGGTACTGAAAATGTCGACAGGTACAGAAAAAAAGAGACTCTATTCGAGTGTTAGTGGATAGCTTTTGAAATTCAGAAGTTCTTGCCCTAAAATAAATCTGGAATGAGAGCTGGAGTATATTCAATATGTGTACTCTGCGATGTTCTTTTGGCTTTAGAAAAAGTTAAGGAAGAAAAATCACATCAGATTTAGATGGTGACTGTGAATGCTTGGCTTAAAAAGGCACTGGGTATGCTTGCTCACAAAGCCACTTTCATATTTCCCCGGTCCTCTCCTTCAAAGAGCTCTTTCAGCTGAGAAGTTCACACTGAGGGAGCAGAACACACACCTAGGTCCACATCCACGTGGGGCTCCGGGGTGGCTGGGATGCTGTTGGGATTCTCCCCAGCACAAAGTTTGGGACATAGCTTTTTCGTTTTCAGAACACAGCTGAATCGTGTGTTTGTCAAGTTACCTCTGAAGGAGTACTTAGTTTATGTGAAGCCCCGTGCGAATGAGGGTCTCAAGAAAGGTCGCTGAGGGATAAG
This sequence comes from Homo sapiens, assembly GCF_000001405.40. NCBI lineage: Eukaryota > Metazoa > Chordata > Mammalia > Primates > Hominidae > Homo > Homo sapiens. The sequence continues at coordinate 107,305,159 of NC_000002.12, read as the reverse complement.
CACATTGTGGAAAATAGTGACGGAGGCTGTCAGTTCTCCCAAGAAGGAAGAGCGTGTCGCCCTCCACGATCTCTGGGAGCCGGCTTATCTTGTGCTGTCAATCTGCGTAGCTTTGGGCCACCACAGATATCAGAGCCCACAGCGGCCAAGGCCACATTTGTAACTGTCAGGGACTGTTCCTAATAGTTAAAGAATGTACTCTGTTGTTGTAAGGAATGCTCATTGTCCTACACAGCACCATCCTGACCAATAAACTAACTTTGATGAACCTGTGGGTATACTTTTAAGTTAGCCCAGCTGGCCATCAACTCAATTCAGTTAGAATTTGTGTCAACTAGTTTGGAAAACATATGTTCTTTCTTCCCTCCCTCCCTCCCTCCCTTTCTTTCTTCCTTCCTTCCTTCCTTCCTGCTGGTTGTTTTCATTTTTTGTTTTTTGCTTGCAAATTATCTCTTTATTGATAAAAAGCTTCCTGGGTATGGCTAACACGAACATAATTTTTCTGCATTTGCTGGTTTAATTACAAAGAACTGTGACTTGTGGTTGGGAAGAAAACAAGTCAAAAGGAACCTGAGTTTAGCTGTAAGCTCATGAATTACACCATGACTTTGTCAACTTCAAAAAGAAAAAAAAGAATCTGACAGAAAGAGAGAAAAGAGAGAGAGATAAATAGTTCAAATCACATTATCCTCTAGAGTATTTGAAAAGTTGCAGATAAAATTTATGGGGGCATAAATATCCATACAATGATGGGGTATTTCTCCAATCATTCATATATGTTGCCAGCAAACTCCTGAAAAAACACAAGGAGTCACTACCCTCTGAGAGCTTTAGAGATGTCATACATGAAAGAAAAATGCTTGTGTCTAGGTGAGCAATTTGAAACAAAAGAATAGGAGAGAAAGAAATAGGCAGTCAAACATCCCCCTAACTTCTTTCAGATGAGTCATCCCATCATGTGATGTGCTTGCTGCCATAACCACTTGCCCACGTGTCCTCATGGGACTGAGCCTTATAATGTGTGAGCTTCTCTCACAGAGACCCACGTGGCTATAGGTCTCTCAGCCCAGAATACCACTTCTTCCTTCCCAATCTTAGCCCTGAGAGCCAATGAGAAACATTCCCTAGGACAAGTTACCCTCACAGGAGCCCACAATCCAGTAACAGGCAAGCAAGCTGCTTTAATGATTTGTTCTGTGTCCATTTGAAATGGAGAAGTTTCTAAGCCTACTCCCTTGAGAAAGGCAGGACACAACCTATCTAAATGCTACCTGGTAAATTTTGACCCTTGTCAAAACTCAGACCCATTAGATAGAAAATAATTTACCAAATACATTTAATTGCATTTCTAACTTATTCCTTTATAAAATGCCTATCATGGTGCCAAACCCATAAAAACAAGACAGAAGTACATTTTAATTCTTTGCCCTCATCTTTTATAATAACAGCTCTTATTCCTAGCCTATATTTGGAAAGCATTTTAGAGTTTGGAGTTTTCTGGCTATGTTGTAATTGTTAAATAAATTATTTGTTAGGGTTATGCAAGTAAGGAATATAAAGCAAGCAGTTTTCAAAATGTTTACTTCTCACACATATTGCCTTTACATATTCTGAAATGAATAAATTTATCAATCAAGGCTGAATTCACAAGATAATTACAGCCCATGCATTCATGTTCCCCTCTCAGAGTAAAAACATAGCGTGTACAATGTTAGTACAATAATGTACAATTAGCGTGTACAATGCATACGTACATCTCAACCACAAATTCTATCAAACCTATAAAATCACAATCTGCCCAAGTAACTGAAGATTATGGCTGGATTGGAGCCTTGTGCATTTCTTGACAGAGCTCTGGGATGAGCCATGCATCCCTTTAACGTGGAGCTTCCCTCATTTTAGCAAGCAGACCAACATTTCTGAACAAAGCAAGGATGTTGTTTCTTTATTATTATTATGCCCCCAGATTCCCAGGTGAAATCAGGATAAGACAAAAGACCAAACTGCTCCATATCCAGGGACAAGTCCAGGTTTCATCAGCAATTCCAGAGAATGGTAACTTGTGTGGAGACAGCGATGAATTCCTGTATATTTCTTTCTTTTGAAATGTAGAACAAACACTTCCCAGTATCCCCAAAAACCTGAATGAGCAAAGTCCACTTCAAATTGCATCACTGTTCCTTCCATTTGTCGTAGTATATATATTAAAAACAAATTCACTTGCCATGTTATAGAAACGTATACATGTGTACATATATTTATACATACGCATGCACACATTTATACATACACACACATATATTTATATATTATATATATTTATATTTATATATTTATATTTGAGACGGAGTTTCGCTTTTGTTGCTCGGGCTGGAGTGCAATGGCGCGACCTTGGTTCACTGCAACCTCCGCCTCCCCAATTCAAGCGATTCTCCTGTCTCAGCCTCCCAAGTAGCTGGGGTTACAGGCATATGCTACCACACCCAGCTAATTTTTTTTGGTAATTTTTTGTATTTTTTATTTTTATTTATTTACTTTTATTTTTATTTTTTTGAGACAGAGTCTTGCTTTGTCGCCCAGGCTGGAGTGCAGTGGCGCGATCTCGGCTCACTGCAAGCTCCGCCTCCCGGGTTCACGCCATTCTCCTGCCTCAGCCTCCTGAGTAGCTGGGACTGCAGGCTCCCGCCACCACACCTGGCTAATTATTTGTATTTTTAGTAGAGACGGGGTTTCACCGTGTTAGCCAGGATGGTCTCCATCTGCTGACCTCGTGATCCACCCGCCTCAGCCTCCCAAAGTGCTGGGATTACAGGCGTGAACCACCACACTTGGCCCTCAAACACATGTATATATTGAAGCGTATGTATGATGAATTATCTTCTGTGGAATATGACAAGGATTTCTAACGTAGAATCTAATTTCATGGCTCCCCCATGACCATCCTCACTTACCAAGGACAGTCTCATACTGCCTAGTGAAATGTGAAGGTGGAGTTCATGGAGGAGACAAAGCAGGAGCCAGGCTTTTAAGGAAGCACTAAGTTACATTACTGAAGAGAGAGGGAAGGCAGGCACAAAGAGAGAGAAACTTTTGCAACACAAGTAACTAACAAAGGATTAATATCAGAATTATGAAAAACGCTTAATATGAAACAAATTAAGGCAGATTTTATTTATGTGAAGTTCCAGAACATCCGATAGTGAATGGTAGGGGCAGAAAAACTTCACCTTTATCCTCTTAGGGTCCAAGCTGTGTGAAGAATTAAATAACATAGGATAGATTAACAGGAGAAGAACATAATACAAGATTTACAAGGCATAGGAGCCCCTCTAAAGAAATGAAGACTCAAATTAACAGAGTCAGTTGCTTGTATAAAGAATTGGACAAAAAAGTAGTAAGTTGTGAAGAAGCAACTAAATTATATGGGAGGCTTAAAAGATAAGAGTTATTTTAACAAGGTCTGTACAGAATTCTCTCCGTTTCGACTTCCCATCCTTGAAAATAAGGATGCTGTATCTTTCTAGTTTAAAGAGGGTGTCTTTCACCTGGGAATTTCAACTTCTGCTTTTAAGAAACAGCGGGAAAGTCAAAGTGACCTTTCTGTACCTGCTGTTTTCCAAGTGCCTTTAACTTAACTAGTCATTGTGCCAGGGCAGCATTTTTTTAACGTTTTCAGAACTATACATTATAAAGGAGACAAAGTTATAAAAACGAGAGAATAATTTTAAAATCCCAGGCATGACTGTCTTTGCAGAGGGATTAGAAAAGGAAAGGCATGTGCTATTGTCTTCGTTTTGCCACTTGGAGCTTGAGGATTAAAGAGGGCTGTGCCTTTGCCCTGTGAAGGGGCTCACCCAAAGTCTGAACATGAAAAAGGCAGAGGGAGCATCCCTTTAACATAGTGCTTCCTTCATTTTAGCAAGTAGACTGACCATTTCATGGCTATTCTGTTTGGTAAGTAGGAAAAAAAGAAAAAAACACTAGATATTCCAAAAAGATTTTCTTACTTGGTTTTGATCATTCCTTTTTACTTATAATAGGTGCTGAGATGAATTCACAATGCCATCAGGATGCAGGCAATAATCGTATGCCTTCTTGAACAAAAATTAAAAGTTAATTAAAATTTTTATGCATGGGAAGTATCGCCCTTATCCTTTCTGAAAGACTTCACATATTACCTGCTTGGCTACAAAACCAGAAAATAACTCTTTAGGAGTCTTACTTCCAAGTTTTTATTTTCTGGGAAGATAGAAACTTTCTTGACTATGCTGTCAGAGTTGGTTGAAGCACCATGAAACAGCTCCCCTCTCTTTTAGTGGCTTAAAAATAATGTATTGTTTTATTTTGCAGAATTAACCAAAGATTCTCTTGGTTTTTTCTTGATTCTCCAAAACTAGTCTTTTTGTACAGCCCCTATTATTTATACCCCGTATTCATGTTACGATGCTGCAGCAGAAGTAAATGGGTAAGCCAGATGAGGCATGAGTTTCTGCTAGCTTGTATGAGACCAAGCTTCACATCTCACCTGTGTGCAGACTGTGTCACTGATGAGACATAGCAAGGTCCTTAAAAATGGCCATGCACTTGGACACAGCCAGTCTACTCCTAAAAATATACCATTAGGAAATAATCAGAAATGGGATTAATGATTTGTGAGTTAATGTATTTATCATATGTATTTATATAACGGCAAAATAATGTGAACAACTATAACACGGAACAGTAGGTGAATAATAAAATAAGCTATGGTACATTCATATGAGAAGCATTTTACAGCCATTAAAAATAACTTTAAGGAAATATTTAATGACAGAAAATACTCCTGATATTATATTAAGTGAAACAAAACATTCATCAAAACATGAACCTGAGCATCCAAATCCCTGAAAACACATTCATATGGAAAAAATAAAAGACAATAAACTAAAAGAAATGTAATAAACTAGCAAAAACTTCTAGGTAATGAAATTAGTGGTTTGGATTCTTTTTCTATCATTTCCCAAATGTATGTGGCTATTGTTTCTTTCTAATAAGAAAATCATTATTTAAAAAATATATTTCTATAGATACACAACGAGGAAAATGTCTAACATATTATAGGATAAGTATCAAATATAAGGTAAAATCCATTTATTGTTGATAGACCCAACGTTAGAGTCATAAGTTGGATATTTAAAACCTATTATAGAGGGTGTGGAGCCAAGATGGCTGAATAGGAACAGCTCCAGTCTACAGCTCCCAGTGTGAGCGACACAGAAGACAGGTGATTTCTGCATTTCCAACTGAGGTACCGGGTTCATCTCACTGCAGAGTGCTGGACAGTGGGTACAGGACAATGGGTGCAGCACACCGTGTGTGAGCCGAAGCAGGGCGAGGCATCACCTCACCTGGGAAGCACAAGGAGTCAGGGAATTCCTTTTCCTAGTCAAAGAAAGTGGTGACAGATGGCACCTGGAAAATCAGGTCACTCCCACCCTAATACTGTGCTTTTCCAACAGGCTTATCAAACGGCACACCAGGAGATTATATCCCACACATGGCTCGGAGGGTCCTACGCCCATGGAGCCTCGCTCATTGCTAGCACAGCAGTCTGAGATCAAACTGCAAGGTGGAAGCTAGGATAGGGGAGGGGAGCCCACCATTGCTCAGCCTTGAGTAGGTAAACAAAGTGGCCAGGAAGTTTGAACTGGGTGGAGCCCACCACAAGTCAAGGAGGCCTGCCTGCCTCTGTAGGCTCCACCTCTGGGGGCAGGACACAGACAAACAAAAGACAGCAATAATCTCTGCAGACTTAAATGTCCCTGTCTGACAGCTTTGAAGAGAGTAGTGGTTCTCCCAGCACCCAGCCTGAGATCTGAGAACGGGCAGACTGCCTCCTCCAGTTGGTCCCTGAACCTTGAGTAGCCCAACTGGGAGGCACCCCCCAGTAGGGGCAGACTGACACCTCACATGGCTGGGTACTCCTCTGAGACAAAAATTCCAGAGGAAGGATCAGGCAGCAGCATTTGCGGTTCACCAATATCCACTGTTCTACAGCCACCACTGCTGATACCCAGGCAAACAGGGTCTGGAGTAAACTCCAGTAAACTCCAACAGACATGCAGCTGAGGGACCTGACTGTTAGAAGGAAAACTAACAAACAGAAAGGACATCCACACCAAAAACCCATCTGTACGTCACCATGATCAAAGACCAAAGGTAGATAAAACTACAAAGATGGGCAAAAAACAGAGCAGAAAAACCATAAACTCTAAAAATCAGAGCGCCTCTCCTCCTCCAATGGAACCCAGCTCCTCACCAGCAACGGAACAAAGCTGGACGGAGAATGACTTTGACAACTTGAGAGAGGAAGTCTTCAGAAGATCAAACTACTCCGAGCTAAAGGAGGAAGTTCGAACCAATGGCAAAGATGTTAAAAACTTTGAAAAATAATTAGACTAATGGATAACTAGAAGAACCAATGCAGAGAAGTCCTTAAAGGACCTGATGGAGCTGAAAACCATGGCACGAGAATTACGTGACGAATGCACAAGCCTCAATAACCGATGCAATGAACTGGAAGAAAGGGTATTAGCGATGGAAGATGAAATTAATGAAATGAAGCGTGAAAAGAAGTTTAGAGAAAAAAGAATAAAAAGAAATGAACAAAGCCTCCAAGAAATATGGGACTATGTGAAAAGACCAAATCTACGTCTAATTGATGTACCTGAAAGTGACAGGGAGAATGAAACCAAGTTGGAAAACACTCTGCAGGATATTATCCAGGAGAATTTCCCCAATCTAGCAGGGCAGGCCAACATTCAAATTCAGGAAATACAGAGAACGCCACAAAGATACTCCTCGAGAAGAGCAATGACAAGACACATAATTGTCAGATTCACCAAAGTTGAAATGAAGGAAAGAATGTTAAGGGCAGCCAGAGAGAAAGATCAGGTTACCCACAAAGGGAAGCCCATCAGACTAACAGCGGATCTCTCAGCAGAAACTCTACAAGCCAGAAGAGAGTGGGGGCCAATATTCAACATTCTTAAAGAAAAGAATTTTCAACCCAGAATTTCATATCCAGCCAAACTAAGCTTCATAAGTGAAGGAGAAATAAAATACTTTACAGACAAGCAAATGCTGAGAGATTTTGTCACCACTAGGCCTGCCCTAAAAGAGCTCCCAAAGGAAGAACTAAACATGGGAAGGAACAACCAGTACCAGCCACCACAAAAACATGACAAATTGTAAAGACAATCAAGGATAGGAAGAAACTGCATCAACTAATGAGCAAAATAACCAGCTAACATCATAATGACAGGATCAAATTCACACATAACAATACTAACCATAAATGTAAATGGGCTGAATGCTCCAATTAAAAGGCACAGACTGGCAAATTGCATAAAGAGACAAGACCCGTCAGTGTGCTGTATTCAGGAAACCCATCTCACGTGCAGAGACACACATAGGCTCCAAATAAAGGGATGGAGGAAGATCTACCAAGCAAATGGAAAACAAAAAAAGGCAGGGGTTGCAATCCTAGTCTCTGATAAAACAGACTTTAAACCAACAAAAATCAAAAGAGACAAAGAAGGCCATTATATAATGGTAAAGGGATCAATTCAACAAGAAGAACTAACTATCCTAAATATATATGCACCCAATACAGGAGCACCCAGATTCATAAAGCAAGTCCTTAATGACCTACAAAGAGACTTAGACTCCCACACAATAATAGTGGGAGACTTTAACACCCCACTGTCATCATTACACAGATCAACAAGACAGAAAGTTAACAAGGATATCCAGGAATTGAACTCAGCTCTGCACCAAGCAGATCTAATAGACATCTACAGAACTCTCCCCCGAAATCAACAGAATATACATTCTTTTCAGCACCACACCACACCTAATCGAAAACTGACCACATAGTTGGAAGTAAAGCACTCCTCAGCAAATTTAAAAGAACAGAAATTATAACAAACTGTCTCTCAGACCACAGTGCAATCAAACTAGAACTCAGGGTTAAGAAACTCACTCAAACCGCTCACTACATGGAAACTGAACAACCTGCTCCTGAATGACTACTGGGTGCATAACAAAATGAAGGCAGAAATAAAGATGTCCTTTGAAACCAGTGAGAACAAAGACACAACATACCAGAATCTCTAGGACACATTCAAAGCAGTGTGTAGAGGGAAATTTATAGCACTAAATGCCCACAAGAGAAAGCAGGAAAGATCTAAAATGGACACCCTAACATCATAATTAAAAGAACTAGAGAAGCAAGAGCAAACACATTCAAAAGCTAGCAGAAGGCAAGAAATAACTAACATCAGAGCAGAATTGAAGGAAATAGAAACACAAAAAAACCCTTCAAAAAATTAATGAATCCAGGAGCTGGTTTTTTGAAAAGATCAACAAAATTGATAGAGCACTAGCAAGACTAATAAAGAAGAAAAGACAGAAGAATCAAATAGATGCAGTAAAAAATGACAAAGGGGATATCACCACCGATCCCACAGAAATACAAACTACCATCAGAGAATACTATAAACACCTCTACGCAAATAAACTAGAAAATATAGAAGAAATGGATAAATTCCTCGACACATACACCTCCCAAGACTAAACCAAGAAGAAGTTGAATCTTTGAATAGACCAATAACAAGCTCTGAAATTGAGGCAATAATTAACAGCTTACCAACTAAAAAAAGTCCAGGACCAGATGGATTCACAGCCAAATTCTACCAGAGGACAAGGAGGAGCTGGTACCATTCCTTCTGAAACTATTCCAATCAATAGAAAAAGAGGGAATCCTCCCTAACTCATCTTATGAGGCCAGCATCATCCTGATACCAAAGCCTGGCAGAGACACACAAAAAAAAGAGAATTTTAGACCAATATCCTTGATGAACATCGATGCAAAAATCCTCAATAAAATACTGGCAAACCGAATCCAGCAGCACATCAAAAACTTATCCACCATGATCAAATGGGCCTCATCCATGGGATGCAAGGCTGGTTCAACATATGAAAATGAATAAATGTAATCCAGCATATAAAGAGAACCAAAGACAAAAACCACATGATTATCTCAATAGATGCAGAAAAGGCCTTTGACAAAATTCAGCAACGCTTCATGCTAAAAACTCTCAATAAATTAGGTATTGATGGGACGTATCTCAAAATAATAAGAGCTATCTATGACAAACCCACAGCCGTATCATACTGAATCGACAAAAACTGGAAGCATTCCCTTTGAAAACTAGCACAAGACAGGGATGCCGTCTCTCACCACTCCTATTCAACATAGGGTTGGAAATTCTGGCCAGGGCAATCAGGCAGGAGAAGGAAATAAAGGGTATTCAGTTAAGAAAAGAGGAAGTCAAATTGTCCCTGTTTGCAGATGACATGATTGTATATCTAGAAAATCCCATCATCTCAGCCAAAAATCTCCTTAAGCTGGTAAGCAACTTTAGCAAAGTCTCAGAATACAAAATCAATTTACAAAAATCACAAGCATTCTTACACACCAATAACAGACAAACAGAGCCAAATCATGAGTGAACTCCCATTCACAATTGCTTCAAAAAGAATAAAATACCTAGGAATACAACTTACAAGGGATGTGAAAGACCTCTTCAAGGAGAACTACAAAACACTGTTCAATGAAATAAAAGAGGACACAAACAAATGGAAGAACATTCCATGCTCATGGGTAGGAAGAATCAATATCGTGAAAATGGCCATACTGCCCAAGGTAATTTATAGATTCAATGCCATCCCCATCAAGCTACCAATGACTTTCTTCACAGGATTTGAAAAAAACTGCTTTAAGGTTCATATGGAACCTCAAAAGAGCCTGCATTGCCAAGTCAATCCTAAGCCAAAAGAACAAAGCTGGAGTAATCACCCTATCTGACTTCAAACTATACTTCAAGGCTACAGTAACCAAAACAGCATGGTACTGGTACCAAAACAGAGATATAGACCAATGGAACAGAACAGAGCCCTCACAGATAATGCCACATATCTACAACCATCTGATCTTTGACAAACCTGACAAAAACAAGCAATGGGGAAAGGATTCTCTATTTAATAAATGGTGCTGGGAAAATGCTACTGGCTAGCCATATGTAGAAAGCTGAAACTGGATCCCTTCCTTACACCTTATACAAAAATTAATTCAAGATGGATTAAAGACTTACATGTTAGACCTAAAACCATAAAAACCCTAGAAGAAAACCTAGGCAATACCATTCAGGACATAGGCATGGGCAAGGACTTCATGACTAAAACACCAAAAGCAATGGCAACAAAAGCCAAAATTGACAAATGGGATCTTATTAAACTAAAGAACTTCTGCATAGCGAAAGAAACCACCATCAGAGTGAACAGGCAACCTACAGAATGGGAGAAAATTTTTGCAACCTACTCATCTGAGAAAGGGCTAATATCCACAATCTACAATGAACTCAAACAAATTTACAAGAAAAAAAAAACCCCATCAAAAAGTGGGCAAAGGAAATGAACAGACACTTCTCAAAAGAAGACATTTATGCAGCCAAAGAACACGTGAATAAATGCTCATCATCACTGGCCATCAGAGAAATGCAAATCAAAACCACAATGAGATACCATCTCACACCAGTTAGAATGGTGATCATTAAAAAGTCAGGAAACAACAGGTGCTGAAGAGGATGTGGAGAAATAGGAACACTTTTACATGGTTGGTGGGACTGTAAACTAGTTCAACCATTGTGGAAGTTGGTGTGGCAATTCCTCAGGGATCTAGAACTAGAAATACCATTACCATATACCCAGCCATCCCATTACTGGGTATATACCCAAAGGGTTATAAATCATGCTGCTATAAAGGCACCTGCACACGTATGTTTATTGTGGCACTATTCATAATAGCAGAGACTTGGAACCAACCCAAATGTCCAACAATGATAGACTGGATTAAGAAAATGTGGCACATATACACCATGGAATACTATGCAGCCATAGAAAATGATGAGTTCATGTCCTTTTTAGGCCCATGGATGAAGCTGGAAACCATCATTCTCAGCAAACTATCGCAAGGACAAAAAACCAAACACCGCATGTTCTCACTCATAGGTGGGAATTGAACAATGAGAACACATGGACACAGGAAGGGGAACATCACACAGTGGGGACTGTTGTGGGGTGGGGGGAGGGGAGAAGGATAGCATTAGGTGATATACCTAATGCTAAATGACAAGTTAATGGGTGCAGCACACCAACATGGCACATGTATACATATGTAACAAACCTGCACGTTGTGCACATGTACCCTAAAACTTAAAGTATAATAATAATAAAAAAAATTTAAAAAAAAGAAAAAAAACCTATTACAGCAAGACACTGAATAGAATATGCTGTGTGTGTGTGCACATGTGTGAAGGTTTATACAACTCTGTGTGTCTGTGTGTATGCCTGTGTTTGCATGTTTGTATATGTATGTATTCATATGTATGTGTTTGTGTGTTTTTTTGAATATGTATCTGTGTGTGTGTGTGTGTGTGTGTGTGTGTGTGTGTGTGTGTTTTTAAGAGCAGAGGCCAAGAGAACAGCAGAACATAAGGGTGATGAAAACAGGCTTCAAAATCAGCCTGAACTGGCTGTTAATTCTTGTGGTGTTGCTGACTAACTCTATGATCCCAGGCAAGTCCTCATCAGTAAAACTAGGATAAGTGCAATTGTTAAGAAGATATGTTTGAAGTGCATGTGAGATCTTTAGTATAATGCCTCATGGGAGGCCAATTTGCTGTTGACCCTGTCCATCATTCCCATTTGCAGAAGCTGTAACCAGCCTAGGCTCCAACTTCTTGCCACGGCGGATGTGATTGGAGTGCCCATGTACATGCAGACACCTCCTCCGCCTCTTCCTCCTCACACCAAATACCTTGACAATGTTCTCATTTGACATTTTTTTCCTGTTTTGACTTTATCCATGGACCACAGGAATAAGCCTATCGGGGCAAGAGGTTGGTGTGAAAGAAGAGGAGTGGCCCAGACAAGTCCTGTGGGTCACTTCTATGGACGAGCTCCTGCAGCCCCAGAGATTGTGGTAGGAGCCAGGGAGCACCCCAGGAGACTCTAGCATTAAGGAAAACAAAATTTAAAGGTGAGATATAAAAGGCCCTTAAGAATGTGCAGGATCACAGGATACCTTTAAGGATAAATTTAATACTTAGAGGAGTAAACTTAGTCTGTGAATGAATGAAGCACTCTAATTAATCAGCATTGTTAACTATATGAACTAAAATACCAATTAGAATACAGATAAAGAATAATATCTCATTACTCTGAAATACAGATATCAGACCAATATCTCATTTACATATATAATCATATACCCATAATACGAATTATCAAAATATGTAAGCTAAGACCTAGGGTATGCACAAATACAATGCCAACACAAAGATGCTTCTACATAATTTAAACTCAAGCACAGATGTTTGTGCAGTTTGCCACAAACTCTTATGTTAGATACTCCATATAGAAACTTGGAATTCTGGTGAGGGGCATCCTACGGTGGGCTGTTAAGACTTCTTAGACTGCAGCCCCCCTTCTCCACGTGCTGTGGATGCAGCAGCAGAGCTCCACTAGCATTTTCCACATCTAGAGCACCTTGCCCAAGGCCACACCCCCTTCTCAGGATCAGCCTGAATTCATGATGGGTTGATGAGAGTGTGTGAAGGCCCAGTGCCCTCTACCCAACTAGAGGTAACCCTCACCAGCACTTCCTGTAGGAACCTCTGAAGGCCCTGATGTGGTTAGAATTACACCGAGCTTCTTGCTCTGCCCCCCAGCTGCCTCCCCGTCCCCAGAGTTTTGACCCAACAGCACTCCTCAATGAGATCCCTACACACACAGCTCTGTGTCTGGGCCTGGAACACCTGACCTTCCACATCTGATTTTCAGTCCACATAAAATTAGAAGCAGCATGTTAGAATGGCTAGATTGGTGCTTCTAGAAGCAGGAATTGTCACTTGGAGTCCCGATGAGTATGCTCAAGACAGTAATTAGTAAAAACTATGAAAAATGATTAACAAATTTTAAAATAGCAATATGGGACCATTTTGTGTAGTTACAGATAACTGTATATATTTCAATACGTCTTAGGGAGCTATAAACTTTAACTGATAAATATTGAACCTGAGTTATAAAGAAATGATTTAATCAGGCTCAGTTATTTTTGTTCGAAAAAGCAAGGAACTATGTGATACTTTTTCTATATATTTTCTTTAAAAGAATAATTTATAAGAAATGTGTGGGATGACACTGTATCACAATAGGAGGAGAATGATGATTTCTAAAAGATGCTGGGTTAATTGCAGATTTCTATGGAGAATCTAGTAATCTCTACTAGTACCTCACAGCATACACAAAAATCAATGGCAGATGCAAATACGAAGAAAAAAATACAGCTTTCAGAAGAAACCTTAGGAGATCTTCTTGAACTCAAAAAAGATAAAAATTACTTAATTGGATACAAGAAGTACAAACCGTAAAAAGAAAATAGCCTGCAATCCTAGCTACTCAGGAGGCTGAGGTGGGAAAATTGCTTGAGCCCAGGAGTTCAAGCCCAGCCTGGGCAACACAGGGAGACTCCATCTCTAAAAAACAAAATGAGCCGGGTATAGTGGTACATGCCTGTAATCCTAGCTACCTGAAAGGCTGAGGCAGGAGGATCACTTGAGTCCAGGAGTTCAAGATTGCAGTAAGCTCTGAGGACACCACTGCACTCGAGCCTGGATGACAGAACAAGACCCTATGGCTAAAACAAAAGAAAAACACATAATAAAACAAAACAAAAATATACATAAATATAATAAATTGGATTACATTAATATAAATGACTTTGTTCATCAGAAGCCATTATAGGGAGAATGATAGGGTGAGCCACATATATTTGACAGAGGCCTCACACCCACAATATATAAAGAACGCCTACAAATCAATAAGAAATAGTAAACCCAAATAGACAGTAGACCTATGAAAAGATGCTGAATTTCCTTTGTCATTAGTGAAATGGGAATTAAAACTATCATGTGATGCCACTAAAATGAAAAAGACAAAAAATATTAAATGTTGTTTAAGGATGTGGCTGGATCTCTCAGGCACTGCGGGTACCAGCAGCCTAAAGTAAATTCCTCGTTTGGAATCTGTTTGTCAGTGTCTACTAAGGCTGATCTCCTGCACACTCCATGATGCAGCCATCCCCTTCTTAGGGCTAACAGCCCCCAAAGTTGTTTATGTGTTTTCATCAAAAGACATGTGCAGACATATTCGTGCTATAACTATTAATAGCTAGAAACTGGAAATTGTCCAAGTAGACATCAGCAGTTCATTGGATGGACAGATTGTGGTATATCCACTCAATTGAATACTGTAATGCAATGTGAATAAAAACAACATGGGTGAATCTCACGAACAGTATTAAGTGAAAGAAGCCAGACAAACTAGACTACAAACATTCAAAAAAGTTATAATAAATAAAGTTAATCTAAACTTTTTGAAGTCAGAATTGTGGTTTCCGTGGGTGGGAAATGGTCCCTAGAAGTGAAAAGAGGGAGTCTGAAGTTTATGGTAATACTCTGTTTCTTGATCAGCTGTTGTTTACATGGGCACATTGCATTTGTGAATATTTATTTATACCATGTGCAATTTTTTCTACATACAATACACTTCAATAGAAGGTTAAGAATGCAATGCCCCTTAATTGATTAAAATTTGGTTTCTGAAAACTCATTTAGAATGAGATGTCACCGTAATTTAAATGGTATTAGATCAAGAAGGACGAGTCCAGGGAGGGAGGGAAGTTGACTAAGAGATTCTTGTCTGCCCTCCTCTCTTCTCCAAAGCTCCAACAAAGGCCTTATGTTAAGGTTTGGAAGTTCATTTACAGACAACTGTCTGAAGAGTAGTTTCACAGAGAAAGCCAGGAGGAGCCGGTCAGGCTTAACTGCAGACTGACAGCCTTCCCTTAGTGTGGACAGGAAATCAAGAAATTATGATTTAAAAAATAGAGAAAGAAAATCAACATATGCTTGAATTATGAATTATTACTGTAGAAACTATGAATTAACCTAAATATTATACTAAATACTTCACAACTCATATGCTCCTTTTTTTTTTCTTTTTTTGAGACAGAGTTTTGCTCTTATTGCCCAGGCTGGAGTGCAATGGCACAATCTCAGCTCACTGCAATCTCCGCCTCCTGGCTTCAAACCATTCTCCTGCCTCAGCCTCCCGAGTAGCTGGGATTACAGGCAAGCACCACCACACCCAGCTAATTTTGCATTTTTAGTAGAGTCAGGGTTTCGCCATGTTAGTCAGGCTGGTCTCAAGCTCCTGAGCTCAGGTGATCTGCCCGCCTCGGCCTCCCAAAGTGCTGGGGTTAGAGGCATGAGCCACCGCACCTGGATCTCCCTCTCTTTTTTAGCAAAGTTAAGTTTGAGATTTAGGAAGTTGTGTATAGAAAGTGTCAGCATGTGCTTGTGTGTGTATGTGTGTGCATGTGTGCCCTACATGTGTGTGAAATCTCTCTCTTGGATACAGGGGACCACAGAACCTCCATTTTCTTCTTTTTGCTTTGGCTTAGGTGACATACCAGAGATCCATGAGCTCTCCTGTTGTTGGCATTCTGGAGAAATCTTTCAAGTGGATGTTCCTTAAAATGGTCTTTCTAGCTCAGTATTCTCATCCACAGAACAGGGCACAGCTGGCCACCTTTACGGCATTTAACAATCATTTAGCAGAGAAAGTGGGCAGCAGGCGGAGCAGACAGCATGTGTTGATGGCTGAATCTCCTGTGGCCATTACCTGCAGTAGTTTAATTGACGTTTGTCAAAATAGTCATCCACATCATTACTTTATAAAGCTTAGCTTGGGATCAAGAAAATAGGTGCAGTGTTAAAAATAAAAATGGGAAATCCACTTTCCCCAGGTCCTGGGCAGTGTTGAAATGCAGACAGTGAGTGTCTGTGGCTAGTCAGAAGCTGCTCTCACAGGAGCTGTCCCAGTGGAAATAGGCAATGCCCACGTGAAAAATGCTTATTCCCTCTGAGTGCTCGCCATACAGTGTGGCGTGCTGCTCACTTTTTTGCTTTACTCACTGGAAACTGACATGGCCCGGCCTTCCAGACACTCAGCACATGCAGCTCAGACCACAGCGGGGGCTCTACCATCTAAACATCCCCCTGGGTTGCACTGGATATTTTTCTATCAAAATATCTCTCTGTCGAAAAAACACTCATCACCTGAGAAGATGTGCATCTCTTATTTTTCCAGAAAATAGCTTTGTTGCTTTCTTTCCCTGATAATCCTCTGAGGAAAGGGATAATAAAAATGCACTCAAGATGAATATGAAGGCAATTACCTCTCAATTTCCCAAGATCCCATCTGGGCTAAGTTAGTTGGGAGTAAATTTTAGAGAGAACACCCCCAGTGCTGCTCCAGGTAGTGGCTGGCGGCTGCTCTCCTTCCTCCCTGCTGTAGGAGTGGGGTCTTGGTCTGTTCTCTGCTCTGCACAGCCTAAAGAAAAATGCAGGTCTCTTTTAGGACATTGCCTTCCTGTCTGCCCTGCCTAAGCTCTCATTTTACAGGGTGGAGCCAGAAGGCACTTTTCATGGCATCGATAATTTACACACATCGCAGCATCTTAATTTCATGGCAGAGTCCTCTAGGGCCAGTTCCCTTCATCCCCGCCCCTGGTGGCTATTGAGCTTGCTAAGTTCCTGAAGACTTTTTAGTTGGTCTTGTTTCAGTAAAATTGCCACTGCCAAGAGTAACTATCCAGTTACACAAAGGAAATCATGGGAGGAACGTAATATTTCTCAAGCCCCTCCAGACTCCATTTTATTTTCTTCCCTGTAGTACACCTCTAGAGGATGAATTCCAAAGCCTTGATAACACCTTCAGATTATAGAGCTCTTTACTGTTAACAAAGAATTTCCATGCACTTCCTCTCATCAGGCTTCTGGTGGAGGTCAGAGAGCTGTCACCCTCACTTTGCAGATATTGATACTGAGGCTTAGTGAGAGTGTGTGATTTGCTGAAGGTCTCCAGGCAGAGACAATACCCCAACTCAGACAATGGACTGAAACTCAGGTGTTTTTGTTTCCACCTTACCAGTTTGCCTCATGCTCGTAAATGCACTGTCATAAGTAAAACATTGCCTGATGAGTCTTCACTCTCCCAATATTACTCTCTGTCTCTCTACTGTCTGTCCTAAATGTCGATATTGTAGGAATATTTGTGGAAAGGCCAGAGGCACCAGCTGGTTCACACTCCCTCACTTTATGCAGAAACTCTCTTCTTATCTAATAGTCACGAAACTCTTCTCATGTGTTTCTAAACAATTTAAGGCAATAAAACATGGATTCTCAACATACACTGAAGCTGATGGAGTAGAATGACCGAGTCCTTCGGCTTAGCATTAGACTTTGAAGCCACAGCCAACCCTCAACCTTCCAAAAGAGGCTCAGGCTTTGGGGAACAGTATCTCATGTGTGAGAGGGGTGCCCAGCTAGCTTCTCTTGAGTGTTGGACTCTCCCAACTTTCCCAGAACATTGATTTTACTTGAGGCCATTCCCTTCCTTTTGAGACACCTACCTGACTCTTTTCCTTAAAGCTTGAGAAATAATCCTTTGTGCTGGCCACATACGACAACAACAACAACAAAAAACCCTATAAAATTTGCTCAAAGGACACATCTGTGGAATATAGCACTTTTGAATTGTTCAGTAGTAAGTGATTTTATGGGGAACTAAATGAATGGATATTTTCGTGGAAAGAAAAGCATGGAGACAGAAAAATAAAACTTTTATTTACTAACATTTTCTTCTCTGCTCCACTGCAAAGAAAGACACTTGATCAATATACTATTTTTAACTAAAAGTTTCCAGGCCTGTTGAGTGGATTCACCTTTGAGAAAATAATCCAATTTTTACTTCATTTAAAAAGCCAGTTACATAAACCATACTTCTCTCCCTGACCTTTATTTACAGTAAACGATGTTCATAAAATTCCCCTCCAGGTCATCAGTCCAAATTGGGTCACACTAAACTGAAGTAAGCAGATTTTAAGAGGGAAAAAATATTGCTGAAAAGGTGAGATAGAGAAGAAATGGAAATTATTTAAGGAAAAATCATAAATGAGCCAAAGTGACCACAGGCAATAGCAACTCTTGGGATCTTCAATTTTATTCAATTTTTAGAAAGAAAACGAGACTGTTTTTAAGGTACCTTGCTTTACCCCCAAATAACCCCAAACAAGCTTTTTAAGTGCATTACAGCAAATAATCTTCTCTTAGAACTATCTGCTTTACTATTCAACGTAAGAAATTTCAGAGCAAGGTATCCTTAAACAGAGAGAGAAAAGACATTATAGGAGGCAGAGGGGAGGAAAAGATGGAGAATAAACTAGAGACAGAAGAGAATCCCATGAGGTAGCGTACTGGCCTTTTTACTGCTTCATCTTGATTGTATATTCAATCACCAAATGCCGGGTGAAAGCATTTGTTGCTTAAAAAGGTATTCAGTATAGTGATTCAGCTGACAGGTTCTGTATTTTATTCATTTTGTACTCTGATGCAAAATTATAAGAAATCCTGTCTTCCTCAACCTTAAGAACCTGAGAGCTCAAAGGACAGAGATTATTTTCCTAGATTGAATAATCAGAATTAGATCCCTTGTCATGATCTTGTGGTGTTGCAAGATGCGATACAGACTTCTCAACCAGTACAAAAAGATAATGGCTTCAATGTCTCTTAGTTCTAAAATGCATTTTTCTGTATTTTTAATCTTTCAACTTAACAATCTGCATGCAGGAAAGATACTGTTGAAATATTTAGTTAAATGGAAGATCTGAAAATGAAAGTACTCAATCTGGATAAGGAAGAATTGGGTTCAGAATAAGTTGGTAGTGTGCCAGTCACTGGGCATGAGGGGGTCTCTGATTTGTAGTCTTGTCCATTTCTGTGGGACACATATGCCAACCATGGATGGTGTCATGTTACTAACATGACATCACTAAATGCAGAGTGGGATGGGATGTGCAGAATTATGTCATTGTATTGCATTTCCACCATGCTTGCAATAGATGTGAGTAATCTCAAGAGCAGAGATAGGTAGGAAGTGATAACTTTGTAGTATTGATTACCTTTGTTTTAAAATAAAATGTATTTAATTATAAGTTTATGCAAATTAAATTCTAAAAATGGCTGTGTTTAACACTGGGCTCATGATTCCAAAACATTAATAAGCACTCTTATGAGTCACTAAGCTGGTTGCAGTCACCGCTCATTACAGAGTGCATGTAGAAAACAAACAAAACACACATTGTAGCTTAGTACTCCGGAAGCTGTACCTGCAAGAATCTGAAAATATGCTGCCTTTGAGAGCCAATTGCCCTGACTTCTATCAAGTGTCCATCTTTGGCAACTGTGTTGGGTTGTAAGATACAAAGATGAGTCAGCACTGGTCCCCATGCTTGGGGAGCTCACGATGTAAAGGACTGGCCTGTGCCAGGGCAGACATGGGTAGGTGCCACAGAACAGGGGCGTACACAGTGCCCAGCGAGGACTCTATCATGACAGATGGAACCAAGAGGGAGCATTGGAGCTAGTCTTTAAAACAAGAGCAAAATGAGTGATTTCAGGCAGAGAAAAGGCAAGAAGGGGCATGTAGACATGTACTTTTTCAATTTCTTTTTTCAAGCAAGGAAACTGTGGTGAAAATCATATTTAGGATATAAATGCTTCATTACATCCTAGCTGAGTTGGTCATTGCATTACCCTCTCTTTCCTCTGTAAAAGTGTATCTAATGAGGTCACATGCCTAGCACAGTGCCCAGCTCACTGTAAGAATTCACAGTGCCTGCCTGGCACACTGGATGAAGAGGAGGAAGAGGAGGAGATGATGACTTGTGAGGAGCTGATTGCTAAATCTGATTTCTGTCTTTCAAAAAGAAATGTCTGGGTGCTGTTTATGATTATGTGGTAAGGGGTGGTGGGAGAAGGCACAGTGGAGCTACTTTCAGGTCTCAAGCTGGTCAAAAATGTGAGGACTTCAAAATGTTCACCTTCAGCTGTCTGTATTTAAAAGACTTCCCATCCTGTCACATTCCCAACCTGGTTTGGATTTCCCAAAACTTTCTTTACAGGTATAAGCAAAAATTTGGGCACGATTTTTTTCATAAGTGATTGTTTAATATCCACACGTGTTTTCTAGATGGTTTGAAAGATCTCCTGGGGTTTCTTTGAGCTCTTTTCCAATGAGACATTAAGTTACTTCCAGGTGTTCAGTGATAGTCAGAGAGTGGAATAACATTAGCACATTTCAGTGTGGCTTATGGGCATGTATTTTAACTCATTCTCTCTGCCAATACTATGTGCTTTCCCAATCTGTCACTTGGGTACAATTACTTGTACCTCAATGTAATTGTTTGTTTCCAATAGCACAGACTCAAATTCTTAACCACAGTGAATTTTTTTACAAATGGTGCTTGTGTTGGTCCTTTAATAAGGACCAGCCATATTAGATAAAGATGGTCAGATAGAATTTAGCACTGAAATTCCTTGGGAAGCAAACATGATGATCTGGAAATACAAAGTCAAATAGAAATAAACTTTGTATATTTCTAAATATAGTTTTCACTTGTATGTGCGAAGTAAACAGTTATTTTAAAATACATGATTGATTATAAAAGCTTTACTATCTGATATAAAAGGTAGGATGTGGAGTAAATTACCTCAATGTCAGCTACATTTGTCTAATTGGTTAGTACATTTTGGTAACACTGTTCAGTATTTTTGTTGAAACTATCTGTCAGTTCTAGGCATTATCAAATAACCAATTCTTCAGTTGCAACATCCAGAGGAGCCATAGGAATGAGATGAGAGACAGGGAACATTTATGTCTGGACAGAAGGAAATTGGCAAGAGAAACGCTAGATAGGAAGTAATGTATAGCAATGGAAAAGATGGCCACCAGGCAACCAGGCCTCAAATATTGGAATACAGAGCAGGAGATCTTTAAACACAGAGAAGTATAGAGAGAGAGAGAGAAACTGAAAAGTTGTGAAACACCAAAGAAACTTACAATTGCCTCATTGTGAAACACCAAAGAAACATACACTTGCCTCAAATATTTGTCTCTCTCTATGCTGTCCAATATGATAGCTGCTAGCCATATGTGACTATTTAAATTTAAACAAATTAAAATAAATTCAATTAAAATTCAGTTTTTTAGCCACACTTGCTACACCTCAAGGGCTCAATAACCACATATGGCTAGTGGCTATCATACTGGGCAGTGCAGATATAGAATACTTCCAATATTTGAGAAATGATGAACAGAGAAGATAGATAGCATCGGACTCTATTCATAACTAAAGTGTTCATATAAAAATAAAATTAGCACACATATAGTGAGCAGCTAATGTGCAAATGTCTGCTGCTGGCTTGTTGGAGGGGGCTGTGGTGTTGGCTGAGACTTTGGGGCATTGCTTCATGGTGTTGCACTTAAGTAATCACAAAGGTCTATATTTCTGAGCAATGGCAAAATCCACTTTCAGTTAAGAGTGCAACACGGAAGGAACTCTCCTTGTCTTACCTTAAGTAAAAGGGAAATTTATCCTGCAAAACATTCCCCAAGACAGGGAGCTGCAACCTCACACTGATAGGCTCCTTTCCCTACTAATGAATCAGTAAGATTCAGTACTCAAGAAACTAAGAACCAAGATCTAGCAGAAAAGACCTGAGCTTGAACCACAAATTGGGCATCCTATCATATATGGCAAAAAATATGAGCAGCCAAGAACTAGCAGAAGAAGATCCAGGGAACCAAGATAGCCATGAGTTGCCAGGAGAAGGAAGTTGGTCTCTAGTGCAAAGAGTGCAGCCTTTAGTTAAGCAGAAGTCTATATACCGAATGGTACATAGCTATTTCCAGGTGTGTGTTCAGTCATTCTACACCAGAGCTTCTCAACTTGGGTTGCACATCATCATCAACTCAGGAATTTTAAACATCCCATGTCCTTGCCACACCCTCACCTAACCCATTTATATCAGCACTCTAAAGGCAGTGCAGGCTTCAGTCTTCTTTTAAACTCTACAGATAATTGCAACATGAAGCCATGGTTAAGAAGGTAGATCTGTATTTAGTGTCATGGAAAGATTTCTAGATATTTTATAGAAAAAAGCAAACCATTTCTAGTTGGACATGTAGAGCTTGGAAATATTCATGCCCATCCTCACAACAACAACAATAACAACAAATGTTAAACAAACTAAAAAGAACTCTTTTTAGATCCATCAGAAAAGTGAGGTCACTGAGCAACCCACCACCCAAAACCTGGACAGACAGAGAAATACAGAAGCATGGCTTACAGAGAGCAGAAGCAGCTGCTGGAGCCACCATCTGGTAGAAACACTTCAGGGGTAAGTGGCCAATTGCTGGAGACTGAGTGTGAACTGGCTTAAAAACTCCAGGACCTCAGTCTTAGGGGAGCTCCTATGCTCTGGGAGTTTTACCTCCAGGAGCCCCACCAGATTCTCAGGGTAAAGATCCGAAGTTCAGAGAAAAACATTTTCCTGCTTTCAGCAGTGGGAGGGGAAAAGGTACCATTCTGAAATACAACTGGAGCATGCAATTCTCCCTAACCAAGGCCTGACCTCAAGGGACACTTACTTTACCAGAGCCTAACTGATGGGGGTCCCACCAGAGGCTGGCCAACCTGGCTCCTTATCTATGGGAAATGTGAATGCCTGCTGAGAAAAAGGGAGTGGGCTGAGATGAAGCCAGACTTCTCACTTGGATGCCTGTGACTGGGTGGATAACAGGCCATTGAGCAGATAAAGCTTCCTGGAGCAGGCAGGGCTTACTCAATGGAATCAATTGCAAAAGGAATCTCAAAGACAATAAATGGATCAGGCTCTTAGGTGCCAATGACACTTTAGATTTGGATGAGCAAGTAAGGGTTTTGGAGGAGGTAGGGTCTGACCTTGATTGTGAATTCTATTTTATCCTACAATCCAACCCTTTCTTTCCAGATGAGAAAACAGTGACCTGGAGACAGTTATTTCACCAACAGTGAGTGGTCAACCTGGTCAGGCCTGTTGATTCTGGCCTAGTTCTCTCTCTCTGACAGCAGTGTGAGGAATGCAGGGATGGGCATGTCACATAGGTGGAAGTGCTGAGGAAGGCCCAAGGCAGAAGAAGACTCTGAGATGTGACTGAGATGGATGATAGGGGAGGGAAGTATTGGAAGCAGTGTTCAGATTTCTCCCAGAGGACATGAGGAAAGAATGCCGACATTTTTTTCTTGGAGCTTACACACAAAAGAGCAGCCAAAATGTGATAAGAAATTTATTTCATCATTTGCATGGATTAGTTCATGAGCTACAGATCAAGGGTTATGTTTCCTATCAGAAGAGACTCCCACTGACTCTTTTATTGGGCAGGCTTCATCTCTTTTCAAAAAAAAACTGTAGGCAGCCTCTGCTGCTAGTTTTATAGTGGCTTCGCAGGGCAGTAAGAGATGGACTGACTTTGCTCCTTTTTTGTTGGTTGTTTATTGTAATGGCAATTGCCTCAAGGCCTCTAAATCATAAGATTTATGATAAATCATAAGGCTCTGGCCTCTAAATCATAAGCTTTTTACCTATCCACTAGAAACTTCCACCAATTATGAGTGAATGAGAAACTATATAGGGAAATACCAAAATACATACCTATATCTCTATCTGTATATTATGTCTAAAGGCAAAAAAAAAAATAAGCACCAACTTTGCCCACCACCAACTGAAGGTGATGTTGGTCACTTGTGCAGTATCACTTTGGACTATGCCTTTTGTTCCTAAGCAGAAAACCTTCTACATTGAATATTCGGTAAATAGTTGCAGAAAAATTATTTCACTCTCTTATTTTTTCCTCTCCACTTACAAACAGAGAACTAGAGTCCTAAGTGTCTTGATTTTCAGTTTTTGTTTTCTAATCTACTACAATCTGTTTTATTGCATTTTTTTTCCAGAGATTAACTCTTTCCACCTCTTGTTGATCTTTACTGAGCAGCAGGTGTCTAGGACCCAGGTCCTTACACTCCCTGGACCTATATCGTGGTCTAGCACTGCTCACCCACATGTGGAAGGCTTAGCCCCCGATCTCTGCATGGCAGCTGCTACCATGCTCCATTCATTTCCCCTCAAAGGTCACAACCTCAGGGGCTTTTTAATTCAAGTTATCATAATTACTGTATCCTATTTATTCTGAGCATTTACCCTGCTTTCCTTTTCTTCAAAGAGCTTGTCATTACTTAAAAACACAACATATGTGTTTATTGAATCACTGTGATTTTTCTCCACTAGAATATAAATCCCAAGGGAATGTAAACTTCATCAGTTTCGTTCACCACTGTATTCCCATACCCTAAAAGAGTACCTAGCATATGGTAAACATTCCATAAATATTTAAAAGAACTAAGGAATGCTCAAGGGAAAACTTTCATGAGGCAAAGAGTTCTTTTAGTATGCTAGTAATCAACCTTTAATTTATCATGCCCATTAGAGTGACCCAGTTGAAGTTGTGGTGTCTTTTGTCAGGAAAGACATTAATTGGTTAACTCATCAGAATAAAGACAAGAAGCTGCTGCCAGTGAAGACTTAACCTACTTGTAGTTGAGCTTGGGAGGGCATAAAGAAATTCCCAAGGGGACAAACTGAGGTACCTGCAGCTGAAGCTCAGGTCTCATGTGAAAGATAGGCTGATTAGCTATGAAGAAAAACCAGATACTGGGTGGATTTGGTAAAAGTTTCCCTCACCTGTCATGTTCCATTTTGGCCCACCTCACTGCTACTGTATACCAGGTATTTTCCTCCTAGCAGAGTGAAATGGTCAAAATAATGTGGCTTATTCTGATTATTCAGGGTCATGGTGTAGTTAGCAATAAAGGACAGAGGAAAAAAGACCAGAGCTTAGTAAAACTCAATGAGGTGTATTTAATTTGCATAACATTTCCCAGTGTCTCATGGGACTAAACTGAAGAGCAATTTTCATGGTTGGAGAGTTAGGATGTGATCCTTTAAAGAGTGTTCAACTTTATTCTCGAGTGTGAACTGAAGGACACAAAAGTTGGATAATCTGTAGTTTGTGTAGCATATATATTTTAGGACCGTGACCCTCATAATAGTTAAATTCCAAAGAGAGTCATTTTTATTTTGTAGTGACAATAATTTATTAATGTTAGCTGAACCAAAGATTATGAACGCATTGTATTTGTTATAAAAGAATTCCGGAAATGAAGAGATTCTATAAAGTATATTAAACTAAAAGATTTCAAATACCTAAAGTATTTTTTTAAATCAAAGCTGTTAAAATAAGGGAGATGTTTTTCTATGACCAACTTAAGATCAAGGAAGTTACTTGGCAGAGGAAGAAGAGGTGATAATCATATCTGAAGGTATAAGTAGACCTTTGAGTAGATGACAGGCTATGTACGTTAAAGAGCCCAGGTTTTGGTGCCAAGAAGATCTGGCTTCCAATCTCAGTTCTGCTTCTTATCTAGCTGGCAAATTACTCAATTTTTTCTGCTCTTGTTCCTTCCATAAAATGGAGACAGTATTTATAGCACAGAGCCAGCATATACCAAATGCCCAGGATAGTAATTTAGACTCAATAACTGACTGCTGTGGTAAACATCATTGTCACCATCATCATCTTCATCTTCACTGGAAAGGAAGCCATTCATAAAGAAAAGGCGCCTTTTGCAGCAAGAGGCTTGCTGTGAAATCTGTGAGGTCCAGGACCTATTCCAACCCATGATGAGGCACATCTGTGTCAGTTCTTAGCCTGCTTTCTCTCAGAATCCCTCTTCCCTTTTCCCTGCCTTGCCCACTTTACAAAGAGCCTTTGATCAGCTACACTTAGCTGGCCTCCAGCTAGGTTTGACCAAAGGTGGGTACTAGTAGGAGCCTGGATAACAGTGGGAAAGGAGAAGTCAGGGTGTTTCTCTCTTTCCTCATTTGCTTCATTTGGGATCTTTAGCAGCAGCTGGATGTCCTCTGTGGTTTCAACTCCCATGGGACAGACCTACCATGGTTTTAGCTTCTTCTGGCTGGCCCCAGCTTTGAGGCTGCAGTAATGCCACATTCACCTTTGTCCCTAATACTAGGGATGATAACAGCACCCTGCAGGTGCTGATCTCTGGGTTGCACCTAGCTCCTAGATCCAGTAATGCCACCTTTACTTTTGTCTGCCAGCACTAGGGGTCATAGCAGCATTCCGCTGTTGCTGACCTCTGGATTCCAGCACTATTGTCTTTTGGTATCTCAGTTCTTCTGTGTAACCAAGCCCATATATAAAATGCCATCCATTTAAAATGCATAGAAAAGTTTCTCTTTTCAATTTTCCATGGCTGGTGCACCCTATAAGTTTATTCATTGTAGGGACATTATAAATTATAGCTCAGATCACCTAAGCACGTTATCGGAAACAACCGGAAATAATATAAAATAACTCCCACATTAGGATCCTTAATTTATGGAGTTTTATTCTATACAAAGTATTTTTACATATATTATGACTCTATTCTCCAAAGCATTATTTGAAGCATGGGAATTATAAATTATTTTTTCTTATTTTACGGTTAAGGAAATAAGATCCAGAGAGGTTAGATAATCTGCCCAGTGGAAAAGCCATGCTTTTACTATGTGCATTGGAAGAGAATAAAGAAGATAAGTGGATATCATACTTCTGTATTCAAAGTTGCTTTTCTGGGGGCTTCATCTTTTAACATAAGTGAGCTTCAAAGCAGTGAGAGGTGTGTTAATGCCTCACTAGGAGATAAAATGTCAACCATGGGTATAGAGCTATGGAATCACACTCCTTCCCTTCTGTGGATACAGACTTCAACACAATATCTATTAATTGTATTTTCTTGGAAGCCCCCATGATTGTGTGAATTAAACAGGTGACAGATAACTTATCTGAGACTCACATTATTAGCTTATTACATCAGCTCCATGAACACAAATACTAACTACTTCATAAAGCTGAGTTAGAGATATTCAGCCAATTAATAGTTATATTAATAGAAGCAGTGGTTTATAATGTGTTTTAATCTAGCTTAATGATCTCAAAACGCAGCAAGAAAAGTAGAGATATTATTGTTCTTGTTAATAGATGAGTAAACAGAGGCTCAGAGTGGTAAAGTAACTTACCCACGGTCACGCCTTCAGCGTCAGGACAAGGACTTGAACCAAGACACTCCAACTCTTACACCAGTACTCTGCTTTGTGATGGAAGCATTCCCAAGTTAATATTGGGAAAAATAATTTTGTAATAGTAATACAACATGTCTGCCTCAGCTTTGTAATCAAATCATTGACATGCCTACAGCTTTAAAATTTCAAAACCCGCAGTAAAAAAAGTCCAGCCCAGATTTTGAAACCCTGTGAACTTTTGATATTAGACAAAAAAAACATTGAGGTTCATAAAAGTTTGGAAGCACTTACAGGCATACAGCATTGAAATTAGTGTTCCTCTTACCTGAATCCTTTAGGTGGTGGAAAGACAGTTCAACGTATACCCACAATGTTCAAAATTCCCACAT
This sequence comes from Homo sapiens, assembly GCF_000001405.40. Taxonomy (NCBI): domain Eukaryota; kingdom Metazoa; phylum Chordata; class Mammalia; order Primates; family Hominidae; genus Homo; species Homo sapiens. The sequence continues at coordinate 107,277,522 of NC_000002.12, read as the reverse complement.
TCTGGATCATTCACTGTATTTCCTCATGTCTAGTCCTGAACCTCTAGTCTGGTCCTAATGTTGGCAGATTAAGGGTGGGTAAAAACTCACTTCACATAATTTCACGCAATCCACTCACAAAACATCACAATTTGAATCCGTGTAGCCACAGGGGAATCTTTCCCTTGTGATCATTAATCCAGGTGTTGACGCCCATCACGATATTGTTAGAACATCTTGATCCAAAACTACCATCTTTATCTGGTCTCCAAAATCTGAAACAAGAAAAGAAACACTTTTTATTTTCATAATCACAGTGCTAAATCGAAATCCTAATACCTGCTGCAAAGGTTTAAAATGTAACCTTCTTACCGTGGCCCTGGAGTCCCTTCTAATCCTCCTTAGCTCACTTTTTCAATGTCATCTTCTACTACACACCCTTCCATATCTATCTGATGCCTGGCTGTTCCAGCCTTCCCAGAAAGTTCCCATTACCTGCCTTTTTTCATGGGCTATAATAAGCCCTTTTATACTCTCCTTCAGTTTTTAGTATTCATCCTTCACCAAAAATCTTCCTTAAGTAGCAGGTACTTCAAAATACTCTGTTCCACTTTAAAGGTCCAACTTGTTTCCTTTTCCATGAAGTCTTCTGAGACAACCTACTCCACTGTTAGGGGTTTTCACAATGATCTACCATCAACCTTCTCCATTCTTTGTATTTTATCTCTTTAGACATTAGGGATTTTTTTGTTTTGTTTTGTTTGTTTTATCTGTTAAAAGAAGAGATTGGACAAAATCACCAGTCCTCAAATGTGAGGGCAAATCATTCAGATATAAGGAGTTCATTGGTAATATAATTTCTAATATTCACCCTGATCCCAATACACCAAATCCTCCAGGGAATGAAAGGAAAGAAAGGGAAGTCAAATCTGAAAAGCCTCATATGTGACATATGATCCATTCTTATGCAGCCAGTCCCACAGCAGTCTGAAAAACATGTGGAATCTAAGATTAAACTCAAACATAAACACGATATATATTTTATTAACTTGATTTGAATTGTTGACAGAATTAGATCCGACGCTGTTACCAATTGCTTGTCGTATGGGATCGATTCAAATTGGATATTTACTTCTAATATTTCACTGAAGTGTTTTAAGGAAATGTAAATTAAGCCTAAGACAAGGTATATTCTTGGACAAAGAACTCACTCTTTAACACAAAACCTTGTCCAGGCCAATCACAAAATGTCATCTGCCTTTTTCACATACCAAATCTCTAATCTGATGGGGAAACAACATTCTCATCATTCCAGACTGTAACCCACAAATTATATTACTGCCCCCAGAAGACGAGGTCACAGCTGAAACCATTTACCAAGTGAAAGCAATTTAATGCCAGTCTGGTAAAATGTAAATACCAATTTGCTTGCAATAAAAAAAAATAGTATGGATACTTTCATCTTCTCAAATAATAGCTCTTTTTTTTCTGAAAGACTGAGAAATTGTCAAAGTGAAGAGCATAAGTGATTTCTCCTCACTCCCCCAAATCCCAAAATCAAGAGGAAAGAAGGAAAAAGCCTAAAGTTTTTCTACTGCTCTAATGAAAGACTGTTTTCCAAACTGGTTTTGTTGAAGCTTTGCTGAGAGTGCAGAGTCCAGTAATCAAGTCGCTTCATGATTTAATTTACCTTGATTAGCATAGCAATTTGCTATACTTTCCTCAAAAGTGCTAATCAATTTTAGCAACTAGTAGAGTGAAAACACCACACAAATTGCTCTCATGGCCCCAAACTGCTAATCAATTTTGAAAACCTAAATCAATCTGCCTTTCATCCTGTCATTTCTCGCTTGACATTTTTAATACCTCTCCTGACTAAGTCCAGGGAATGAGTTTTCAGGCCAAATAATGAACTAAAGTGATACTGCATTTTGGCTTTAGCATTGTCATCTCATCCTCCCCACACATCCTCCTCTGGCTTGTAAAATATCCGTGTGTGCGTATATAAGAGAAAGCAAGATATTTTAATAATCAAGGTCATTGCAAAGTAGCTTCTCTTCTATTTCTCACTTCAGAAGGGAAACTGCCACATTGTAAAAATATTGGCTTAAGTATATAAATGAGATGCTGGTCCAGTATTAATTGAATGATAACAGTACTATAGCCACAGCATCTTAGAACAGGAAGAGACAGTAGAAATCATCTATTCCAGTCCCTATCTTAACTAGAGAAGTAAAGTCTCACCTGTCCCCAGGCCTCCTAAATCCAGACCCAAACTAATGGCTTGTATCATGCATGCATGTTTGCCCTGTGTGGCTGCAGTAAGTATGAAAGCACTGCCAATGAGAATTGAGGGGCCTCTTATGCTCCACATAAGCTATATTTCCTGTAAAACTGTCCCTCTTGGATGATTTGAAAATGCACTAATCTCATCATACCCACCAACATGTTTGCATTATTTTAAGCAGGATAAGCCTGCTTGCTAAATTGAGATTTCTTTGTTTCAGCTGTGAGTAGCCTAGACTTTTTTTTTTTCTTGCTTAGCAATTGAATTAAATCAGAAACCATTTGGATCCTCTAGCAATAACAACACATTTATTAGAAAAAGATTGGGACAGTTCTTTGGAAATGAGGTCTGAAGACCAAAGCTCTGCCTATGACAGTTCATACATTAACAGAGTCTGGAGATGAAATGTACTCAGTAGAAATTCTCTTTTTAATTTTCAAGACTTGTATATCAGATTTTAAGTTGAACATTGTTGTGTCCAAGCGTGATAGCTGTGGATTACCGAGACAGGGCAGGAAGGCATCACTGGGAGGGACGGGGCAAACCTGCGTTGGAAAGCCAGAAAGAGCAGACCATCAGGTCAGGGACTCCAGGACATCTGGAAGCACCAAATGTCAGGAGAAGGAAAGGGGTTGGCAACCAGGCTGGCAGGCACCAGCAGCAACAAGGTGACAGCAGCCCAGAGACAGGGATCCTTTAGATGTGCTGCTCACACAAAGCAGAATTGAGTGAGGACTGGATTTATTTTTCTTTTCTAAAAACAAAAAAATTTTAAATTTTTATTTTATGTATTTATTTTTAGAGACTTTAGTAAGGATCTTCAGGTGAACAATTCTCTCAAATCATGTATTTTTTAAAAAAAGATACTTTATTTTCATTTTTCAGGGGTGTTTTTACTTTAAAAAATTGGCAACTCTTTCTCTCAGCACTAGGGATATATTCCTCTGTCTTCTGGCTTCCATCAGCCCTGTGGAGACAGCTCTGTATCTTTGATTTTGAAGCATAACCAGATATTTACACAATCTTAGGTATCTCACCCAAGATACTTACTAGTTACCAAGGAAAAAAATAGCAAATTGACGGTGGAGAAACCTGAGATACCATCATAGTCAAGTGATGAAAGTTACCATACTGTAGTTACCAGTAATGTAACTGGTAACTGGTAATGCCACTGCTGATGTAACTGGCAACTGGTAATGTCACTGGTGCCCGGTGTCTCCTGCAACGAGGGAGTGAAGGCACAGCATCCCCTCTGTGTCACTCCTGCCTGAGGTGCACATGCTGATTCTAATTGTGAGGAAACATGCCATGCATTGAGATTGAGGCTATTCTATAAAGTAATTGGCCTCTTTTCTTTAAGATGGTCAATGTCATAAAATGTACAGAAAAAGTCAAGAACTCATCCTATTCAAGGATACCATGAGGACCAAGGAGACATGGCATCCTAACTGGAACACATGGTACAGGACTTTCTTTTACTGAAAAGACTATTTTGTGGGACACAGCGAGAAATCTGAATAGGTAGACAGAATAGATAATAGAGTCGCATCAATAGCTCTTTCCTGTTATTTAGTAACTGTACTGGTGTTTTGTAAAATAATGTCCTACTTTAAGAACATACTAAGATATTTAGTGGTAATGGACAGCGTGTCATTAGCAAACTGACTCGCAAACAATCCAGAAAAGAATGAGGTGCCTGGTGTATGTGTGTATGAAAGGAGAGGGGAAAAAGTGAGTCCTCAGAACAAAGCAAGTATGGTAAAATGTAAATATTCAAGAAATCTGTATAAAGGACATATAGGAATTACTTGAACTCTTCTTGCAACTCTTCTGTAGGTCTAAAATTATGTCAAAATGAAAAACCAAGAGAATAAAAAGGAAAACAAAAACAAACAACAAAGACAAGGAAAATAATAATAAATCAGAGATCATGGAAGATGCTGTCCTTTTTACTATATATTGGCAGCTAATATGACTTATTTATTAATGAAAACAAGTAAAATCTTAAAAGAAATGAACTTGTGAGTAGATACATATAACTTATCTAAAACAATAATACACAGAGCATTTAAAATAGACAGAGAACTAAAATATACTGAAAGTATAGCATAAAGCTTGGTGAGGAAATACATAAACAGTTTTAAGTTATTCCACTTTTTCAGGGAAGGGTAAGAGTATAAAGAAGCATTGAGTTTGATAATTCAAGGATACAGGCTAATCTTGAGTAATGGCTAAATTAATAATAGATAAAAATAAATTAATTTTTAAAACAACCCATATATAAGCAAAAAAAAGGAGAAAAAGAGAAACCGAGAATAAGCGGAACAAATGAAAAACAAACAGCTAAATGGCAAATTCACATATACTTTATCAGTAATTATGTTAATTAAAAATAGATTAAATGCTACAATTTAAAGAAAAATATTAGTCACAATTTTTTTAAAGCCACTAGATGTTGGCTATGACTGATGTAGTTGAACTGTAAAGTTACACAATGGTTAAGTATAAAGTGATATGCTACACAGACACTGAAAGAAGGCAGATACATATACGAATATGATGTTTTTAAACAAAACATGTCACAGATCAAAAGGTATATTTCATAATGATAAAAATTTATAATATAGGAAGATAAAATAATTCTAAATTTGTATGTCTCTAATAATGTAGCCTCAAGAATATAGAGCAAAAGCTAACGAATTTGAAAAGATAAATAGACAAATATATGAACACTCAATACTTTCTCAGTAGTCCTTAACACAAGCTGACGAAATAGTCACAAAGAGATTTTGCACATATAGAGAATTTGAGCTTTGTGATTGAGAAACTTGGCTTCATTGACATTTATGAAACACAGCAGCCACTTACTGCAAAACACATATTCTTTTTAAGCATACACAAAACGTTTATAAAAATTAACCATTTACAAACCCATAAAGAAAATCTCAGAAACATGAATGACTGATATAATAAAATGGGTAACTGACTTCAGCACAAGTTAGAAATGAATAGAAAATTGAAAACTGAAAAATCCCATATATTTGGAAGATAATATACTTCATAGTAACCTGTACTTGAAAGAATAATTCATAATGAAATATAGAAATTATTGTGAACTGAACAATAATTTAAAAATTATATCAATCACATCAATCACATGAGATCCTGCAAATATACACTTAGAAGGAAATTATAATTTTCCATCAAATATTACAAAAGAATGCTGAAAATAAATAAGTATCCAAATCAACAGAAAAAAAATAACAAAAACTATCTTAAAACAGAAGGATGAAAACATTTGAGATTGTATTAGTCCATTTTCACACTGCTATAAAGATACCACCCAAGACTGGGTAATTTATAAAGGAAAGAGGTTTAATTGGCTCACAGTTTCGCATGGCTAGGGAGGCCTCAGGAAACTTAAAATCATGGCAGAAGGCTAAGGAGAGGTAAGTACCTTCTTTGCAAAGCAGCAGGAAAGAAAGCAAGGGAAGGGGGAAGAGCCCCTTATAAAACCATCAGATCTCATGAGAAGCACTCACTATCACAAGAACAGCATGGGGAAACCGCCCCCATGATCCAATCACCTTCCACCCGGTCCCTCTCTCAAAACCTGGGGATAACAATTTCAGATGAGATCTGGGTGGCGACACAAAGCAAAACCGTGTCAGAGATATAAGTATAAATTAACAAAATAGAAAACAAGCATAGAGTTAGAATAATTAACAAAGCTAAAAGTTAGTTCTTTGAGAAATTTAATAAGATAAATTCCTGATGAGACTGGTCAAAAAAAAAAGTAAAGTCTCAAAAAACCACCAACACAAAGAGAAAAGGGTCAACACTATTCTATGCATTTCACAGATATTGGAAAGTCATAAAATGCCGGGGGTGGTGGCTCATATCTGTAATCTCAGCACTTTGTGAGTCAGAGGCCAGAGAATGACTTGAAGCCAAGGGGTCAAGACCAGCCTAGGAGACATAGTGGGACCGCATCTCTACAAAAAAAAAAAAAAAAAAAAAAAAAAATTAGCCAAGCATGATGGTGCATGCCTGTAGCCCTAGGTACTAGGGAGGCAGAGGTAAGAGGATCACTTGAGCAGAGGAGTTCAATGCTGCAGTGAACTAGGATTGTGCCACTGCGCTTCAGCCTGGGTGCCCGAGTGAGACCTTGCCTAAAAAATAAATAAATAAATAAATAACGCATAACTTAAAAATAAAAAAAGTCATAAGACAATTGAATGAACTGTTTTATGCCAATAAATTTTAAAATTCAGGTGAAAGCATCAAATTCTAGAAAAGTAAACTATATCAAAACTGACACAAAAAGAAATAGAAAATATGAATTGTTTTCTAACTGTTAAGGAAAGTAACTTTGTATTTTCAAACTTTTCCACAAAATAATCTCTAGACTTTGATGGCTTGTCAGTGGTAAATTATATTAAATATATATTTTTTTAAACCCACAAATCAGACCTGGCCCAGTGGCTCATGCCTATAATCCCAGTGCTTTGGTTGGCTGAGATGGGCAGATCACCTGAGGTCAGGAGTTTGAGACCAGCCTGACTAACATGGAGAAACCCCGTCTCTACTAAAAATACAAAAAATTAGCCAGGCAGGGTGGCCCATGCCTGTAATCCCAGCTACTTGGGAGGCTGAGGCAGAAGAATTGCTTGAGCCCAGGAGGCGGAGGTTACGATGAGCCAAGATGGGGCCATTGCACTCCAGCCTGGGCAACGAGAGTAAATTCCGTCATACACACACACACACACGCACACACACACACACACACATCATAAACAAGCTCTTCCAGAAAATAAAAGAAGAGGAATCAGTGTCCAACTTGTTTTTTGAAGTCAGCATAATCACATCAAAAGCTGACAAGTCCCTTCTCCCTCTTCCCTCAGACTCTGCTCTCCTCAGTGGGCAGGACTCTGTGCTTCTCCAAATCACACCCTACTTCAGTGTCTAGTTCAAATCCTACCACCTCCAAGAAGTGTTCCCCAAATGCATATCACATTAGATGTATAGATGTTATAAAATTGTATCTATTTATATAGTTTCAGAGCTGAAAGGAGGCTTTGAGATCATTTTATGAAGTCCCAGCAAGTCTCCAGCCAGAACCGGAAAACAAGCCTCCCAACATTTTGTTCAGGGTTCTTTTCACCACACTATTGAAGGTCACTCTTCAACGCAGCAACATTATGAAGTGGAAAAGAGGACACAGGCTTTGGTTGGAGTTACTTTAATGTAGACTTCTCCTTAATTGCTTTTTGAAATAGTTTGTGTAGCATCATAGAGAAACATTTCCATCCCTAAACTTGTAATGTAATCTTATGAAATATCAGAAGACTACACAAAGATGACCTAAAATATTAATATTTTAAGAGTGGTCTTGACTTTCTCTTGTGACCCTGTATTATGGGGAAGGAACCACCTCTTACAAAATACCTACTACTAAGTGTGGGGAACTTCTGTAAACCAGATGTGATGCTAAACAATTTATATGCCTTCATTTACCCAGTCCTAACCCTAATCCTACAGGCCTGCCTCGTGGTGCTGGCAGGAACAGATGGCACATACATAAGGGTAGCTAAAGAGACATTAATGAACGAATAATTTACAAAGGTGTCTTCATCATGAAGAGAGCACAAAAAGGAGCAGCTGAAACACTCAGGGACTAGGTCTTCAGAGGCCAAGTGGAGGGGATGGTGCCCCCAGAACTTGAGCAAAATAAATGCCCTTACAGAGGGCTCTGTGTCTCCATGGAGGACAGCAACCATGGGCCAGTAGGCAGAGGATGAGGAGGAATGATAATCTCATTCCCCTCCAGCCCTGGGACACTGCTTCCCATGGCTGAATCCAGATACTCAGAGAGATTCAGCTGATCTCGCTAGAGTTCAGCCTTCAAACATAGGGCAGAGAAGTAGACCCCACCAGGTACTGCTGCCTTACAGATGAAGAAACCAAGGTACCCCAGGACTCATACCCAGGCATTTCAGATTCCAAAGCTATGATCCTATTTGCCTTGCTGACCACCAAAAGGTGTACAGGGGATGTACACTATACTCTTTTTCTCTGCGTATTTTTGCTTTCTTATTAGACAAAGTCTTGATACAGCAAGTTTCCTTTTATCCTGTATGTAGTTGGAAGGTCTGATGCTCAAAAGGTACAAAAAATGTCAATTAAGTAAAAATTGTCTATTAACCTAGTGTGGTATGGGAGTGTGGATGTGGGTGTATGAGAGACTGAGGCAGGGAAAACACATCAACACATATACTTTTTTAAAAAGCAAACCTTTCCTGGTGCAGTTCTACAGGATCCTGTCAGATCTTGTATTTTCTCTAAGTTACAACAAAGCAAGAGTACCATTTTTTTCACTCTATAAGATAAAACTTCTGTCAATTAGGAAAAACAATGCTGATCTCTGGTTCCTTTAAATTCCCCAATTTCCACTTATAGTTCTGGGGAGGAGCATCAAGAGACCTCAAATCAGAGCGTTGGCCACATGTGCGTGAACAGAAAAATGGACACCTACTTTAAGCCTTATCCAAAATTTCAGTTAATTTTCTTTTTTTCTTCTTAATTTTTGTGGATGCATTGTAGGTGTATATATTTATGGGGTGCATGACTTGTTTTGATATAGGCATGCATCATTTTATTAGGGTGCTTTGTCTGGAGCTTATTTTTTACTAACAAAGCAAATAAGAAAAGTAAAAACCAAGTAATGCAAACATAAAATATCACCCTTTATTATAAAATGTACAATTCTGCTTATTCTCTAACTAGAACAACTCAACATAATGATAAAGTTGTGATTGCAAAAGACAGGCAACTGCTATGGGGACCTTGTTTGCCATGTTTCTGATAATGGTGCAATTGTAGGAAGCTGGATCTCTAATAAAAAGACTATGGGCTGCTGCAACTCTAGGAATGGAAGCTTCACATCTACCATCTACTGCTTGCTGCATACCCCACTGCATCGGTCACTGAGGCGCCCAATACCTGAGGAATTGAAATCAACATTATGTTAAGATGCGGGAGCTCTCAGAGAACATGCAGCCACTCTTAGGAAGTACAAGAGGACTGGAGGGGGAGTCCTATAGACTGAATGCTTCCATCCCCCCCGCCGGAATCATATGTTGAAATTCTAATCCTCAACGTCATGGTATTAAGAGGTGGGGCTTTTGGGAGGTGGTGAGGTCCTGAGGGTAGTGCCCTCCTCCATGAAATTAGTACCTTTATGAAAAGAGACAGGAGAAAGCTTGCTTCTTTTGTCTCTTCTCTCCCAAGTAAAGACACACCAGAGGAGAGTCATCTGCCAACCCGGAAGAGGGCCCTCACCAGAACCTGACCATGCTGGCACCCTGATCTCAGGCTGCCCAGGCTACAGAACTGTGAGAAAGAATTCTGTTGTATAAACCACCCAGGCTATGGTATTGGCAATAGCAGCATGAGCAGCATAAAATAGGGCAGGTTCAAGGCCTTTACCTAAGAACCTGATGCTCAAAAGATACAAAAAGTGTCTATATTCCCATCAACAATCCATTCTCCTGATGAACTTGCCAGTATCCTGAGGTTTGCAGCCAGGGAAGTCAGCCCATGTTTGCTAAATAAATGAATGAGAAGTGGAAGTGGAGATGATGGAGCAGGTACATGGCTGAAAACCTGTTTATGTCAGAGCCCATTTCCTACCTTTTTACCTACCTAGAAGGCAGCCAGCACTTCTCAGTTCCATCATACAGAGAACATTTTGCTGAGATGACACCAACTTCCAGTTCTTCACAAAGATGCAGGTGACTATTTACTGCCCTGCACTCTGATATCTCTCCCTGTGCCCTGGGAAGGAAACAGTCTTTGAAGCCTCACTGTGGAGCTTAGCCATGTGTTTCTCACTCCCCTTCCCCCTTCTATCTCTCCTAATTATGGAGTCCAGGCCACTATCTCCACTGGTCCAGATCACTGTCCTAGCATTCTAAATGAACTGTCAGCTCCTATTTGTGTCTTCCAGCAGTTTACACTCTACTTAATAGCAGGAGTGACCCTGTTGAAACACAAGCGAGTTTGTGTCACCTCTCTGCTCAAACCATCCAGCGGCTCTTCATTCTTTTCAGAGAAAATCCCAATTCCTTATGGTGACCACAAGGTTCCACGTGGCCTGGCCACTCACTGCCCCCTACAATGCTCCATGACATGAGCTGCTGCAGCCACATGGGCCAAGTGTGCTTAAATCTCAGGGCCCTTGCACAGGCTTGCTTCCTCTGCCACGAAGTCCCACCCCAAATGCCAGCAGGCTCACTTCTTCACCTCCATGAAGTCTGCATTCAAATGGCCCCCTGCTCAATTAAATCCAGCTGGACCACTCCATTTAAATTCCAACATCCTCCCTGACTGAATTTCCAAATCCTCTTACCTTGGTTGCATTTTCTTTTCTCCATATGGCTTATCACCTTACAATTTGTTATGTAGTTTACTTAATTATATAATATGACGTAATATTATATACTTATGTTTTTTGCTCTTTTCTCCCTCATCCCTCCTGCCTATGCAGCCCTCAGCCTTCAGCATGAGAACAGGGACATCAGCCTGCTTTGCCCATGGAACTGTCTCCAGAGCCTACAACAATGCTCAGCCTATGAGAGGTGTCTCCTGTATCCTTGTTAAGTGAATGAGCAATTGTGGGAAGGGATAATTACTAGCTCCCTTCAGTTATGCAAAGAACAAGGGAGATGCCTGCCACCTTTTGCACCCTGAATCACAGGGTGGTAAGGTGTACAGGCCTGGCACCTGGTAGAAGGCATGGGAGTGCACATTAGCTATGCAGCCCTGGGAAAGGCTGCATGCCGGTATACTTTATGCAAGTGAGCAAACAACATTGACAACTATTAATAATTTACAAAATGCTAAAGAAAATAACCCAGTTTTTTAGTTTGCGAGAGGAATTACTGCCGGTGGCTATTATTAGATGCAATTTTTTACCCCAGGAGACGTATGGTCATATCTGGATTTTTTTTTTTTTTTTTTTAGTTGTCACATCTGGGAGGATCATGGGAGAGCTGCTTCTGATATCTGGAGAGCAGAGGCTAGGAGTGCTGCTCAACATTCCACAACGCACTGGGCAGCCCCCTGTATAGCATGACCTGGCCCCAAATATCAATAGAGCCGAAGCTGAGAACCCAATCCTCCAAAATACATACAGTGAATATTTTCAAATTGATTAAGTATGTTCATTCATTTATGTGAAACTTTATATGTGATATGCTAAGACTTCATCTAATACAAAATGTAAATGAATCATAAAAACATTTTTTAACCTGCCCTCCTTCAACAAAAGGTTTAGAGCAACATTGCTTAAACTAGAATGTGTTCATTTCTCATTAAAAAAAATTATTCCTCTCCTTCAATGAAGGTGGTAGGTATTCATATTTACATAATATATAAGTCGGTGAAATATCAGATACATTAGAAAATTTAAAAACAAATAATTGGAAAAATAGTTCCTTGTAGACACCTTTATTATATATGTGTTCATTTATTCATACCATGCTTTTAATAGCAAAGTCTTTATTCATGTCTGGAGTTTGATTTTTAAATCTTCTAGGTCATTAAATGAATGTCTTTAATAATCTTAATATCATCATCAGTAAATTTAGCAAAGAAATGCCACAAGAGCCATCAATTTGATCATATTTGAGCTCTGGGACAAATTATGTTGAAGAACTTTTCAGCTAAAAAAAAAGGGAAGTTTTTATAAAAGTGGAGAAAGAATAGGAAGAAAAGTGAAAAGTACTTTGCAGTTTGTATCGGATTTTTTTTTTTTTTTTTGAGGTGGAGTCTTGCTCTGTTGACTGGGCTGGAGTGCAGTGGTGCGATCTCAGCTCACTGCAACCTCTGCCTCCGGGGTTCAAGTGATTCTCCTGCCTCAGCCTCCCGAGTTGCAGGGACTGCAGGTGCGTACCACCACGCCCAGCTAATTTTTGTATTTTCAGTAGAGACGGGGTTTCACCATGTTGGCCAGGATGGTCTCAGTCTCTTGACCTCGTGATCTGCCCTCCTTGGCCTCCCAAAGTGCTGGGATTACAGATGTGAGCCACCGCGCCCAGCCTGGGGATTTGTATAATGTGGCAGTATGATAAAATTACTGTCTCTCCACAACCGAAACCTCAGATGTCTATGTTCAAACCTAAACTAGTCTTAACATCTTGAAAGTCTGCAGTCACTTAATCTTTATCTCTAAATCTACTGTTTATTTTCTCTATTTACCTTTTCTGCTGTTTTTTTTGATAAATTAACATTTCTTGAAATAAAAAACACACTGATAACAGACTCATGTTCAATTTACCTTAATTATTCACAGAGAAGACTTTCCATTTCAACAAGCCTCATTTATATGCAACTGGCAATTTCTCTAAACAGAAGAAAAGGGGAGATTTTGCCAATCAATTGGCTTCACCATCCCCCAGCCCCAAAGTGTGTTTAAGAACATTTGCCTGTGCATGCATGTGTTTTCCTTTGCATCCCACAAGAGGAAGGTAGGCATATTGCATACAACTGCAGCTTTCTCACCTGAGAAACATTCTTGGGTTTAATGTCGGTATGAACCATTAGGATTTAGCATAGCATCAATGACATGCTAACATATATTCGCTCAGTAGCCATGGGAAGATCACTTTCTCGTATAATTTATGCAATTAAACTTTCCCATTTTCCTGGATGTATGCATGGAAACCATCCACTGAGGCTGCTGTCCATTGAGTTGGAGCTTTTGCATGGCAGAACTGGAGAGTCCAATTGAAAACACAGAAGTGGAGCTGCTCCAGAGAGGGTGCGGCACGAAGACTCTGTGCAGGCTATTTCAGAGCGAAGCGAGTGGGCTCAAATGTGCTGAATGCTCACTTGCTAACACAGACAGCACCAAGATAAACACCTACAAAATAACAGCAAGACACAGACCTGTAGGAACTCCGAGCTGGGCCAGCCTCAGGAGAGGTTTCTCCCAAGGACACTGTTCTTACGCATAGATGGAGAATCACCTGGAAAGAACAAGACTGTGAGCCAGACCCCAGCCTGCAGAGTATTGGTCCCTCAAACTTGCGTTCTGCCCTTTAAACGGCATCACAATGGGTTAACAATTGTGAAGCTTGAAAATAATTGTTTTCCCCTAAGAATGGGCCTGGGCTTACAGCACATTTGTGAGACAGAACAGGGGGTGGAGAGGCCAGGGATCTAGATTCCCCCATTTATTGTCTCATGTTACACTAAAAAAATTGGGGGTTGTTACCCGGTTCTACAGATGAGGAAGCAGAGACTGGAGGGTTTGATAAACCCCTGGAGGTCATGCAAATACCCTGTAGTAAAGCTTAGATTTTAACCAGATCTTTTTGTGTTCCAGAAGCTGCATCTCTGAGTCATGAGACATGCAGACCATGGCAGATGGTCCCGTGACAGCATTTATTACCTTAAACGGGAAGTCTCAACCCACCCTCCTCCCCCACATCCACTCCCCACTTGAAGATAGATACATATGATAGGACAAGGCTGTGATTTAAACTTAGCTCAGGATGGTGCTGTGCCTGAGCATATGGAAAAGCTTTTAAATTCAGTTTCAGATTTATATCTGCTGACAAGGGGTAAAATGAATTCTTGGTCTTTGTTCGAATGGAAAAAAGTCTCTACATTATTAGGCGCCATAATATTTTATTCAAATCTTCTTAGAAATTTTTGGATATTGCATCTGGGGGTAAGTGTGCCTCTTTGATGTCATTCAGAAGTGTGTGTATCTTGGTTACTGTGTACAAAATGCACTGGTCCAGTTTTTTCAAAGTGCCTTGACGCTATACATTAAATTGCAATCAAGAGAATTGAATATGGAAAGTAGAGTTTTTTTTTTTTTGCAATCCTTCCTTCAACTCCTAAAGTCAGCTCTTTAGAGAAAATTAGCACTGATAATAGGACAAGATGATAAAGAATACATCCGTGTTACAGCTTCTAGTGCCACTCCCCCAATCTCACATTAATGCTACACTGATTTCAATGGAACATTGAGAAGAAATATTTCTCTAGTCTGAAAGTAAAGCAGGAATTACAAACTCAGTAATTAAGTTAGGATTAGGTTTGCTGCAATATAATGTACATATATGCAGATATAGTTCATTACCCTTACACATAAAAGTGATCTAAAGAGAGGTAGCCCAAAGCTGTTCATGTCTACTATGCCTCTCTGCCTTCCTTAGATGACACTTCACAGTCCAGAATGGCTGCTTTTGCTCCAGCCATCATGTCCAAATTCTAGCCTGCAGTGAGGAGAAAGCAACAAAAAAAGGACATGCTCATTCTTTTTAAAGAGCACTTCATAGAGAATGTTCATTTCACTTTCAGCTATCTTTTGTGGCTAGAACATCAAGTATGTGGTCACACCCCACTACAGGAGGAGCTTGGAAACGTAGGGTTTATTTGGGCCCCCAAGTGCTAAACTAAAATCTGGAATTGAAACATAAATGAAGAAGAGAATAGGTATTCAAGTAGGCATACTCTGCAATTATTTCTAGGTCAGTGCTATGCCCGTGGGATAAACTTTTCAAGTAGAGGTCCAATACTGACAAGAGTGAGAGGGACTGAGGCACGTCTCCAAAGCATTCTATGATCCTGGTTCTCATGACTGGGCCCTGAAACTTTGCACCTCAATTCCCTTGACTGGATCTCTGAGCTCCTCTCTGTATATGGGTTCCACCACCCATGTCTCTCCTGGGCTGAGGCCTTGCCTTCCCTGAGTGAGTCCTGCTCTGTTACTCTTGCTTGTCCACCTGTCCCCACAAACTCTAGGAACTAGAACCTGGCCCCAGTCTGGTCTCAAAGCCAGGCATTGGGTGAGTAAAAAGAACATCAGTTTGGGGCTACACTGGACCTCAGTTCCAAGCCCATGTCCATGACTTTTGAGCCACCTGGCTTTGTGCAAATTAGCCTTTGTATACTTCTATTTCCTCTTTTGTGTAAAAGTGGAATATTAATAGTATTTACCTCATATGGGCTGCAATGAGTGTTAGCCACCATTGTTATTGGTGTATGTTCGTGGACAGAAGGCCTATGTCTCTGTCTAGTACAAGGATATCCTGGAAAAGAACATGCCTAACCCTTCTTTGATTTAATGAGACCTTCCCATATCTCTGGTTCTAATGGGATGAAGCTCCCTAACTACCTAGTGCTGGTCTACACCACCACTTTGTCACCTCAGCTCCGTTTTGTGATGGGACAGGGACCCTTCCCTCCTCTGCAGCACATCTGTTTCTCTCAAATAGATTTGTTTCAAGTCTCAACTCAGGCCATGATCTCTGAAGTTGGGCCCCCTCATGACGTGACAGGATGAACAATTTGTACATAACAGGTGCAATTTAAATTCCTGTCTCATGCATTAAAGGCAGCTTCCATTTAGGCTTCTGTGGCCACCTTCTAGAGCCATCAAACTCTGTATCTTGAAAAAGTTCACCTTGAAAGCCTTTCTGCCATTGCCAGTGACAGGGGTACCCTCTCACCATGCCGGCAGGTTCCTATAGTGTCTGAGGACCTGAGATTGACATTTGTCTCAGCACATCTTTGGAGCATAAAGCCAGAGAACTGCCAAAGTAATGTGACAGCCACCATTTGATGATGCAGATAATAGCCACGAGAAGCCAGACAGAAGGATTTCACTCTAGCAGGTAAATGTTAGCTTAGCCTTTATTTAAAACATGCCTGTCCTGAGATCAAGTTTGCTAGAGAGAAGAAGAATCAGAGGAGTTGGTAATATTTGGATTGATCATAATGAAATGTATCACTTTTCCTTTTAAAAATGTTTATAAGTTATTTGACTAGTTTTACAAGTTTTATATGTTTTGCAAGTGAATTTTAACCCCTATGTTTATCTATCACCAAGACAATGCCTTATATCAGGCATTGATGATCTCAATTAAAGACCTCTTTACTGTCTTCTCAGGTCCTAGTGACACTATTTCCAATCAACCCTCTACCTTTGCAGAAACTGTGGTTCAAAATGTAAATTGAATTGTGCCACTGTCTTGCTGAAAAGTCTTCAGTGGTTTTCCACTGACTTCTGAATAAACCATGACATAAGTCCCAAGATGACCTGACAGGCCCTTGCTTCAATGTCCACCAACCCCCTGCACATGCATACGTACACACACACACATACACACACACACACACACACATGCACACACACAATTAACTCCAGCCACCCTGAAGTCCTGGCAGTCCCTCAGCATTTTCCTTCTCACCCATGAACCTATATACCCATCTGTGATGGTTAATATTGGTGTTAACTTTGATCGGATTGAAGGATGCAAAGTATTGTTCCTGGGTGTGTCTGTGAGGGTGCTGGCAAAGGAGATTAACATTTAAGTCAGTGGAGTGGGAGAGGCAGACACCCCCTCAATCTGGATGGGCACCATCTAATCAGCAGCCAACTCAGCCGGAATAAAGCCAAGCAGAAGAACGTGGAAACATTAGACTTGTTTAGTCTTCTGGCCTCCATCTTTCTCCCAGGCTGGATGTTTCCTGCCCTCGAACATTGGACTCCAAGTTCTTTAGCTTTGGGACTCAGACTGGCTTCCTTTCTCCTCAACTTGCAGATGGCCTATTGTGGAACCTCATCTTGTGATCGCATGAGTCAATACTCCTTAATAAACTCCGCTTTATATATACATCTATCCTATTAGTTCTGTCCTTCTAGAGAACCCTGACCATCCCTCTCGCTGCAATGACATTTAAACCACCTTCCTTCTGTAGCTATTTTCCATTTCTCCTTCGGTCTCAGACCTCAGCTTCTTCAGAAAGTTCTTCTGACCATCCTTTCTGGGTTATAAACCTCTTCTATATGACAACATCAAGCCCACACTTTCTACTGTGGTCTGAAAATACCTGTCTCCAGTATTGTTTTGGAAACATTTGTGATCAGTCCTCTCTCTTTCACCTACATATTTTATATCCATTTTCTACTGCCCCTAAATGATGTTGCATATCAAACAACCCTAAATCCTTCTGTGGCATACAGTATTAAACATTCATTTTCCCTCAAGAGTATAGGACTGGTTGGGCAGCCCTGCTGCTGATGCTGGCTGGGCTTGTGCATGCACTCGCAATCAGCAGATGGACAGGGGCTAGCTGGTGAGGATGCCCTCAGCAAGGAAAATTTATCTCTGCTCCATCTGGTCTCTCATCCTCTGGCAAGCTAGCTTGGACTTGTCCTTATGGTGGAGGGGAAGTTCTAGGAAAGAGCACTGAAGCACATAAAGACTTCCTGAGGCCTAGGCTCAGCACCAGCACATGACTTGTGCTGAATTCTTTTGGCCACTGCAAAGTACAAAGCCAAACCAGGGTAACAGATTCCAGCTCTCAGTGAACGGAGCTGGAAAGTCACTTTATAAAGGTAGTAGAGCTAGGGAAGGTGTGAACAGGGACCATCAGTTCAATCAATCTATGGCTTAGCCCCAGTGCCTACTCAATCCCTGGCTACTCAAGAAATGTATATTGCATGAATGAAGTGAGGAAAACTGAAAAAAAGTGTTCTGAGGTTGAAGTGTCACCAGTGCCATCAATAAGGCAGCTGGATCTGGCAACCTGATACCCATGAACTTGGCTAGCCACACTGGAGCCAGACAGCAGGCGACTAGGAATGAGCCCCTGCCTACTTCATAGAGCCGAGATGAGAAACAAGGATTTTCCACATTGAATGTCTGCCTGAGCATCTTTCTGTTTCTGCACTAATCTCTGTATTAGTCACATTTTTTACATTTTATGATGTTTTGATATCTTGGGGCCTTCAAGACCTAGAGGGGAGCTTCCCCTCCCAGCATCAGCTAATTCCCAGAGATAACAGACAACTTTCCCCCATGGTCATGCCTTTGATAGGCAGCTAACCAATCCCAAGTCCATATCCTCCACCTGCCTCCTTTTATCAGATGTCTGCAGTCTGGGACACTATCCCCCTGCCTTAAATCACCCAGGGCCCAGAAGTGGACAACTGGAGACACCTATATATCCCAGAGCTTGGTGAAATTATTCAAACTATCCAATTCTAAGTCTGCTCAGCTGCTTACTCTGCCTCACCCATTCCTTTACTGAGAAACCACAAAAGTGCTCCCCACCCCCACCAATACCCCCCCACCCTGTCGACCCTACCTCTGGCTCCTGACTGGCCCTGGTGCTCCCTGTGGCTCTTTGACGTGTGATGTGCCCCCTCCTCCGGGGAACTGTGAGTCACAAACTGTCTTTTCAAAGGCAGTCATCTCCTGATCTGTTGGCCTCACCATATTTGAATAAAAAAAATAAATCCCAGATACATGTTATAACGGCTTCAATACCTGCCTCCAAAAGGCCTGGACACAGGGAAGGTGGAGAAAGGAGCAGGTAGAGTCCAGGAGGAAGTGCTCAATTGCAATGTGGTGAAGGAAATGGTGATGTGCGCAGCCTGTGTTTGTGCTTATCTTGCCTGTCTCTCCACAGTCTTCCCTTCCCTTTGCCCTCTCTCCCACCCTTATTTAAAGTCTACAACAGAAATGATTCATGGTCCTATTTTCAGCACCGTGACTGACCAGCAATGCATGGCAGAGCATCCATCAACGTGTAATGTTTCATCCCATACATTTCCCTTTCTCTTCTCTCCCCTATCTCTTCTCTCTTTACTTTTCTTTCTCCGCTCTCACCTCAAATCTTGTTAATATGCTTTTCCCAGCATTTCTTAATAGGGTTGCAATTAGCATATTGAAATGGGCCACAGAATTTAACAAATGTGACCCTACCTATTAATTGCAGTGGCATCTCCAGTGAGTGAGACCCGCAGACATTTCCTAACACCACATAGAAAGCCAATGCTACACCTTGCTTGAGAGGTTAAGCACCTTGGCCTTTCTTTCCAGTTTTCCTCACTGACCCAAGCTAACTAGTCAATCTAGTTCTGTAAGGTCACTGGTTAGTCCTTCCTTGTTTGGTCATATGTGGCTGCTTCAGCATAAACACACGCTCCACTGCTGTAGCAAAAATCTGAGTAGGAAGCTGAGATCCCAGTAGAGAAAGGACCCGAAAAATCCACCAGTACCCTGCTTCCCACTCCTGGGTCAATGCCTTTCTCTCCCTCTGCCTGGCTCCCCTTCTCTACATCCTCCCTCCTTCTCATTTTGCCCTGTCCTTTGTCTCCTGCTACCTGCCAGCCATCTCCACTCACCTTTGCCTGCACTCACCATCACAGCCCCTGGGGGACGTTCTGTTTTACCCACAGCTCTTATGCAACATAGAAAATTCTTCTTCAATGTGGCTTTGCTAATATCAATTAGAATTTCTCAAAAGTTACATTACTAAGAAATCAACGGATAAAAATAACTGCAGGATGGATACATTTACTGCACTTATTCTTACTCAACTTTAACTCAAGTGTAGCCACGGTTTGGTCTGGGGAGTTTCATGGGAAGCTCACAGCCCTGGCTGTTTCTCTCTGTGGCTTCGTTGCTGGACAATGCACTCTAGCACTGTTTGGACCAGCTGTGGAGTAGCTTTGTGGCTGGTATTGGCTGGCTTCTCTGTCCAGCCAGAATTGGCCTCCTGCTACCTCTCTGAGTACTTCCGCCTAAGTCCATTCCTATTTGACATGCTGTTGCTGTTGGCTTTGGTTTAGATGTGCAGCTGCTTTAGGACAGAGAATCATGTTGTGGTCTCCACCACCCTGGAGAGAGAGGCCCATTCATGAGGAATCCCAAGACTCCACCCCCGGCCACCTTCACCCTCCTACAAGTCCTCCATTCATTCTCCTCACCCCCGTTTCTACCTACTCAACTGGACCTGTCTGTGGGACTCTCATTGCCTGGGTATTCTTACTAGCTTTTACTTGGTCTTTGTTTATTTATTCTATTTCATTTCATTCCATTTTATTGTTTGCCTAGTAGTCTAGGCTAGTATAGGAAAGAGAAAAGCCCTTGAATGTACAACTATAATTCTGTCTGCCTACTAGGGAGAGGCACCATTACTTTCAGGATAGCTTTTGGTTTAACCAGTTCAAGGATAAGTCACTCAGGAAAAAATAAACCTCAGGACATGGCTCAGAAAGTGAAGAAATAAGATCAGTTCTATCACTATAATCAAAGTAATTAATTGGGGTTTCCTGGAGGGAGAAAATTTGGAAAAGTTCAGTGAGAAAGTAGAAGCAAATATCCTACGAAAGGGTTTGGCCAGCAGAAATGACCAAGGACATTTCAGGGATATGGGGGTCTAAAATCTAACTGAAAGGATCTTGTTGTCACCCTGTCTTGTTTGCTTGCTCATTCTTTGGTGTGGTATAGCAATGCTTAATAACACATTCTCTCAACCCTCTCACTCAGACACAAGTCTTTTCCTCAAAACTTAAAATCTGTTGCAGACATAACCTCCTGTTGTCCATACTTTAGGGGAAAAGATAAGGGATAGAAAAGGACAGCAGGCCCAGCATGGGTGGTACCAGCCAGTTCCATAGAGCCTGGGATTTGCCCTCAGACCACTCACTCTGTCACTCTGGCAATAATTTTGTGACTCAGAAAATTATTTCTTAAACTTCAAGTTCTTCATTTGTAAAATGGGGATAGTAATAATACCTAATTCAGAGGGCTGAATACGTAGTTCTTATTGGTAAAGCCTAGTGTATCATATGTTTTGTTAAACAAATGTGAACGTTCAAACATACTACCTAGGTAAAAGTGGGCACACGAAACAAAAGTAATCAAGAAAATCAAATCCCAGAAGGACCGGGATGCTAGATTTACATTTTACATATTATGGCCATGATCTGATTTCATGTGAATCTAAACAGACCAGGACACCCCAATTGATATCAGGATGACACTTGTGTTGTTCCCTGGTCTCCATGCTATTTTCAGGGTTGAAGCACTCCTACTTCCTGCTGAGTTACTGTTTACAGTTTGAAAAGTTCTTCATGTGAGTTCTATGTAGAGCCGGGACACCCACCGTGGTCCAAGCCCAAGCACAGCCTTAGACCTCTTGGCTTGACACTGGTGTATGTCCTTGGAGGTAATAGCAGCCATGGCTTTTCAGCATGAGCGCAGAAACTCCGGCCGATTAGAGCAGAAAAGGAAATTATTCACGACAACAAAACGAAATGTTGGGTTGATGGTTGATTCCAGAATCCCACAACAGCCAGGAGAACCAGACTTAGAAAATAAGCAGCAAAAAGGAGGGCTGAGCAGGAGCCACGGTCACAGCCAAGTCTGTCAACACGGCCAGGGCAGCGAAGACCGTGGCCCACCCGGCCCACCTGCACCAGCTTCCGCAGCTGCTGCCTCTGCGCCTCCTGCTGGGCTCCCACGCTTCCACTTAGGCTTTGGCTGGGGGTTTGCCGGGGGGAAGGGGGATTGGCTTCTGAGCACCACTGCTGGAGCAATACCTGTGCTGTCCTTGCACACTGGACGCCAGGACCACTGCAGCAGTCCCCATGTGCCCCCGGGTAACGACATCTTTGCTTTCCCAACTCTGAGTCACTGGCTCCCACTACAAGTTCCGTGGTGCGGGGATCTGAGGCCAAGCCTAACACAGGCTTTGGCCCTAAGCGCACAGAAGGCCGGAAAGCCAGCATCTGACGTTTTCACCTGCTGTGGTGGGCGGTGGGATTCCAAGATTCGCGAGGTAAAGGTTTCCCCGTAAATAGGGAGGGCTTTGATACTGCGCAGCCAAGGCAGAGAGAAGACAACACAGCAGAGTACGAGCCCTGTGCACTGCGGGCCTGAAGAGCCAAGCGCACAGAGGGGGCGAGAAGTAGACCCGGGTCCTACTCACCGCCCAAACTGTGGGGCCTGTGCGATCATTCAGATGAACACTTCTGATATATTTATTGATTGACTGATAATGTGGTCTTATTACATTATTATATTGGCCTATACAACAGTTCTGTTCTGAATCTATTTTTAAAATACACTTATTTCCATATACTTGCGCGTATGTGTATACACTGGGGTAAAATTTTATAGTGATTGTGTAAATTAAATAAATATATATGCAAAGCTTGGAATATAGTTCATGCTTTAATGAGTTTCATGCCCCTAGTATTTTTCTGGAGTCAGTAATTTCAATATAACCTTATTGTGTTAAAATGTTTTTCACAAAATTACCTGCACTATTCTTCTGTATGTATTTATGGTTAATACATTTGAAATTGTTGACACATTTAGTTGACTCTTCTTTGAAAAGCATAGCATTTTTTAAAGGAGAAAATAGACTTTCTATGGGTGCTGAGGTATCTGATAAATTCAGATAAAATTCTGCTAAATGAAGGATAGTCTCAAAATTATTTTCTATTAAAAAGGATACTGCAGTCTGAGTATCATTGTTTGTTTGTTTGTTTTTGACAGGGTCTCGCTCTGTGGCCCAGGCTGGAGAGTATGGTGCAATCAAGGCTCACTGCCCCATGTTCAAGCCATCCTCCCACCTCAGCCTCCCAGATAGCTGGGACTAGAGACACACATCACCACGCATGGCTCTGGGTTACTTCAATAAGTATTTTTCAATAAATATTTCTTCAATAAATATTTAATAACACAAAGCTCATGAAAATTTATCTCTATTATTTCTTGGAATATTGTGGCCAATTTTAGATGGTCCAAAATTGTGATCTTTTCATTTTTATTATATGCTGGTTTAGAATAGAAATTTTCTAATTAAAAATAGCATCATCATTAAAATATTCTTCTTCTAAGTCAAGATTATCCAAAGTATAGCAAATGCCAAAATCATTTCATGTAGACTCTCTGATCTCCCCTCATCGGATGTGTTCTCTGCTTCTGTGGTTCTGTAGGAATAAAGAGCACTCTCTCCCTGTTAGCAAATTTTATCCTCAATGATTACAATTTACTAAAAGCTTTGAAAGACAAAGTTGTTTGGTGCTCCATGTGTCCAATTATTTAGTTAAAAATTTTCAACCAGTTTTGAAAATACAACAAAAATGTAAGGGACTTGTTTCCAAAATATGTTCAGTACCACAGAGGGCACTTACTGTGATTTTAAACTAATCCTTCATAAAGGCTCACACATTTTCTAAAACTGGATTCATAATGAACAGCAAAGAAAGAAAGCTCAGACTGCAAGACTGAAGTTTTATTTATTTATTTATTCATTACTTTATTATTTTAATTCAACACCATCAGAAACAATGTTGTAGCTCAGGTATAAATACATAGAAATCTTTATAAATATATAGAATAAATATATAGAAAATTAGGTATAAGTACATAGAAAATTTTGTTAACTGCAAATTCAGTTTCAATTGGTAGCAACATGCATCCTGTGTGATTGGTTGTAACGATGGCCTCTGTTTGTGCTACAGCTAATTACACATACATTTCTGCTCTATAGGTTTCTTAATTTAGTTTAGAACATTGTTCATTTTCTTTCCACACTATGCTTCAGTAAAACTTATATTCATAGTATAAGCACAAAAACAAATAATTTCTACTCTCCATGTTGAATTTTAATTTAATTTACAATAGCATTCACAAGTTATGCCAGATATTTAATTTTTGACAGAAAAAAGTTCAAACATTTAGCTTCATAAATAGAGTTAATAAATCAAATAATTTTTGGTTTTACTTTAACTGATTTTATATTTGAAGTATCTGGTGTCACTGATTAAAAGTGTAATCATTTAACTATTTGCCAAGTTCTTTTGCTAATGAAGCTAACATTTCAGTAAGGGTCAGTTCACTTTTCATGTATGCACAAAAAAATTGCAAATAAAAATATGCACAATTAGTTTAGAATAACAGGTGTTTGATATAAATACAAAGATGTTTCACTGTGTGAAATGTAATACAGCTTCTGTAATAGCAGTCTTTCAAGCTTCATCTTAGGCACATATTTGTTAAAATAACTACTAGCCAACTAAATCAGGACTAAATTATAAATCAGTAACAAAGATAACTGGAAAACCCCATAATAATTCAATATTAAACAACATACTTCTGTGTAACACATAGGTCAAAGAAGAAAACTTCAGAATTTAAAAGATATTGTCAACTAACTGAAAATGAAAATACAACTTATCAAACATACAGCAAAATTAGATCTTACAGCAAAATTTACAATATTTACAGCATATATTAGAAAGGAAAGAAGGTCTAAAGTCAATAATCTAAACTTTCACGTAAGGAAACTAGACAAAGAAGCAAACTAAACCCAAAGTAAGCCGAAGAAAATAAATCAGAATTAGAGAGGGAATCGATACAATTGAAATTAAAAAGCCAATATAGAAAAAAATCAGTAAAATCAAAAGCTGATTAGACAAAGGACACAAATTACTAATATCAGAAATGAAAGTCAGAACATCACTACAGATCTCATGGGCAGTAAAAGGATACTGTAAGAATACTATGAGAAACTCTATACCCATAAATTTGATAACTTACATGAAATGAACCAATATCTTGAAAGACACCATCTGTCAAAACTCACATGAGATACACAATCTTAATAAGGCTATATCTATTAGATTAAACCAATAATTAATGACCTTCACAAACAGCACTGGGTCCGGGTAGATTCACTAGTGAATTCTACCAAACATTTAAGGAAGAAATTGTATCAATTCCTTATATTCTCTTTCAGAAGACAGAAGCAGAAGGAATACCTTCTTACTCACACAATGAGTCCAGCATCACCCTAATACCAAAATCAAAGACATTCCAAGAAAACAACAGACCAACATCTCTTATAAACATAGATGCAAAAATCCTCAACAAAATATTAGCAAATTGAATCCAACAATATATAGAAATAATTATACACCAAGACCAAGTGGAACTTATACCAGGAATGCAAGACTAGTTTAACATTTGAAAATTGATTAATATAATACATCACATCAACAGGCTAACAAGGAAAAAACACATGATCATTTCCATAGGTGCAGAAAAAGCATTTTTCAAAATCTAACACATATTTGTGGTTAAAATTCTCAGTGAACTAGGAATAAAGAAGGATTTCCTCAACTTGATAAAGAATATCTACCACAAATCTACAGATAACAGTGTGGTTAATGGTGAGACACTAGAAGTTCTCCCACTAAAATTAGGAACAAGGCAAAGATGCCTCCTCTCACCACTCCTTTTTAGCATCATACTAGAAAACCTAGCTAATACAATAAGACAAGAAAAAGAAACTAGGTGTCCACAGGTTGGAAAGGAAGAAGAAAATCTGTCTGTGTTGGCAGATGACATGATCAGCTATGTTGAAAATTTTTAATATGGACAAAAATACACTCTTTGAAAAGCAATTATAGCAAGGTTTCAGATATAAGGTTAATATATAAAAGCAAATTGCTTTATTATATGTCAGCAATGAAAAAGTGGAATTTGAAATTAAGAACGCAATATCATTTACATCAGTACCCTCTCAAAATGAAATACTAACATAGAAATTTAACAGAATGTGTACAACATCTATATGAGAAAACTTTAACAAATTCTGATGAAAGAAATCAAAGAGCTAAGTAAATGGAGAGGTAGTCCATGCTCATGGATAGTAAGACTCAATACTTTCAAGATGTCAGATTTCACAACTAGATCTATAGATTCAGTGCAATTCCAATCAAAATCCCAGCAAGTTATTTTATAACTATTGAAAAAATGACTCTAAAGTTTATGAGGAGAGGCAAAAAACCCAGGATAGTCAACATGATATTGAAGGAAAGAACAAAGTTGAAGGACTGCCACCACCTGACTTTAAGACTTACTATAAAGTTACAGTAATCAGACAGTGTGATATTGGCAAAAGAATAGACACATATATCAATGGAACAGAATAGAGAGCCCATAAATAAACCCACATAAATATAGTCAACTGATCTTTGACAAAGAAGCTAAGACAATACAATTGAGCCAAGATAGTTTTTTCAACAAATGGTGCTGGAACAACTAGATGTTCACATGCAAAAAAAATAAATAAATCCAGACAAAGGTGGTCTTATCATGAAAATTTGCTCAGAATGAATCACAGACCTAAATGTAAAACAAAAAACTATGGAACTCCTGGAAGATAACACAAGGAAAAAATCTAGATGACCCTGGGTATGACAATGATTTCATAGTTACAGTGGAGAAGCACTATCCATGAAAGAAAAATTTGGTAATCTGGACTTCATTAAAATTAAAAACTTCTACTCTGCAAAAGAGAATGTCAAAGGAATAAGAAGACAAGCCACAGACTGAGAGGAAATATTTTCAAAAGACACATCTAATAGAGGATTGCCATCCAGAAAACACACAGAACTCTTAAAACCCAACAACAAGAAAATAAACAACCAAGTTAAAAAGTGGACCAAGGACCTTGCAAACATCTCACTAAAGAAGATATACAGAATGCAAATAAGCATTTTTAAAAGTTCCACATTAGATATTACCAGAGAAATGCAAATTAAGCAACATTGAGATACTACTATACACCTATTAGAATGGCCAAAATATGGAATACTGACAATAGCAAATGCCAGTGAGGATGTGAAGAAATGAGAAACATCATTCAATGATGATAGGAATGCAAAATAATACATCCATGTTGGAAGACAATTTAGCAGTTTCTTACAAAACTAAGCATACTCTTCTAATACGATCCAGTACTTCTTAGTATTGTATTTACCCAAAATAGTTGAAAACTTACGTCTACACAAAAACCTGCACGTGGATATAACTTTATTAATAATTCCCTAAACTTGGAAGCAACCAAGATGTACTTCAGTGAGTGAATGGATAAATAAACAGTGTTACATCCATACAGTGGTATAACATTCAGTGCTAAAAAGAAAGGAGGTATCAAGCCATGAAAACACATAAAGGAACCTTAAATGCATATGTCTAAGTGAACAAAGTCAGTCTGAAAAATCATACATATTGTATGATTACAGCTACATGACATTCTGGAAAAGGCAAAACTATGGAGACAGTAAAAATGTCAGTGGTTGCTAGGAATTGGAGTGGGGGAAGCTGAATGGGCAGAACACAGAGGATTTTTAGGTCAGTGAAACAGTTTACTGTCTGCATACGACGCTGTAATGTTTCATACATGTTGTCATTATACATTTGTCCAAACCCATGGAATGTGCAATACCAATAGTGAACCCTAATGCAAACCATGGTCTTTGGGTGATGATGTATCAATGTAGGTTTATCAGTTTTAACAAATGTGCCACTCTGGTGGTGGATGATGATAATGGTGAAGGTTGTGAATGTGTGAGGGCAGGGGGTACATGGGAAATCTGTGAACCTTCTGCTGTGAACTCCTCTTTAAAAGTTTTTTTAAAAAACAAATAAATACATAAACAAAGGCTTTAAATACAGATAGGAAAAGAGAACGAGAGAAAGAAAGGACTAAGTCATCTGTTTTCACTTTCAATACTAAGTGGGTCTTGACAGGACAAATTTATTTTAACAGATCTTTCAGCTGGTTGTCATTATGCCCTTAGAAATGTGATTTTTCAATTGGAGAAATACCAGTACAATATTATCGCTCTTGAGAACAGCTCCTTTTCTTTATAAGTATTTGTCTAGTGTATTGACAGAAATAATCAAGTGTAAACATTGGGCACATTGTAAAAGAGAGAGACACTAGCAAGATGATAGAAAAGGAGGTCCCTTGGCTGCTATCTTCCCAAACCAACAATTACTTCACATCCACTCATGGACAAAAGTGCCTTTGTAGAAGCCCTGGGATTGAGGTAGGAGTATGTGAAATGCCAGTAGAACCCAAAACCTAGTAGCTTCCTTTTGAGAGGGTAGACCTTTACCCAGGTAGCAGACTCACAGACTGTGATTTGGGCTGCAGACCAAGAAATGGCCCTGTTTCCCCAAGGGTTTGACTACAGCCCCATTTGGCCTTGGTTCTGCTACCAAAACCATCCACCAAGAAGCCCAAAAAGAGTTTCACATATGCTAGTGCCTCCAGAGACAGGCCATTGACCTCCATCCCAGCTGCGAATCCTAAAACAACTCTGTGACTGGCCCTAGCCCCTATTAACTGTATCCCAACATCAGTCCTGCTTGCACAAGCACCCAGAGGGAGACACAGCTGGAGAGTCCCTAAGGCAGGCTTGCCAACCCCAGGTCCACAGCAGATCTTGAAACAGCCTTGAACATAAGCCCCAACCCCTCTCAGCTGAGGTCTGAGAGCAGTCTGGCAACCCAGTGACCTGGAGAGATGCCTGCCTCTATGTGCCCCAGAAGACAGGCCAGCTGACCTACATCCCACAGCAGATCCAGAAAGGACCCCAAATCTTGTCCCCAACCCCTCCTAGCCAGGCTTGAGGGCAGTCCTGCCAGCATCCAGTCTCCAGAACCCAGAGAGAAACATGCTCATCAGGGCCCCAGCAGGCTGACCTGCTGTCTTCAGTTCCACTGTGGACCTTGAAAGGACCTTATAAATCAGCTCCAGGCCCTTTCAGCTGTGGTCTGAAAGCAGACCTGCCCGCTCACCCAGGGATAAGCTGGGAGACATGTCCATCCATTACTCCAGAGTTAGGCTAGAAGTTTTCAATCTCAGCTGTAGAACCTGAAGTAGACTTCATAACTCGGTTCTAGCTCCTGTCGGTGGCTAACTAAACAAATAAGTGCTGATATTTCCTGAGCACATGTGTGTTTTCCAGTTTTCAAGTTTCTATAAAATCAGTACACTCCTATGACGGATGGTAAATGTCAAAACCTTCTGTACAGGTTATGTGTCTATCATCAACTCTGTTGAGAAACAAAAATGTAGTATTTTATTTTTTATTAAACTTGCATTTTCTCTTTTTAAGGTTATTAATACTAAAAGAGTAGATTGTAAAATTTAAAAGCAAACATTAAAATAAATTTAGCTGTAGATCTATCCCTATCCTGAATGATAAAACCTCTGTAGAAAAGTCAGCCTCTTCAGTACACGGAGACAATAGTATACTCAGTCTCAGTCTCAGTCTCCCTCACATATTTTAGAGACCTTGGGAGAAAATTTCCCCGGGTTCTCGTGGACCTTGGCCTGGCATGACTGGTTGGCATGCCACATGGCTTGCACAAGGCAGGGCTGGATACTTTTCTCACCAGCACCCATGACCAGAAAAATAAACCTTCCTTAGCCACTCATGACTCAGTGTTGGTTTTATCAGGGAGTGTTGCATTGTGGCATTGAAAGGGGGATGCTAGTTATTTTGCAACCAGAAAGGACCAGGGAAAGAAAGACGAATCGTCACTGGTCATCTTTCATATATTATCGCACGGCAAGAGTCTTCTGCTTTCTGCATGTGCTTCTCACATACTAGAACACAGGACCACAGCAGAAGCTTGAAGCATGAAGGAAAGGTCTTCAAAGCCTGGTCTGGATTCTTTCAATGCAACCATTAATACTTACATTTGTTTAAAAATGAAAGAATCTGGGAAAAACACAAAAGTAGATGAGAGGTCAGAACAGAACTTGCAAGTTTAGCAGGAGTGCCTTCAGGGCCCAGCATCATTTGCAGCCTGTGGTAGCTGGGCAGCTACATCACTACATCACTTCAGATTTTAAACTCCATGAGCTGGGCTTCTCTCTAACAGGCCACAGGTGCCCTGAACCCACAGACCACTGGGTATGGTCCAGATTCTCCTGCAGCCCACTATGTGCATATAGCCAATGGGTTCAACATCATGCTGTGGTTAAGGTGACATTATATTTTTCTAAGCACTGTGGCTGTCGTACTTAAAAAGACAAACTCTGATGACATGACTAGTGTCATTCTTTGATTATAGAGATGACTATTCATGAGCATGTTTGAGATGCAGCATATAAAATAGGAAAATGAGAGTGACCTTGATGAAGTTAAATATAAAATTTGACCTTCTTAGAAACCCACATACTTTCACATTGTATTTCAGTGTTACATTTCTCATCTGTAGTAGGATTGCCTTTTTCAGAAAACAACAACAACAACAAAAAACATGGAAATAGACTTGCAATGTCAAGACATTTTCTCCTGAACTCCTTCTTTACGCTTTATAACCAGTCTTTAAATCTGCAGCCGCAGGATCCTGTAAGTATGCTGGTGGTGTTTCACAATAGGACCTACTAATTATAGATAGTTTTAGGGTTTTTTCCTCAGGCAGACAATAGTCCCAGCGTGTTACAAAGGTTTTAGACTTTAGCAAGATTTGCAAGAAAGAACAACACTTTTAAGTACCAAGATAAGAATAGAAAGATCTTAACTAGGGAAAGTTTGCATTAACTCAAAATGTGATTTAATTATTCGATTACATTTCAGAGTTAGAATCAGGCTTCCTGAAAGCATTACTTTTTAAAGACATACATATTTTTCTCATTGTCTCAGCTCCAGATTCTAAGTGTGTCTGACAGTGATACACCAAGACATCACAATAAAGGCAACTGCAAAACTGCTTAGGATTGTCATTTAACTCCTAACTCAAAATATTGGGAAGTACAATTGTGGTAGTAATGTGTAGAAACTGTTGGTTATCAGTTTCCTGCCAGCGGGAGTGTTTTAAAAAATACAACCCTTCCCAAAAGCATGCGTACAAAATGGCAGATTACAGAAGAAATGTATAACTGCCATTTAGTTTACCCCATGAAGTAGCTGCCAAACAGGTTGTGACAATCACAAGTTCTTATAAAGAGAGTTAGTATGTAGAAAGAATGAACTCAGGAAAATCCTGAGAAAGGCCTGCAAGTACTGGGTGCTTTGCACATTTGTTTAACTCACTGTGTGGTGAGAAAGGGCCATGCAGTGTGCAAGACAGCATGCACCTTAGTGGAGAGGAGCAAACCCAGCAACACTGTGGTAGGCAGAGTGGAAATGGCCCTGAGGAAGAACAAGGTGTGGGTAAGAGGGAAAAGCCTGCTGAAGGAAGAACACGGGTAGTGGGGATAAAGCATAGAATATTTTAGAAGGACAAAATATTGGGGAAAAGAATGGCAGAAATGACTAAAACAGTGCCCATAATGATTTTAAATTTGAGAAAGGTGATGGAAATGGCCAAAGATGCCAGAAAAAAGGGATAAGATTGAAGTCACAGAGAACTCAACCATCTACCAGAAAATAATGTCCATTAGAGGCCACTAGGCTGGTGCCCTCCTTCCCAGTGACTGTCTTCTTTTTTAAGTCAAGGCTCTGTCCCACTTTAATGGACAGAATTAAAGCTCTGACCTTCTTTACGCTTCCATCAAAGAAAAAAAAATCCTTAAAAACTGTAATCACTAAAAATTCAACTTTCTGTGATCAAAGGAGAAAGAGAATTAGCTCTTACATCAACTATCAAAATGGTATTAAGAGCCGAAAATGACCAAAGAAAAATTATCACAGTTTAGTGTGCCCTGCTACAGAGTTAAGGCTATGCCAGCAACTCATATGACAAATTTTCTTCTTTGATGGTTCAGAGCCTGGCCTAACAAATCTACTCTGGATTGTTCTGTAGCTCCAAGTAAATTACATTTGGTACATGTTTAAATAAACTGTAAACTCATTTCAAAGTTACCGGAATGTAAGAAGGTATAAATTACAGGTTTGGGGGGCTGTAGATTTGTATTATGTGGTGGTGTTTACCATCTCTGTATTTTTTACCTCTTAAAGTTACAGATGCCTTTTTACTTTGAAACAAGCATTTGCGAGTGGCTCAAGGAAGTATAACTCACTTTACTTCATAGAAATATCATGGTTCAAGGCAAGGTGAGCTCTTCCCTATTTCTAATCTCTAGGTTTTTCTTCATTGTTACTTTGCTTTGCAGGAATTTTACAAATCTGAACTACAAAACTAGTTCTATACAAGGTGGGCTAAGACCAATGTCTATTCCTTATTCCAAGAAATAAATAATGCAGAATGTTCACTGTACATAGGATTTATCCAGAGTAGCTGTATTCTTTCTCTAAATTAATTGATCAAACAATCAATCAACATATCACTTTTTTTGCATTTTTGATGAACCTTGGCAATGAGATTACTTTCCAACCATTCACTTTGAATTGTTTTTATTATGATAAAAGTCCATGAATTGTATTTATTATGATAAAAGTCTTATTAAGTAAGAACAATTAAGAAGTCTTCACCTAGAGTAATAAATTTTAGTTTGTCTTAAATCTGACTCATGTGGGGTTTTTTTAATAAAAAATGGCATCTGCTGTTTTGAAAGCTGTTTTTAAAATATCTGCTGCTAACTTTGGTGAGAAAAACCCACATTCTCAGGGCCTATGAAGTTCATCCCACATTCTGCCAGTAAGCAAAGGCCATAGGCTGTGCACATGCTGTGGGGAACAGGGGAAAAACTCATTTCTTTCCAATCTCTAAGGTTTTGATCTCACCCATAAGACTTGGTCTTCTCTAAATATTTTCATTTAAGCAGTTGAAACTCAGAAAATCTGGAAAATATATTAAACATTTCCAACCTTTACATTACCCGCTTATTTCACTCTAATTGTGGTAAATGCAGATTTCATCTAAACATGATTCAACTCATAAAACATTTACAATATTCCTTTGTACTTTCTTTCATGTGATGAGTAGGGTATAATCCTTTGCTTTTGCTTCAAAGATTCCTATATGAAAAGGTTTTTTTTTTTAAGAGTCTTCATTCTCCTCATCATTAATTTCAAATGTTTCAGTATTTTATCCCCCTCCTTCAAATAGCAAAAGAATCCTATATATTTAATATATTAAGATTTGTGGCCAGGCACACTGGCTCACACCTGCAGTCCCAGCACTTTGGGAGGCTAAGGTGGGAGAATCAACTGAGGCCAGGAGTGCAAAACCAGCCTGGCCAGCATGGTAAACCCCGCCTCTACTAAAAATATAAAAATTAGCAGGGCATGGTGGTGGGTGCCGGTAATCCCAGCTACTCAGGAGGCTGAGGCAGGAGAATTGCTTGAACCCAGGATGTGGAGGTTGCAGTGAGTCAAGATCGTGCCATGGCACTCCAGCCTGGGCAACAAGAGTGAAACGCCATCTCAAAAAAGAAAAAAGAAAAAAAATTGTAAGTAATTTTTATTCCAAAGCAGTACTTATTTTTCACAAAATGCTGCTCTGTATCTAGTTATGTCATACAATTCATTTGATACAGTATTTGCCATATGAAACATCATACACTTATGCAAAGACAGGAGGGTAAATGGAGGATGACCCCTCACCTAAGTTGGGAATGGTATTCTCTTCTTATGGATTCCAAAAAGGAAAAATAAAAGCATGGACAGCAGAAATAAAGAACAATAGCAATATGAGAGAGAAAGCATTGGTGGAAGAGATAATTTCAATTTAGGCCTTTAGTGTCTTACAAACAAAAAGATGCATGAACTGCTGCAGAAGACAAATATTACGTTTTCCTGACTCCTGCTTCTACCTGGAACTTCTACAAATCTGGACTCCCAGGGGTAAGTCTCTCTTCTCCCTCATCCAAAGACAGCAGCTGCAACTCTGAGTGGTAAACAAAGGTACTGGCAGAGTTCATAGTCTTGAGGGCAAAGTGAGAATATCAGTTTGGGGGTGGCAAGCTTGTGGCACACCTCACCAAGCGAGATCTTGTACCAGCAAGGTTGCTCGATTGTCCTGAATTTACCCCCACACTATCAGCATTGGCCAGATTATCTCAAACATTTCCTCAAAGGTTCAGAGTCTGTATCGCTCACTGATGGACAAACGACTCCTGGCTAAGAAGGCACTAACTTTATGTTCCCCTTCATTAAAATGATGATGATTGTGACCAGATTTTTCTGAGCTGATTTTGTTTTACACTGATTGATCAAAACTCTTTCCTCCCTTTAATATCAGGTCTTGGAGTAGCTGCAGAAAGAAAAGACTGGCTTAAAGAAAAGGACTGCCTGGACTGGTAAACGATAGGGTGACTGTCAATGTTGTGGGGGAAAAAGGAAACAGTCAGGTCAGTTTGTGCAGAGATTGGCTAGAAAGTTGTGTGTTTAAGTCAAAACAAGGACGTAGACCCCAGGAGATGAGCACGGTAAACAGTTTCCTGACCAAGAATCGTGTGCAGGCCCAGGAAATGGAGAATCCTGGCTCTCCACTGGGGAACTCAGGGACAATGGTGCTAGCACAGTGGGTTGGGTAAGCAGAGTTAGTAGCTCTGGAACACAGGCCCAGAAACAAACTAACAGGAATGAAGGTCAACCTGTTCCAATTTTCTATTGTGATGTATAAGTAACCACAACCACAGAGGCTTAAAATAACACCCTTTATTTATTATCTCACAGTTTCTGTAGGGCAAAAGTACAGATGCAGTTTCAGGGTCTCAGAAGACTGAATCAGAGATGTTGGCCAAGCTGTGTTCCTTTCTGGGACTCTGGGTTTTCTTTCTAGATCGTGTGGTTGTTGGCAAAATTCAGTTCCTTATAGCTGCAGGTCCCTACTTTCTTTTGAGCCACCAGCCAGGATTAGGCTCAGGTCCTAGAGGCCTCCTGCCATTTCTTGATCTGTGGCCATCTCTGTAACAGGGAAGTTTGTTCCTTCAAGGCCAATAGGACAACATCTGTTGCAGCTTTGACTCTCTCTAGCATCTTCTATCTCTGACATGGGGTGGGATTCAGAGGAACATCCTAGAATTCTGCCTACCACATGGGCTTAATAAATGAATGTGTGAATAATGACCAAATGAACGTGTGAATGAACAAACTAGCAAGGTTGGAGGATGAAGATGGAGAAACAGGCAAACAAACACACAGATGGGGAAAAAAAAAGAAAGAAAAAAAAATCCAATAAACTAAAAAGGGTGAAGAATGTTAACTGAGAGAGTTAGTGGATAGAGAAGGAAATCTCTACAGAGGACACACAGAGCCACACAGACTTCTAGAAACAAAAGTTGTAACTGCTGACCAGGCCCAGAGAGCCTGCCCTGTGCAGGGTAGGATATTTTTTGTAAATGGTTGTCTAAGATCCCCCAATTTTTAGCAAGCATGAACAAAAGGAACAAAAGATGGCTGTTATCATGTACAAAGCACTGTTCCCACAGTGCTTTGGAGATATCTAGAAACCTCCATTAATATTTAATATCCTGAAATCTACACACTTCATTACAAAGAGTTTCCATTAGATTTTGTTGCTGTTGTTATTTTGTAATATTTTCAGATCTTAAATGAACATACACATCTAAATAACCACACCTTATCCTCCTGACCTCCCTCTTCCTGTTAATATTACTTCATTCTCCATGACTCCCTGACATGGACTTTCCAAGGTGACTTATTCATCCCTCTCTCTAAAAACAATGTATCTGGATTTGGGTTCCATTTCACAATGCCTCACCAGTACCAAGGCCACTTCCATCTCATAATATAATGTTGTACAAATGAGGAAAAGGCATCTCTTCCCTCAGGAGCACAGTTTGGGGTGCAGAGAACTGGCTGGTTTTCAGCAACCATCCCCGCTCAGTGGAGCCATACCTTTCCTGATGAAGGCGTAACGGAGTATATCATTGCTTTTCAGTTGGCAGGCTGTATTCGTCTCTTAACCACTCTCTGCTTCTTTCTCATAGCACAGCCATTCATCCTGTCTGCTGCTGCTGCTGCTCATCATCCTAAAGTGCATCTCTGTTCAAGTGAACTCATCCCCGAAACCTCTGCTAGCTCCTCTTGGCTACTACACAAACCAAATGTTGCTTATTAATCTTGCACTCAAGGCTTCCACTCCAGCTGACAAATCCAGGTTCAATTTCACTATACCTCTACAAATACAATGCTCTGAAAAACTTCCCTGGACATGAATTGGTTTTTCACTCAGCAGCTTCACTGGTCAAAATCTTAGGAATGCTTCAAGGCCCTTCTGAAAAGCCACCTAGTCCTTTGTGTTTTACTCTCCTCTGGCTTTTTTCATCTTCTATCATGGCATCAAGGTTATACTTCTGATACTTACTTCATAATAACTTTATTATAGACATCATTTCCTCTTCTTCTGAGAGATTAATCAACCCAATGCCAGCACCACTATAATTATACTGTGAGCGCAGGGGCTGCCACGATCATCGCTTTCTTTTTTTTATTATTTAATCATTACACATTTATTTTTTAACGGTGGTAAAAAACATGCAATGTAAAATTTAGCATCTTAACCATGTTTCAGTGTACAGAATAGTGGCATTAAGTATATTCACATTGTTGTGTAACAGATCCCTAAAATTTTTGCAACTTGCGAAACCAAAATATTGTACCTATTAAACAACAACTCATTTCCTTCTCCCCCCAAACTGTGATAAGCCCCATTCCATTGTTTCCATGAATCTGAATGCTTTACATAACTTATGTAAGTAAAATTATACATTATTTGTCATTTTCTAACTGGCCCATTTCACTTGGTATAATATCTCCAAGGCTCAGCTATGTTGTAGCATGCAAGACAGTGACCTTACTTTTTAAGACTGGATGATATTCCACTGTATGTATATACCTCATTTTGCTTATCCATTCATCCATTGATGGACTTTGAGTTGCTTCCACATTTTAGCTTTTGTGAATAATGCTACTAGGAACATGGATGCACAAATATCTCTTTGAGACCTTGCTTTCAACTTTTCTTAGTATATACCTAGAAGAGGGATTGCTGAATCATATGATAGTTCCATTTTTAAGTTTTTAAGGAACTGCCATACTGTTTGTCATAGTGGTTGTATGATGTTACATTCCTGCCAATAGCACACAGGGTTCCACTTTATCAAATTCTCCGCATCTTTGTCAACACTTGATTTTTATTTATTATTAGATAACCTAAGTATCCATCCTAATGGGTGTTAGATGATATCTCATTGTGGTTTGGATTGCATTTCTCTAATGGCTGGTGATGTTGAACATCTTTTCCCATGCTTGTTTATCATTTCCATGTCACTGGAGAAATATATATCTATTTAAGTCATTTGCCCATTTTTAAATTGGGTTGGTTTTTGTTGTCAACAGTCGAGTTGTAGAAATTCTTCACATGTCCTGGATATTACTCTAACCCTTTATCAGATATATAGTTTGCAAATGTTTTTCCCATTATGTAAGTTATCTTTTCACTCTATTGACTGTGCCTTTTGATGCACAGAAATTTAAACATTTAATGTAGTCTCATTTGTTTATTTTTGCTTTTATTGCCTATGCTTTGAGTGTCATCTTCAAGAATTGATTGCCATGTCCAATGTTATGACGCTTTTCCCTTACGTTTGCTTCTAGGAATTTTATTGTTTTGGTTCTTATGTTTATGTGTTTAATTCATTTTGAGTTAATCTTTTTGTAAGGAGAAATATATAGGCCCAACTTCATTCTTTGCATGTCGATATCCAGTTTTCCCACCCCCAATTTGTTATAGAGACTATCATTCCCCATTAGGTGCTTTTGATACCCTTATCTAAGATTACTTAATCAGACACATAAGGGATTATTTTGGGCAGTCTATTCTATTCCATTGGTCTACTGTCTGTCTTTATGCCAGTAGCACACTGTTTTGACTACTGTAGCTTTGCAATATATATTGAAATCACTAAGTATAAGAACTTAGTTTTTTTTTTTCCCAAAATTGTTTTGGCTATTTAGAATCCCTTAAGTCTCCATATGAATTTTGTTCTTTCTTTTTATTTCTGCAAAAAAAAAGTCATTTTTTTCCTAGGGATTACACAGCATCTGTACATCACTGTGGGTAGTGTTGGCATATTAACAATATTTTTTTCTTTTTTTATTATTTTATTTATTTATTTTTATTTTTACTTTACATTCCAGGATACATGTGCAGAATGTGCAGATTTGTTACATAGGTATACATGTGCCATGGTGGTTTGCTGCACCTGTCAACCCATCACCTAGGGTTTAAGCCCCAAATGCATTAGGTATTTGTCCTAATGCTCTCCCGCTCCTTGTCCCCCACCCACTGACAGGCCCTGGTGTGTGTTGTTCCCCTCCCTGTGTCCATGTGTTCTCATTGTTCAACTCCCACTTATGAGTGAGAACATGCAGTCTTTGGTTTTCTGTTCCTGTGCTAGTTTGCTGAGGACGATGGCTTCCAGCTTCATCCATGTCCCTGCAAAGGACATGATCTCATTCTTTATTATGGCTGCATGCAGTATTCCATGGTATGTATGTACTACATTTTCTTTATCCAGTATATAATTGATGGACATTTGGGTTGGTTCCATGTCTTTGCTATTGTAAATAGTGCTGCAAAAGACATACATGTGCAAGTGTCTTTATAGTAGAATGATTTGTATTCCTTTGGGTATATACCCAGTAACAGGATTACTGGGGCAAATGGCATTTCTGGTCCCAGATCCTTGAGGAATTGCCATACTATCTTCCACAGTGGTTGAACTAATTTACATTCTCACCAACTGTGTAAAAGTGTTCCTATTTCTCCACAGCCTTGATAGCATCTATTGTTTACTGACTTTTTAATAATTGCCATGCTGACTGGCTTGAGAGGGTATCTCATTGTGGTTTTGATTTGCATTTTTCTAAAGATCAGTGATGATGAGTTTTATTTCATATATTTTTTGGCCACATAAATGTCTTCTTTTGAGAAGTGTTTGTTCATAACCTTTGCCTACTTTTTGATGGGGTTTTTTTTTCTTGTAAATTTGTTTAAGTTTCTTATAGATTCTGGATATTAGACCTTTGTCAGATGGGTAGACTGCAGAAATTTTCTCCCATTCTGTAGGTTGCCTGTTCACTCTGATGATAGTTTCTTTTGCTGTGAAGAAGTTCTTTAGTTTAATTAGATCTCATTTGTCAATTTTGGCTTTTGCTGCAATTGTTTTTGGTGTTTTTGTAATGAAGTCTTTGCCCGTACCTATGTTCCTATTGCCTAAGTTTTCTTTGAGGGTTTTTATGGTTTTGGGTTTTACATGTAAGTCTTTAATCCATCTTGAGTTAATTTTTGTATAAGTTGTAAGGAAGGGGTACAGTTTCAGTTTTGTGCATATGGCTAGCCAGTTTCCCCAGCACCATTTATTAAATAGGGAATCCTCTCCTCATTGCTTGTATTTTTCAGGTTGGTCAAAGATCAGATGGTTGTAGACGTGTGGTCTTATTTCTAGGTCTCTGTTCTGTTCCATTGGTCTATACATCTGTTTTGGTACCAGTACTATGCTGTTTTGGCTACTGTAGCCTTGTAGTATAGTTTGAATTTAGGTAGTGTGATGCCTCCAGTTTTGCTCTTTTTGCTTAGGTTTGTCTTGGCTATATGAGATCTTTTTTGGTTCCATATGAAATTTAAAGTAGTGTTTTCTAATTCTGTGAAGAAAGTCAATGGTAGTTTGATGGGAATAGCATTGAATCTATAAGCTACTTTGGGTTGTATGGCCATTTTCACAATATTGATTCTTCCTATCCATAAGCATGGAATGTTTTTTCATTTGTTTGTGTCCTCTCTTATTTCTTTGAGCAGTGGTTTGTAGTTCTTGAAGAGGTCTTTCACGTATCTCATTAGCTGTATTCCTAGGTATTTTATTATCTTTGTAGCAATTGTGAATGGGAGTTCATTCATGATTTGGCTCTCTGCTTGTCTATTGTTGGTACATAGGAATGCTAGTGATTTTTGCACATTGATTTTGTATCCTGAGACTTTGCTGAAGTTACATATCAACTTAAGGAGTTTTGGAGCTGAGATGATGGGGTTTTCTAAGTATAGAATCATGTCATCTGCAAACAGAGACAATTTGACTTCCTCTCTTCCTATTTGAATACCTTTTATTTATTTCCCTTGCCTAACTGCCCTGGCCAGAAATTCCAATACTATGTTGAATAGGAATGGTGAGAGAGGACATCCTTATCTTGTGCTGGTTTTCAAAGTGAATGCTTCCAGCTTTTGCCCATTCAGTATAATATTGGCTATGGGTTTGTCATAAATAGCTCTTATTATTTTGAGATATGTTCCATCAATACCTAGTTTATTGAGAGTTTTTAACATGAAGGGATGTTGAATTTTATCAAAGGCCTTTTCTGCATCCATTGAGATATCATGTGTTTTTTTCCATTGGTTCTGTTTATGTGATGAATTATGTTTATTGATTTTATATGTTGAACCAGCCTTGCATGGTTCAAGGATGAAGCTGACTTGATCGTGGCAGATAAGCTTTTTGATGTGCTGCTGGATTTGGTTTGCCAGTATTTTACTGAGGATGTTCTCATCAATGTTCATCAGGGATATTGGTCTGAAGATATCTTTTTTTGATGTGCCTCTGCCAGGTTTTGGTATCAGGATGATACTGACCTCATAAAATGAGTTAGGGAGGAGTCCCTCCTTTTCAATTGTTTGGAATAGTTTCAGAAGGAATGGTACCAGCTCCTCTATGTACCTCTGGTAGAATGTGGCTGTGAATCTGTCTGGTCCCGGGCTTTTCTTTGGTTGGTAGGCTATTAATTACTGCCTCATTTTCAGAACTTGTTATTGGTCTATTCAGTGATTTGACTTCTTCTTGGTTTAGTCTTGGGAGGGTGTATGTGACCAGGAATTTATCCATTTCTTCTATATTTTCCAATTTATTTCCATGGATGTGTTTATAGTATTGTCTGATGGTAGTTTGTATTTCTGTGGGATCAGTAGTTATATCCCCTTTATCATTTTTTATTGTGTTTATTTGATTCTTCTCTCTTTTCTTCTTTATTAGTCTAGCTAGTGACCTATTTTATTAAGTTTTTTCAAAAAAAAATTTATGTTTTTTTCAAAAGGCCATTTATGTTCCTCTCTAAACTGGTTATTCTAGTTAGCAGTTCCTGTAACCTTTTATCAAGGTTCTTAGCTTCCTTGCACTGGGTTAGAACATGCTCTTTTAGCTCAGAGGAATTTGTTATTACCCAATTTCTGAAGCCTACTTCTGTCAGTTCGTCAGTCTCATTCTCCATCCAGTTTTGTGCTCTTGCTGCAGAGGTGTTGCAATCATTTGGAGGAGGAGACGGATTCTGGCTTTTGGAATTTTCCTCATGTTCCGTGGATTTATCTACCTTTGATCTTTGAGGCTGATGATCTTTGGATGGGGTTTTTGTTGGGGGGTCTTTTTTATTGATGTTTTTGTTGTTGTTGCTTTCTGTTTGTTAGTTTTTCTTCTAGCAGTTAGGCCCCTCATCTATAGGTCTGCTGCAGTTTGCTGGAGGTCCACTCCAGACCCTGTTCACCTGGGTATCACCAGTGGAGGCTGCAAAACAGCAAAGATTGTTGTCTGCTCCTTCCTCCAGAAGCTTCATCCCAGAGGGGCGCTGGCCTGATGCCAGCTGGAGCTCTTCCATATGAGGTGTCTGTCAACCCATTGGGAAGTCTCTCCCAGTCAGGAGACATGGAGGTCAGGGATCCACGTGAGGTGGCAGGCTGTCCCTTAGCAGAGCTTGTGTGTTGTGCTGGAAGGATCAGCCACTCTTTTCAGAGTCAGCAGGCAGGAAAGATTAAGTCCACTGAAGCTGCCACCTTAGCCACCCCTCCCCACAGGTGCTCTGTCCCAGGGAGATGAGAGTTTTACCTGTAAGCCCGTGACTGGGGCTGCTGCATTTCCTGCAGAGATGCCCTGCCCAGTGAGGAGGAATCTAGAGAAGCAGTCTGGCCACAGCTGCTTTGCAGTGCTGTGGTGAATTCCGCCCAGTCCAAACATCCCAGTCTCCTAGCATTGTCAGGGGAAAACCACCTACTAAAGCCTCATGAAAAGCCATTGCCCCTCCCCCCA
This sequence comes from Homo sapiens, assembly GCF_000001405.40. NCBI lineage: Eukaryota > Metazoa > Chordata > Mammalia > Primates > Hominidae > Homo > Homo sapiens. The sequence goes on along the minus strand of NC_000002.12, from coordinate 107,235,623 downwards.
CCAAGCTCTGTCATCCCAGGTTGACTCCTGACTGCTGTGCTGGCAGTGAGAATTTCAAGCCAGTAGTTCTTAGCTTGCTGGGCTCCATGGGAGCGGGACCTGCTGAGCAAGACCACTTGGCTCCCTGGCTTCAGCCCCCTTTCCAGGGGAGTGGACGGTTCTCCTGTCTCACTGGCGTTCCAGGCGCCGCAGGAGCACAAAAAAACTTCTGCAGCTCGATTCCTGCTCAAAGAGCTGTCCAGTTTTATGCTTGAAACCCGGGGACCTGGTGGTATAGGCTCATAAGGGAATCTCCTGTTCTGTGGATTGCAAAAATCCATGGGAAAAGCCTAATACCCAGGGCAGGTAGCACAGTCCTTCACTGCTTCCCTTGGCTGGGGGAGGGAGGTCCCCTGGTTCCATGCACTTGCTGGATGAAGCAACGCCGCACCCTGCTTCTACTCACTCTCCATGGGTTGCACCCACTGCCTAACCAGTCCCAATGAGATGAACTGGGTACCTCACTTGGAATTGCAAAAATCACCCACCTTCTGCGTTGGTCTCACTGTGAGTTGCAGACCACAGCTGTTTCTATTCTGCCATCTTGGCCCCTCACTCAGCATATTAACATCATTAAGTTTTGCAATCCAGATACATAAGATGTCTTTTGGTTTGTCTTTAATTTCTTTCAATAATGTTTTATAGTTATCAGCATACAAGTCTTTTACTTCCTTGGCTAGGTTTATGTCTAACTATTTTATTCTCTTTGTCATTATTGTAAATGAAATTGTTTTCTTAATTTCCTTTTCAAGTTGTTCATTGTTAGTGAATAGAAATGCAACTGACTTTTGCATGTTGATTTTGTATCCTAATATTTTGCTGAATGTATTAGTTTTAAAAGGCTTATGGTGGAATTTTAGGTGTTCTATATGTGAGATCATGTCCTCTATGAATAAGGATAATTTTCCTTCTTTGGAAATTTGGAGGACTTTTATTTATTTTTCTTGCTTAATTGCTCTGGCTAGGGCTTCCAGTACTATATCAAACAGAAGCGGCAGAGTGGCATCCTTCTTTTATTCTTCATCTTAGAGAAATGGCTTTTAATCTTTCACCATTGAATATGATGTTAATAGTGGACTTTTCATATATGACCTTTATAATGTTGAGTTAGTTTTCTTTAGTTTCTAGTTTTTTGAGATTTTTTTTTATCATGATCATGTGGTTTTGTCCTTCATTCTGTTAATGTAGTGTGTTACATTGATTGATTTTGATATGCTGAATCATTCTCGCATTGCAGCAATAAATTCCACTTGGTCATGCTATATAATTCTTTTAATGATTTGTTGAATGTGGTTTGCTGATATTTTGCGGAGGATTTTTCCATCAATATTCATCAGGGTTATTGATTTGCCTTTTTTTTCTTATAATTTCTTGGTCTGCCTTTAGCATTAAGGCTTTACCGAATGAGTTTGGGAGTGTTTCTTTCTCTTCAATTTTTTGAAACAATTTCAATAGGATTGACATTTTTTGTTACAGAGACACTTTAAATGTTATGTTTGGTAGAATTGTCCAGTAAAGCCACCTGGACTTTGGCTTTTCTTTGTTGGGATGCTTTTGAGTCAATCTCCTCACTCATTATTGGGCTGTTTAGATTTTCCATTTCTTCATGATCCAGTCTTAGTAGGTCGCATGCTTCTAGGAATTTATTCATTTTTCGGTTACACAATTTGTTGGTGCACAATTGTATTCTCTTATAGTCTTATCTATTTATGTGGTATCAGTTATAATGTCCTCTCTTTCATTTTTTATTGTACTTACTTGAGTCTTCTCTTTTATTCTTGGTTAACTCAGCTAAGGTTTTGTCAATTTTGCTGATCTCTTTAAAAAAAACAACTTTTAGTTTTCACTTTTTCCTATGGTTTTTCTATTCTCTACTTTGTTTATTTTTGCTCTATTTTTTATTATTTCCTTTCTTCTGCTTGTTTTGGTTTCAGTTTGTTCTTCTTTTTCTGTTTCTTTGAGGTATAAAGTTAAGTTGTTGATTTGAGATTTTTCTTTTTAAATGTAAATATTTACCACTATAAACTTTTCTCTTAGTACTGCTTTTGCTTGCTTCTGTAAGTTTTGATTTGCTGTGTTTTTGTTTTCACTTGTCTTAAGATATTCTTTAATTCTCATGTGATTTTTTTTCTTTGACCCATTGGCTATTTAAGAATGAGTATTCTAATTTCCACATATTTGTGGGTTCTTCAGTTTTTTTCTGGTATTGATTTCTAGTTTCACTCCATTGTAATGAGAAAAGATACTCTCTTTGATTTCCATCTTTTAAGTTTGTTAAGACTTGTTTTGTAGACTAACATGTGATCTATGCTGGAGAAAGTTCCATGTGTGCTTGACAAGAACGTTGATTACTTTGCTGTTGTGCACTGTTCTGTATAAGTCCATCAGGTCCAATTAGTCTATAGTGTTGCTCAAGTACTCCATTTTCTTATTGATCTTCTGTCCGGTTTTCTCATCCATTATTGAACATTGTGTATTGAAGTTGTCTACTATTATGTTTAGTGCATAAACAACCACCAAATACCTTCAGACATAAAGGATCAGATTGTTCTTAACCTAACCAATGTGGAAAAAAAAAAAAAAAACCCAGCAATTAAGTTAACTAGATTTTCCTCCTCACTCTCCAAAAAGAGAAGAAAAAGACATCTGTACAGCAGAAATAATTTGTAGAACCAATATTAAGAAGACAAGGATTTATGCTGCTTTTTCTTTTAGAGAATTTGTCAATTCTAAAAAGAGTTTTTAAGAGGTTGAGTGGCTAAGTAGTTGCCAGCAGAAAGAGCAACAATTGTAGTTCAAGACCAGGCATAGTGGCCCATGTCTGTAATCCCAACAGTTTGGGAGGTTGAGGCAGAAGGATTACTTGAGCCTAGGAGTTCAAAACCAGCCTGGGCAGCATAGTTATACCTCGTCTCTACAAAAAGTCAAAAAATGAGGCGGGAAAATTGCTTAATTGTTTGATCCTGGGAGGTTGAGGCTGCAATGAGTCACGATTGCACCACTGCACTCTCACGTGGGCGATGAGAGTGAGACCCTGTCCCCCACCCCCAAAAAAAAAAAGTAGTTCAGGACATACCAAAGAGGGCTATTTCAATATTCCAGGCTTACATTTTCAACAATGAAAGGCTGTACTCTAGGAGTATGAGAGAACCAGAAATAAAAAAGCCTCTGTCCACCAAGGACCAGAGCCCACCTTAATCACTTCAAGTATTAACTGGATAAAGATAATATAGGGTGTCATACATACATACATACAACTTAAATGTCTACTTAGAGAAAAAGTAAAAACTCTCTAAAGGAAACAAGATCATTCTGAAGCTCAAATTGTCTCTAGCATTTTCACATACAAAGTCTGGCATTCAATAAAATAAACACAAGATGTAGCAATAACAAGAAAACAAGATGATAGAAACCAAGAGGAAAAGCAGACTATAGAAAGAGATTCATAAAAAATTTAGGCAGTGATATTATCAGAAAAGAGCATAAAATAACTATAGTTAATATATTCAAGAATATGTTCAAATAATTTTAAAAAACAGGATTAAGCATTTGGGTAGATAATGGAAATTATTTAAAAAGATTAAATAAAATTGTTGGACTAAAGAAATTCAATAATTGAAACTCTTGAATTAAGAATTCATTGGTCAGATTTAAAATCATATTAGACATGCCTCAAGTGTGAAAGTTCTATAATATCTGTAGTTGGGTCCCAGAAAGAAAGGAACAAATGAATGGATCAAAGCAATATATAAGTAATGGCTGAGAATTTTCCAAAACTGACATCAAGATATCAAGCAATGAATTCAAAAATTGTATCAAGCCCAAGTAAGTTGCACATACACACCAACAATCAAAAAGCAAAAGAGCTATACTTAGGCATATCCTAGTAAACCTGTGAGAATTAAGACAAATAAAAAAATGTAAAAGCAACCAATGAAAAAGACACTTTCCTTTAAAAGAGCAACAATAGGACTCATCTAACTTCTCAACAGAAAACCAGGAAGCCAGAAGAAAATAAAATGTCTTCAAGCTGTTGAAAAAAATAGCTGCCAATCTAAAATTCTACATCCCGTGAAAACAACTCTTAAAATTGCAAATGGAATAAGAACACTTTCAGACAAACAAAAAGTAAAATAATTTGTCATCAGCAGACCTGCACTAATGGATGTATTAATGATGAAAATTCAGACAGAAGGAAAATAATCTCAGATGGCAGCTCAGAGATGCAATGAAAAGCAACAGAATGGATAAATATCTGTAAAAATCTATATTCATGTTAGAAAATACAAAAATAATAACACTGAGGGATTTAAATTATAAAATAATTCAAGTACAGAAATAATAAGTTGGTAGAGGAGAGTAAATGTGGTTAAGTTTATCAAGGACCTTGTATTTTTCAAAATGTTGTGAAAGTAATCCCTAGGTTAACCACTAACATAGTAAAATGATGTATATCTTTTAAGTCAATAGAGCTGGAATGGAGAAAAAAATGATAAAAATACTTAAATAACCTAAAAGAAGCCAAAGAATGAGAGAAGTATGTTGTACAGGTGGGACAAACGGCATATATAAAGTTGGAGGATTTAAAACCAAATGTGTGGGGTTCTTTTGTTCTGTTTATTTTATGCTTTCAAGGTGATGGACAAAAGGCAGTGTTCGTGGGCCTTTCCCACTTAGAAGGACAGAATCTTGGGTACAGATTCACACTGTGAAATTTTTTTCTCCAGAACCACCACAGGAACTTAACAGGAAAACAGAAAGAATCCACAGACACTTTGAAAGAAGCAGTAGGTTGCAGCCTACTCTGTGAGACAAGTGAAAAATTATCAGTTCCCAGAGTGTGACGGGAGGAAAGTCTGCCTCCAGGTACACGTCTCCACTGTGGAATCTGAAAATCCAGTCCAAGGGAGAAGGCCTTAACCCTACCCAGAGCTGGAGCGGCATGAAATATAAAATTAGAAGCAGCAGCAGGAAGTGCCTTGTAGGCATTCCCAGTCTCTAGCATCAACCAAGGAAAGCCATTCCTGACTGTATCTCACAGGGGCCCTCAGGGAAGTCAGCCAATGAGCTCAGGGAGGGGTTTCAGGGTGAAAGAAGCTCCCAGCTGAACCTTGCAGTATGATCTCAAGTGGGGACGAACTCTCATGACCACTGGGAAAACTCTTTTTTACATTGGCTTAGGCAAAGAATTCATGACTAAGACCCCAAAAACAAATGCAACAAAAACAAAAATAAATCAATGGGACCTAATTAAACTAAAAAACTTCTGCACAGCAAAAGTATAATCAGCAGAGTAAACAAACCAACCCACAGAGCAGTAGAAAATATTCACAAACTCCATCTGACAAAGGACTAGTATTCCAAATGAGAAAAAAACAGATAATCCTATCAAAAAGTGGACAAAGGACATGAATAGACATTTATCAAAAGAAGATACACAAATGGTCAACAAACATGAAAAAAAAATGCTCAACTTCACTAATTATCAGAGAAATGCAAATTAAAACCATGATGAGATACCATCTTACTCCTGCAAAAATGGCCATAATTAAAGTATAAAAACAATAGTTAGTGGCATGGATGTGTTGAAAACAGAACATATTTACCCTGCTGGTGGAAATATAAATTAGTGAAACCACTATGGAAAACAGTCTGTAGATTCCTTTAAGAACCAAAATAGAACTACCATTGGATCCAGCAGTCACACTACTGGGTATCTCCCCAAAGCAAAAGAAGTCATTACATAAAAAAGACACCTGCACACATGTTTATAGTAGCACAATTCACCATTGCAAATATATGGAACCAACTTAAGTGTCCATCAACCAACAAGTGGATAAAGAAAATGTATATATACACCATGGAATACTACTTAACCATAAAAAAGAACAAAATAATGTCTTTTGCAGCAACTTGGATGGAGATTGAGCCCATTATTCTAAGTAAAGTAACTCAGGAATGGAAAACCAAACATTATATGTTCTCACTTATAAATGGGAGCTAAGCTATGAGAATTCAAAGGCATAAGAATGATATAATGGACTTTGGGGACTTAAGGGGAAGGGCTCCGGGGGTGAGAGAGAAAAGACTACACATTGGGTACAGTGTACACTGCTCAGGCGACGGCTGCACTAAAATCTCAGAAATCACCACTGAAGAACTCATCTATGTAACCACAAACCACCTTTACCCCAAAAACTGTTGAAATAAAAATTTTTAAATCCCTACAAATGTGTGTTCTTTCGTTCAATTCAAATGGCATAAACATTCTAATTAGAGGACAAGGATATGAAATATGCACTTGCTTCTACTTTCATATAAGATGGAATAGTTCATGGCTGTCTCACAGTCCCAATGACAACAACCTGTTAAGTTACACAACCACATTATTTTGAAAGCTGCTTTCATAAAATCTAGAGGAACAAAAGTTCCAGAGAGAGGAGAAAGTTTCAGAGGTGAGCTGAGGATCTGCCGCTGCCCATTAGTTGATTTCTCTTACTGATTCTGAGCAGGGCTAGAGGGTGAGAATCCGCACTTGCCCTAACAGGGCTGCTGCAGGAGCTGGAGAAATCAGCCAGCTTTTAGTATTTGTAAAGACACTGGAATGACAAAAGCAGAGGCTTCGTGGGCCACTTCCCCACAAGATAACTGATTAAGTCTGAAGCTGTGCAGGCTGGATGGCTAAAAGATACACCAAAACTAGAGAAGAGTGGACTTTTCTACAACTTCCCAATGCTGAGGAGACAGGGATCTTCAACGGTCAGGGGTCTCTGAGAAAAACTCAGTGAGAATTGAAAACCCTAGAGAGAACCCTCAGAAATCTTTGCAAATAGCTCAAGTGAGAGTTGAGCATTGTAAAATGGCACAACCCATGCTTTCTTTTACGCTGTGGTGCCTTGGGAAGGTGAGGACTGGAATAGGAACAGAAGAATGGTGGAATATTGGTAATATTTTGTCTCTTTATCCAAGTGCTGGTAACACAAGTGTGTTGCATTTACAAAAATTCATCAAGCTCTACATTTATGGTGTGAGCTTTCTTGTGTCAACCTGAAAGGAAGAGACCAACACACAAAATGTGATTTAAATAATATACTTGAGCCAAAATAAGGATGGCTGCCTGCAAGACTCAGACCCAGGCAATCTTCGATATAAGCTCTGTTTGGCCTTTGTTACAGGCAGGTTTTTAATGGCAAAAAAAGAGGGAACAGAGAATAGGCTGATATATTAATCAAATTATGCTATGAATTATCATTCGTTTAGAGAAATAACATTGATTAGTGATTGGCTATACACTGTTAAGCTACAGGGTGTGAGTAACAGCATATAATGAGACATTATTAGGCTAATTAATACTTGTGGCAATTGCAAGCAGTTTCAAGAGATTAGTACATAGCTCGAAAGGGCAGAATAGAACATGATTGCTGTCTCATTTTCATGCCTCTTTTCTCCTAATATTTTGAAAGGGTTCACATTCCTCACGCAAAAGTTCTTTTTCCTCAGATAAAAGTTCTTTTCTTTCCTCACTTATATGTAAGTTATAGTTCAACTTAAAGAAATAAACAATAGAAAAGCAATGATTGTCAGATCAGGTATAAAGTCTTTAAAAGCACAACCATATACCACTTACACACACACGCACACACACACACACACACACACCCTAAATATTACATTATAGAAATGTGAAAGTAAAAGGAAGGACAAAGGAAGAAAGTTGGTATTGTTACCAGAAAGGAGGTCTCACCTCATTAAGGTCTGGCAGTCACCAGAGGAAATATCACCTGAAAAGGGGTCTTGTCCCAGACCCCAAGAGCAGGTTCTTGGATCTCACACAGCAAAAAATTTAGGGAAAGTCACAGTATAGTGAAGTTAAGATAGTTTATTAAAGACTACTGTATTACAGACTACGGCATCCTCAGAAAGCAAGAGGAGGAACACCCCTACCTTAAACATTCTGCTTGCTTATATGCGATATTAAGACCACTTCACTTTTTTACAGAGGCTTGTAATCAGCTTGGGACAGGCTATTAGTATTATTATTTTCCTATGTTACTATTGATTTCAGCATATGAGTGTACTATTATATTTAAAGCAAAACCTATTCTTAAACTAAGAATTCTTTTTGTTCTTAAAGTACTGGGGCATTTCCATAAATTCTAGGTCTTCATTTAGTTAATTAGCATCATTAACTCAGTTCCTTAACCATAAACATCTTGTGACCCAAAGTGCCCAACCCCCTGGGAATGTAACCCAGAAAGTTTGGTTTTATTAAGCCTTTATTCAAGGTGGACTCACTCTGGTTAGGATGTCTCGAACAGTGTGAATATAATTGATTTAAAACAAAGTAAATATTAAAGCCAAAAGCACTACCAGAGGAAAAGAAGAAAATGTCATAGTTATAAAATGATCCAATCATTAGAAAGAAAAAAATTCTAAATTTGTAGGCACCCAATTATGCATTCTCACAATATACTCAGCAAATATTCAAAAAATGCAAACAAATATACAAATCTACAATTACAGTGTGAAATTTTAGTATACATCTCTTAGTATGTATCAGAACAAATAGAGGGGGGAAATCAATAACTACATAAAATATTTGAAAGTGTATTATTAATCAACTTGACCTAATTAACATGCTACTAGAGAATACACATTTTTAGCTGAATATGAAACATTTACTGAAATTCATCACACACTGAGCCATAAAGAAACCTTCACCAAATTTTAAAGGTTTGCATTGTACAAAGTCTCTAACTACAGTGAAAATAACAAAATTAATAAGATATTAAGAACAAAAGTTGACAAGAAAATTCCCATGTTTTGAAAAATAAATCACAGAAGGTTTAAATAATTCACAGGTAAAACAACATTACATCAGAAATTAGAAAATGTTTTGAAGCAAATTATAATGAAAATAGGAGTATCAAAACTTGGTGGATGTAGATAAATGTTTGATTTTACATGCAAAAATTGGGAAGAGGAAAGGCCACCAGTGATCTAATTTATAGCTCAGAAAGCTACCAAAACAAAGAAAAACAAAATAGAAGAACACTGTGCATAAAAGTCAAAGATAGTAGAAGAAAGGAAATGGCAAAGATAGTTCAAAATGCAACTGAAGAAAGAAGAAAAAACGTATAATTATGAAGAGCAAAATCAATTATTTGTAGAGTCCAATAAATTGATATAAACCACTGGTTAAGCTGATTATGACTCAATGAGAGAATGCAAAATTACAAATAATAGAAATAACTTCTACAGAGTATCTTACTTTTTACTCCTGATATTGATTATCAGGCCCTACAGACCTTAAAATATAATAAAATGATATTATAAAGAACTTCATGCTCCTGATTTGGTAAAATTTTACATAAAATAGACAAATTCTTAAAGTAACACAATTCATCAAAATCTGAGATGTACTATATCTGTTAAAGAAATTGAATATATAATTTGAAGTATTCCTACATATAAAACTATAAACCCAAATGGTTTTATTGATGAATCGTATCAAATACTTCAGGGAGATATAATACCAGACTTACCCAACTCACCTACACAATAGAAACAAGAACTTATTATCACATCGTTATGAGTTCAACATAAACTCGGTATGAATCTCTGTAAAGGATATTGTAAGAATGTCTATATTCAGGCCAACTTTTCCAAGAAATATATGGAAATTTTAAAAAATATATATATTAACTAGCCAAATGCCTTCTGTGTTAGTTCATTCTCACATTGCTATAAAGAACTATCTGAGACTGGGTGTTTTATAAAGAAAAGAGATTTAATAGGCTCATGGTTCTGCAGGCTGTACAGAAATCATGGCTGGGAAAGCCTCAGGAAACTTACAATCATGGTGGAAGGCGAAAGAGAAGTAGGCACATCTTACATGGTTGGAGTAGGAGAAAAGGAGAGAAGGGAGAGGTGCTACACACTTTGAGACAACCAGATCTTGTAAGAATTCACTCACTGTCATGAGAACAGCAAGGGGGATGTCAGCCCCCATGATCCAATCACCTCCCACCAGGCCCCTCCTTCAACACTGGGGATTATAATTTGAAATAAGATGCGGGCAGGAACACAAATCCAAACCATATCATCTTGTAATATGAAAAGAATTATACATTACGATCAAGTTAGATGTATTCCTCAAGTATAGCTTAGAAATCAATAAAAATTATTCACCATTCACTAACAGGACAAAGAAAGAAAATAATATATAATCATTGCAATAAATGCAGAAAAACAATTTTGATACAAGGAAATTTCTCAATTTGATAAAGAATATATTTATGTATATATATTTGATAAAGGATGTATATATACATGTATGTATACATATTTGATAAAGGATGTTTGTATACACATAGGGTGTATGGATATATATACACATCTATAAGTATATATATGTATATATGTATATGTGTATATATGTGTACATATACATATAGACATATATATACTTATAGATGTATATATACATCTATATATACATATACAAGTATGTATACATCTATAAGTATATATATACACATCCTTTATCAAATATATAAGTATATATGTGCATATATACTTATATAAAAATATATATACACCCTACATCACACAATATACTTGATGGTGACATCTGAAATCTTTAACATAAGAAATAAGACAAAATTGCTTGCCATCATAGCATCATCGCTACTTTGCACTGGTGATTATAGCTATTGCTATAAGTCAAGAAAAAGAAATGACACAAGGAAAGATGTAACTGTCATTCTTTTGTAGACAAAATATCTATATATATAGTAATCCAAAATAATTCATAAGTAAGCTATTAGAATTAACATATAAATTAACCAAGAGTGCTGATGCAAGTTCAACATAGAAACAGTAACTGTTTTATTAAACAGTAATAAATAAAGTTTAATAAATAAATAAGTTTAATAAAAAATAAGCTTAATAAGTTTAATAAAAAATAAGTTTAATAAAAAAGTTTAATAAATAAATAAGTAACAGTGTTACTTTATTTAACAGACTGGATGCTTATGTATCCGCAAAATTAATATGTTGAAATTCTCACCCCTAAGATGAAAGTATTAGAAAGTAGGCCTTTTGGGAAAGTAATTCTCTCATGAGGTCAGATCCCTCATGAAAGGGATTAATACCCTTATAAAAGAGGCCGTAGAGAGCTGCCTCACCCCTTCTACCATGTGAGGACGCAGCAAGAAGTCACCTTCTATAAATCAGGAAGAGATCGCTAACCATCCCCTGTATCTGCTAGTGCCTGGATCTTGGACTTCCAGCCTCCAAAACTGTGAGAAATAAATTTCTGTTGTTTATTAGTGACCTAATCTATGGTATTTTGTTATAGCAGTCTGAATGGACTAAGATAGAAACATAACATATAATTCAATCTATAAAAGGCTTAAAACCAGAAGCAACAAATCTATGGAGTTAAACATCAAGACAGTGGTTATTTTTGGAGAATGTGAATGGGTAAGAATCAAGAGGGTTTATGAAGGAACATCTGGATCCTAGTTATTTTATTTCTCTATGTGGGTGAGGTTATATGAATGTGTTCACTTGCTGATAATTCACCAAGCACATTTCTCTCTAATAAAACGTGTTTAAAATAAAAAGTAAATACGATCTAATAGGTTTTGTTGGGGTTGTTCTAATAGAGTTAGATATTCTGGGCTTATTTCCTCTTGATAATGGAACCTCAGACGGCTTACTTAACCCCAGATTCCTCTTCTATAAGCTTTCCATAAGAATTTATTTCTCAAGAATAGAATCAAAGACAAATTTGATGTAAGTAAGTAATTTGAAGATACAGAGAAATATGAAAAACCTGAGCACAGGCTGTGTTAAGGGACAAAGTGAGATAACTCTATGGGAATAGAGTAGAATATAAAGACCCTTGGTTCATGTCAGTAGTGACACTGAAACCAGCTGCTGTTCTAGCCTAGGAAAATGTGGGGGAAGAGGATGGTTTGAAGGTGGATTCTAAAGCAGTCATACCTGGTTTCAATCTGAGTATCAGCTATTTAGATTCTGTGCATTATTGTGAGTTTTAAATAAGATAATATATGTGAAATGGTCTAGTATGTAGTAAATGTTTTTAAATACATATATAAATAAATTAGTTAAAATGGTCTCATTTCTATTTACCCTTAATTATGATTGACTGACACCGTTAGGTTAAATCATGCTCCAATTTCCGTGTTCTGTATTTCATTCAAATGAATATTTAAATTGAAAGAAAATCTAAAAGCACATTATCTATTCTGAGACCCAGCAGAGGAAATACAGCTCCTCTAATTAATGAAGGTAAAATGGTTATTAATAATATCCCCCAAAAGTCATTATACAAACAAAAATGCTATTTGCTTTAACTGTCTATCAGCTTTGTCATTTCATGCTTGACTAATATTGGAAAAATTCTCTTCAGCTACCAGCCTTATGAAGATTAATGGATATAAAACAGCAAATTCCTTCTCATGAAACTTTTCAAAACTTACTCAGTATTCTCAACTCTTAATATTAACCAACTAACCTTTGTTGTCAATACAGAAAATTAAAGTCAGAGATTTGGGACAAAATATTTTTATGGCCATTGATCACTTCTAATATTTCAATATGGCCATTCTGCTAAATTAATTCATGCTCATGTTTATTGTCACTTCTAGTACACATTTACTCATAGGTTGCATTATTCAAGAGGCAAAATTTTAATTGACTTATTTCAAATAGTCTAGTAAACATTCCTGTGCAATGCTGCTCCAAAGTGTGTTCTGCAGACCAATGCCAATTTTTGAAGTGCTTGTTTCTGCTAATTGGGCTCATGTTGCAATAAGGCCAGAATGTAAATCAGCTCTGTCATTGGGCATGCTGTTTACTCATCTGAAATTTGGTTAGTAATGAGATTTTCTTGAAGAAAGCAGGATGTTGTTTACCATTCTGGCCCAAGATCCTTATCTATGCAAGAACCAGTATCAAAGACTTCAAGGACTGGCTGCCACTCTGGCAGACATTGTTACTTAGAGGAAGCCAAAGGTAGATTTTCTGTATAAAGAATTCTTCTGTAGGGTGAGTTATGTATTTTCTCTCCATATATAGGGCTTCATATACAAGAATGTATCTGTAATAACTGACACTTTAAAATATATAGTCAACTCTAGTGTAAATCATTAAAATGTAATATTAAAGATCATAAGTAACATAAGATAGAGCAGGAGAATGTCGATCAGCAAATTTATTGTTCAGATTCCTGCTCTATTATTGTAAAATAACCATATTCTTTATTAAATAAAATCTTGTGACTACCTCTCATAATGTGAAAATACTGATGAAGTAAAAAATATATATTATTTTATGAACTAGCTCTGGTTGAGCCCTTACAATGTGTCAGGGATTGCTATCAGTGCTTTGCTCAGTTAATTTATTAAATCTTCTGGAGCAAGGTTTCTGTGCTCCCATACAGTCAGAAATTCAGGCATATTATTTCTTAATAAGAAACTTAAAGAGTCACATTAAACTTACAATAATTTAGTTCAAATAAAATTGACAGTAAGATATAAACATGGCTCTAATTAATGAATTTCCTAGTAGTTATTCTCTGTTTGGTTCCCTCACTTTCATTTAGTTCTGACATTAACACAAAGGAATAGTCTAAATATAATAAATGCAGTGCAAGAAAAGGGGTTACCCAATTACCTAAATTTTACTTTATTACTAAAGTTCGTTTATCAAGAATAGTGTTACCTGAATTAAGGGAGGATTATATCATGAAAATCAGATTCATCAAAAACAGTCAAGAGAAGAGGAATTCATTTGATATCATAGAAAAAGATGATGCATCACGCCTGTAATCCCAGCACTTTGGGAGGCCGAGGCGGGCAGATCATGAGGTCAGGAGATCAAGACCATCCCGGCTAACACAGTGAAACCCCGTCTCTACTAAAAATACAAAAAAAAAAAAAAAAAAAATTAGCTGGGCGTGGTGGCGGGCGCCTGTAGTCCCAGCTACTCAGGAGGCTGAGGCAGGAGAATGGCGTGAACCCAGGAGGCGGAGCTTGCAGTGAGCCAAGATCGCGCCACTGCACTCCAGCTTGGGCAACAAAACCAGACTATCTCAGGAAAAAAGCAAAAAGAAACAGAAAAAGAAAAAGATGATGCATTTTTGAGTGGCACCTGTTTAGAAATAAGAGGTGGCTGAACTCTTGAACAACTCTTCTAGTTGTTTGGTGTATGTGAGTGTGTGTCTGTGCACATGGGCACAGCGTGTGTGGGGGCTGGAAATGCAATCATGGTGAGAGTCTAGTGGCTTGACCAAGGGGGACGTGTGGAAAGAGGATCAAAACAATGAAGAAAGACTGGGACTGAAAGAGTAGGTGAGCATCACTATTGTCTAAAGGGAATAGAGAGAGAAAGAGGAGAATGATGAAGAGAAGCCTCGTGACACTAGGGATACAGCAAGTGAAAGACCATCTGAAATGAAAAAATTATAAGTAACTAGGAAAACATCATCCAAAAAAATGACTCAAAAACTATTTTTTAAAATTATGTTTAGAACAAGAATAGCAAAGATGTGGTGGCCTCATTGTTAGAAATGTTAAAGGATAAACTTTAGAAAAATTAAATTTAATAGTACTTAACTGAGCAAAAAATGAATCATGAATTGGGCAGCCCTCAAAATCAGAATTGGTTCAGAGTGACTCCAGGGCTGTCACATGGTTGGATAACACTTACAAACAGAAAAAGGTAAGTGACCTATAGAAAGCTGAAATGAGGTGAAAAAACAGCTAATTAGTTACAATGGGGCATTTGCCTTATTTGAACCTGCTTTGAATAGTTGGCTACCTGTAGTTGGCTGTGATTTGGTTACCGTTTTACAAGAGTAGGTTACAGTTAGTTTATATATCAAGTCACAGTTTAATATGTATGGAGAAATGTTTAGGCCAAACTCAAAATATGTATAGAGGCATCTATGGGCCAAACTTAATTGAAAAATTTCCTTCTTTTGGTCAATCTCTCAATTTTGAGATATTCACAAAAACTTTAGGTAGTGATGTAACTCTGCCACCATTGTAAATGGTCTTATTTGGTTGAAGTGTGAAATTTGCAAGTCTTGTTAGATCTCAGCTCTGGTTTTGGGATCTATCTGCTTTCTGAAAGTTTCAGTTCGACTATGTGACATTGAGCAGAAATGGCTCCATGTCAGTTTGGTCTGGTCTGGTGGGAACTAGTGCGGGAGCTCAGTCCAAAACACCGGCCACTCATAATTCTGTTTAACAATTCCTATGTGAGAGCATGACCAAAACTTAGGGCATTAGCACTACTCTCAGTTACCGTCATTTGGGGCTTCTGATCTCAACATATCATTCATAGGTTACAGTGTCCTCATGATTGTGCATTTCTTTTAGATTTTGTCATTCTAGTTGAAGACAGAGCATTTGATATTCTAAGGATGGTTGCATGCAAACACTGAAAACTTTTGAGAGAATACAAAGCATCAGAAAGTCTTCTATTATGGCTCTCAGGAGGATAATAACAAGGGCTTGGAGTATGTTCCTTAGCCAGGGTCTCCATGAATCAAACCCACCAAAATCAAATCCTTCAAAGAATATGCCAGATAAGGAGTCTGCCCTCTTTAATCAAGCAGGCTGTTGGTTAATTCCATGAAACCGAGTCTCTACAATACCCAGTGTATTCATCCATATGCAAAAAGTGTCAGCAACTGCACAGATTCCTCCTCGTTCAGCTAGTGGGTAATCTGCAGCAATTATATTACCTAGTACAACTTTAGCAAGAGAATTTTAAAAAGCCTATTGTGCAACCATAGCCTTTGCAGTAGAATATGCTGTAGAGCCTGCCATGAGGGATAAATGTACAATTATTGACTCATTTAAAATTTCTCCAAACTATAATAAAAGAGCTCTAACACAATGATGTCCATCCAGAAAGGAAAAGACCTGGCAATGATCTCTTTAACCTGTGATGTAGGTTAAGAGGAGAGGACCAATGTTCTGTTTCTGACCAATTCTGTAGAAACAAAAATAGCATTAAGATTCGTAGTCCACACTGGCCCTTTATCTTCCATCCACCAAGACATAAGTTGGCTCATGTATAAGGTTGGCTGAAAAATTCTCCATAAATAAAAGTGTACTCCATAGGTACACATGAGGCACCTTTTCCAGTTATATTGCTCATAGAAGCATAAGCAAGAAAAAAATTAAAAGAGGTAAGAATTGTGTGATATCAGAGCAGTCTTGATCCATGATCTTGGGAAAGCTGACCACATTTAGGATGCCACCTGCTTCTGGAGAGAAACTTCCTTTACCTTAGAGTCTCCAGTGAGTATACAATTCCAAGAGTCTGGAGGGACCTTTCTGAATTGTGAGATTACATGCCTATGGTTGGAGGTCCTGAAGTTTTGCTACAGTGTGAGTGGCAAGGGAAGTCTTTCTCTGACATTGTTTCCAGAAGGCCCAATCTCTCTAGGTTCTAGATTGTGAAGGGTTTAATTGTCCTCAGGCAGCGGATCATAAAAAGCTTCCTTTACTTGGTGAAAACACAGTTTGGCATAATACATTAAAGCTTCGTAGCATTTACTCACATCAGAATTTAGGAGTAAAAGATACGTGAGGTTCTATTATTAGGGACACAGACCTTCCAGTGACAATTTCGCAAGGGGTCAACTTAAGTTTTCTACTAGAAGTGGATCTGATTGTTTTTAATCTGCAATATCTTCAGCTATGGAAATCCAGCCAATTCAGTTTGCTTTGCCTAATGCTATTGTATCTGTAATAACTTATTTAACAATTCTACAACTTAGTCAGTGAAACATGTACTTATACTGCTGGAGATTTCTGCAGAAATGCCCAATGAGAGAAACACATTTCCTGAAAACCATTTAGCTACTGTTATAGCCTTGGATTTCTTGCATGAGGAAGCGTCTATAAAACGAGAAAATACGCACTGAAAATGGCAATTGAATGACATTTCTCTATAAATGTTCAAATGGCCCATCACGTAGCAGAAATATACCTGAAGTTTTGACTGCATTCCCAGGATTATGGGTTTGACAAACCAAACATTGATCATAAACCATTTTAACAATTAAGAATAGTCAGTACACCAATATTTTTTCATAATTTGGATAATTTCATCTCTTAAATGATGAGTCATGAAATACAGAGCTTCTAATAATGAAAGCTTTAAGGACACAGGAAAATCCAGATTACTGCCCAGGCTTTCCATGAGTTCACACTTAACATTCAATTTATATCCTCTTAAATACCAATTTCATTTCTCCAATTCAAGTCCAAAACACTGTTTACTAGATGAGTTATCATAGGTAATTTGATCTGGATCATGGAGTTCATTTGAATTGCATATCTTAACAAGTTCAGTACTGGTTGACTTAGCATGAAAATCTGCCAAAGTATTTCCTTGATATTTTAATTAATTTTTGTCCTTTGTGGATTAGCACTTTTATAAACCAGTCAGTTTATTTATTGGAGTTCTGGGAATTCTTATCCAGCCCAAATGATATAATTCTAGAGTTTATCAGAAACCCATATTCAAGAGTCCTTGTCAGGGTCCTTTCCATCCTTTCCATGAACCTCCTTGAAGACACAACACTTCAGGATGATAATTGCTTACAAAGATACTGCACATCAATAAGTGTCCCTTGGTTAGCCTAACTTGGGAGCCCTCATTTTTACATAAACTTCCTAAAGTGCGGTGTTGTTCATTTGGAATTATCCACTGTAATTTTAAATTGTAAATTATCTTTAGTAAGATTTCACCATTTTTGTAAGTTCTTGCTGTTTCTGGAGCCTAATACTTATACATATAATAATCTGCATAGTCAGAAAGTCAAATGAAGAGGTGTCATTGTCTGGCTTAAAGACCCTGGGTTCGTCATCTCACGCCAAAGGAATTGAGGATACCTGCACAAGAAGTGGGTTTAGGAGCAGAGGTTTAATAGTCAAAAGAAAGAGAAAAAGCCTAGGCATGGTGGCTCACACCTGTAATCCCAGCACTTTGGGAGGCTGAGGCAGGCAGATCACTTGAGGTCAGGAGTTCAAGTCCAGTCTGGCCAATATGCTGAAACCCCATCTCTACTAAAAATACAAAAATTAGCCAGGTGTGGTGGCGTGTGCCTGTAGTCCCAGCTTCTTGGGAGGCTGGGGTAGGAGAATCCCTTGAACCTGGGAGGCAGAAGTTGCCGTGAGCCAAGATAGCGCCATTGCACTCCAGCCTGGGTGACACAACTAGATTCCATCTCAAAAAAAAAAAAAAAGAGAGAGAGAGAGAAAGAGAAAGGAGAATAGCTCTCCCTCTCGTGAGAGAGAGGGGCGCCCAGGTGGGAATTCTGGCCTGCAGTGGAGTGCACTAGATTTTATAGACAGTCTTGAGGAGGCGGTGTCTGATTTACATAGGGCCCACAGATTCATTGGACCAGGTGAAATATTTACATAGCATGTGGGGAAGCTGGCTACCCCACCCTAATCTTCTTATTCAAATGGGCTTTCCACTTGGCCTGCACCATGTTATCTGCTCCTTACCGTACATGTGGCTGGCAAAGAGAAAGGAAGATGGAGCTGGCATTTTGAACATGCCTAGTCCCAGGTATCCTTTTCCTGTCGGCACAGCTGCCAGCATTCACCTGTGCAAGCTTCCAGCTTGATTGTCTATATTTGCAGCTCGGTTTTACAGGCTGCTCTTTGTTAGAAAAGAAAATGATTTGGGGGGCTGTTTTTCTTTAAAAGGAAAACCTTACTGAGGACATCCTTGCCCTCACTATCAGCCTAAATAATTTCTTCTTAACTCCTATATCACAAACACTCAGTTCTTCAGAAAGTAAGAATCCCCTTTTTACATTAAATTTTGGCTTGAGCTCTCAGATCCCCTTGTTCAACTCAGCCAATAATTTTCCCCTACCTAAGCACACACAGAAAAAAGAAACAAAGAGGATTCAACAAAAATCCGCTGTGAATTTCCTTCGTTTCTTTTCTTTTCTTTGTTTTGTTTTGTTTTGTTTTGTTTTGTTTTCTGCTTTTTGTTCTGTTTTGTTTTGTTTTGAGATGAGCCTTGCTCTGTCACCCAGGCTGGAGTGCAGTGGTGTGATCTTGGCTCACTGCAACCTCTGCCTCCCAGGTTCGAGCAATTCTCCTGCCTCAGCCTCCTGAGGAGCTGGGATTACAGGTGCCCGCCACCATGCCCGGCTAATTTTTTTGTATTTTTAGTAGAGACAGAGTTTCACCATGTTGGTCAGGCTCGTTTCAAACTCCTGACCTCAAGTGATCCCCCCACCTCAGCCTCCCAAAGTGTTGGGATTACAGGCTTGAGCCACCGCGCCTGGCCCCCTTTGTGAATTTGTGAAAGCCAAACTTTGCACTCCCTGCAGTAATTGCCATTTATAGCCAGTTTTTGACTCATCCAGTCAGACATCTGAGGCCCCTAACTGGATCCAGTCCAGTTAATTATTGAATCCAATTTGTTCCTGAACCCGGGCCAGTTTTTGTCATGACTTCCAAACCCAGTCCAGATAAAAAATTTGTTAAACTGAAATAGCTCAAAACACAGATTTGTGGAGCTATAGAATCCAAGAGAGAACTCACCCACAGTCCCCAGTTGCTGAGAGAAGAGTGGACACAAGAGGTTTGGCGGGTCTCTCCCTTGATCACGCCATGCTCCTGGGGGTTGCTGGAAGGTCTACTTGGAATCCCACTTCTAACACTACTTGTTAAAAGGAAAACTTTAGATAACTTTAATTTTATAGAGTTAATTGAGCAAAGAATGATTAGCAAACTGGAGAGCCAGAAGATCCAGAATAGATTCAGAGCAACGCCAGGGCTGTAACACAGTTGAATAAAATTTGATGAACAGTAAAAGAAAAGTGACTTCCAGAAAGCTGAAGTGAGGTACAAAAACAGCTGGATTGATTACAGCTGGTATTATTTAAACCTGCATTGCACAGTTGGCTGCCTGTAGTTGGCTAAGATTCAGTTATTAGCTATATGAGTAAGTTATAGCCTATTTACACATCATGTTGGGTTACCATTCAATATGTATGGAGAAACTTTTAGGCCAAATTTCGAATACGTATGGAGACAGCTTTAGACCAAACTTAATTGAACAGAAACAAGCTGACTGATGACAAAGGAAAACTGGATCTTTCTACTTTGTTGTTAGCTTCACTGTTCGAAATGATTCTGAGACTGAATATATTGGAGGCCAGAGTATGGTCTCCCATCCCCAAAATATGCCTCTTTGGCAAAAGAATTATTTTCAGCTGATTATTCAAACACAACGGAAACTCTGAAAATAGAGTAGAAGTTAATCTTTTGTAAGGAAAATTTCCATCTAAAGGAGACTTCCATTTGTAAGGGTGCCTCTCTGCACCAGGAAGAGAGGGGTGGCTAAGAAGTTACAAGATACTCTTATCATTAGAGAAGGCAAGGACTTAAATCTGCATAACAAACCTTACTCTAGTTTATCCCTTTTCCCTGTCCCTTTGTCATAACTTGCCTCCTTAACACCCTCTTTGTTGTTTTATTTGAAGATGCTATATAAGTGAGAGTTCTATGCCACTTCTCTGCATATGTGCATATGCAATATACTTGTTAATATATATATGTATGTTTTTCTCTTGTATATACCAAAAATAAAATCCCAAGCTCCCCAGACAACTGAATGGACACTCTGTGGGCCAAAGGGACCCCAGAGTAACCTGAAAAACTGAATTTAGACCGATAATGGGAAGGTAGGTTGGTCACAACTCATTATACTTCCTCCGTTTTGGAGTTTAGACACAAGTGACCAGCATCAACATTAAAATAGAAATCATAAGACTGGCCACACAGATGGCTTATAGCAATAAGATGCCAAATTTCAACCTGAGTCTGGTATAGCATCACATTGCAGATAGCAAACCCTGAAGGAAATCAAAACACTATGCCCCAAAATACTTTTCTCTGACATATTTTGAAATAGCCCTGCAAAACCATCTTTTGTGAGGGAAATTTGTATCAGTAGAGATTCTCCATAAATGCAGCCTTGGCTTCCCTTTCCAGACCTTTCCCAGATCTAAGAGATTGAGTCTGACACCTTTTAAGATCTGAAAAGACACATTTACCATCTATTTGCTCTGAAGATTGCCACCCAAATGAAGAGGCTTCATCTACATAATAAGAACATTGGCCTTCACAACCTCCCCTCCGCTGCTTACCTTAAGTCACGTATTTCTTTCTACTGACTTCAAGTCTGTAGAGCTTTTTCAACCAATTGCCAATCCAAAAACCTCAGAATCCACCTATGATCTATAACTCCTTCCCTGACCCTTTGAAATGTCCCACTTTTTTGGGCAGAATCAGTGTATAGCTTCCATACATTGGTTAATGATTTTACTCACAATTCTGGTCTCCCTAAAATGTATAAAACCAACCCATAACCCAACCACCTCAGGCACACTTTCTCAGGACTTTCTGAGACTGTTCCCTGGGCCATGATCACTCACATTGGCTCAGAATAAACCTCATTAAAATATATTGCAGAGTTTGGTTTTTCTGTTGACATTTGTTAATCTGTCCTTTATTATAGGGGTCAGAACTAAGAACTTACAAGGCTAGAAGAAAAATTATTTTTTCCTCCTCTGCAAGAAAATAAGACAATCGCTTATAAGACAGAATTAAAGTATGTATAAAGTGGTATGTGGTGTGTGTGTGTTGGTGTACAATACTGCTAAGTACTGCTGAAAGGATTGATGTTTTACGCCAAAAGTGAATTACAGAATAGTCACTGAGGAAATTGTAAATAAAATCACCAAGTCTCTACCAGTGATTTCTAGTTAAGGGTGAAGAATGGGAAAGATACAGAATAGCTGCCAGTAGAGAGGTGTGGCTCTGTCTTTGAAGGTGGTAAAGGAAGTGGACATAAACTTAACTACTAAAGGAAACTGAATGTATTTTACCCCAAAGCACACTTCTTTGACTTATGTCAAGATGGCTATTTAGAGGGCGTGCAGACAGGAATTGCCCCAAAAACTGCCTTTTGTGAAGAAATTTTGCACCTGAAGAGAAAAATCTACACTGATGGAATAAACAGCCAGGCTTTCTCTGAGAATCCCCAACGATACCATGGCCCAGATCTAGGAAAAAATTAATTCAACCACAGGCTACCATCTGTCCTTCCTGAGGCAGCTCCAAGATGCCCTGAGATAGTCTCATCTGCAAACAAGTCAGTCTTTGCTTGACATGCTTTCCTCCCTTCATTTTCCCATAACCTCTGATGCTACCTCCCTTACAGCCTCAAGAAACTGGGTCCCATGACATTTTTCTTTAGCCTCATTTGCCCCCACTGAAAAGCATTTACTCCTATACACCCCCCATCTCCCCTCTCCCCTATGAAGAGGATATTTAAATGTCAACCATCTAGCCCCTTCTTTGAATTTTCATATTTTGTCTCATTCCTGTGTTCCTAGGCAGATTAATAAATGTGTGTGCCCTTTTCTCTTTTTAATCTGTCTATTAGCAGTTTTTTACAGGCTTAAATTATCAAGCCTTCAGGGGAAAATATTGACTCCCTAGAGTTTTGGCTCTGTAAGTAGGATAACAAATCATTCTCTTCATTGTGGAGCCTATGAAGGTGATCTTGGGACAACTGATGAACAGCTCTCCAAAAAAGGTAAGAATTTCTCTACCAGGTCAGTTTTCCAATACCTCTCCCTAAAGAGCCCAATTGAGTGAAGGTGGTAAGCATCTTTTTTGTCCTTTTATTCTTTCTAAATTTGAATTAAAATAAAATATGTAAATTCGTTCTTGTATTGGTTGGAATTGCTTTTAAAATAAATTGAATATATTAAAAACCTTTTTAGAGACTTCTCATCTTAAAGAACTGTCTTATTGGTACCTATGAAAAGATACAAACAGAATAGAGGCTTAGAAACACCCTTGGAAAGACTTTAAACTAAAGCATAAATTGTATTTGAAACAAAATTAAAATCTTTTGTAAGCTCAAACTGCCTACTTTCATCATCTGTGAGATTTGCTGCAGAGACTCTACACTCTGTAGTCTAGTGGTTAGAATTCAGACCTATCACTGTTGGACCACATTTGATTTCTAGTCAGAGAACTACGCCCCTGTAGATGTACACTTTACCATGTCTTTGAAACATAAACATCTTAAAGAAATGCTTCCATATATTCCTTTGGCTCAGGAAAGAAACATTTATAAGAATGAATGTGCGTAGTTTTAATTACTTGTATAATTCTTGGTTTTGTTGAGAACCCATTTGTAATCTGTTCCACCCCCATGAACAGCTTTTGATTTTCTTTCTTACTGACTGTTCGTTTCTTATAATCTTCCATCTATTGGGCACAGGAATTGTCAGCCTTTTTGTGCAGATGGCAAGCCAAGAAGTCAAGACCCTAGAGAATAGGGCTGGACAGAAATATGAGTTGTACCTCATTTGCAGGTAGTAGCAAAACATTTCCTTTCTCTGACCTGTCGATGGGAGTGGAATGGATCTTGGGAGGGTTGCAGCTTTTGCTCCCTCTTTGTAGACTTTGATTAAAGCCATAAATGACATTTTGGTTTTAGTCTCATGTGTACTTACTTGTTTTGGTTTTGATTCATTTCTTGAGGTATACCTTTGATTTAAAACCTTGGTTTAGATTGAGAGAATAAGATCACTCCCCTGGGCCAGAAAGACACACCCCTTGCTTCTAGGAACCAAACCAGTGAGTGAGCAAGGTGGGCTCCTCCTAGAAAGCAGAGGCTGGAGGAGGCACTGCATTCCCACTGCAGCCACAGTTCTCTCTGCTCCAGTGAAAGGCCAGATGCTCACGGGACAAAATGTTTTACTACCAATATATTCAGAAAAGTTGTATTTTTTGTTTTGTGTTGTTTTAAGAGTTTGATTTTCAAGTCAGTTTGGTTAACAGCAGGTATCCTTCTCTGTTCTCTGCTATTTTGCCCATGGGAACCATTTAGTTGACTGGATTTTTTTTTTTTCCTCAAATTCCTGCTAACTAAAATTTCATTGCTCTTTTGAAAAATTTAGACCTCCCCAAATGGGCTCCTCTAAGCCTTGTTCTCCCATTTCCTTCCATTTTTGCCCCTTCTCCTTTTTGCCACCTTTGATACCACATGAAGGGATCTAGCAGGGACTTGTAGTGACCCTGAGACCCCTGGAGGAATACAGTCAAGACATCACTGACCCCCTTTTTTGGAATCCCCTGTTTTCCTCACAGATCCCCAAGAGTCATGAATGGGTTCCTCTTAGGTCTAAAGCTCTTCTCTCTTTTGCGTTAAACCCCCTGATGTCTTTGGCTTTTGGATACATATACATATACATATGTGTTGTGTTGCATATGGTGTCTACATGTATGTATATATCTATACATGTGTTTGTATGTTGTCCACATGGCACCAAATTGACTTATAAATATACAAGTAGTCATAAATTAAATAAATAGTCCAAATGCTTTTCAAGTTCATGTGACTTTAGGAATTGATCTTCTCTTTTAAACAATATTTTTGTGTAGTATTAATAAGAGATTGTAAGAAAAAGATTTTTGTTCACCTTTTGAGTAAACTGCAGGGGAAAAAAAAGAGGGGCGAGAGAGAGAGAGAAATCCTGTGTGCCTCATGCTCCTTTTTTTTTTTTTTTTTTTTTTTTTGAGACAGAGTTTTGCTCTGTCCCAGGCTGGAGTGCAGTGGCGCGATCTTGGCTCACTGCAACCTTCGCCTCCAGGGTTCAAGTGATTCTCCTGCCTCAGCCTCCATAGTAGCTGGGACTACAGGCATGTGCTACCACACCCAGCTGATTTTTGTATTTTTCGTAGAGATGGGGTTTCACCATGTTGGCTAGGATGGCCTCAATCTCTTGACCTCGTGATCCACTCACCTCAGCCCCCTCAAAGTGCTGGGATTACAGGCGTGTGCCACCGCGCCCGGCCCTCATGCTGTCTTTATTAGATCTTTTGATTACTTGGAATCTGAGTCTCTTCCATTTCAAAGAGTAAAGGTTTTTTTCTTTTTGAAATCTTTTCATTATCATTTTGCCTAAATGAATGACTATTATTTTACAGTAATCTGTAATCCTATTTTGATCAAATGTTTTAAACCTTTGATATTTGACAAGCTTTCCAAATTCACAACTCTAAACTTTGGGGGACCTAAAACTAAATTTTAGATACTCCAGATGCATCCCTGAAAATCCGACAGAGAGATATTAGGCTTATTTTGTGTATGTTAAAGTCCTATGGGAAGCATTGTCAAACAAGAAATGATGCTTAACCTTTGAGTTATATTTGTACAAATACATCATTAGTATGTGTTCAAAACTGTACAAGAGTCCTAAACATTTGATTTATCTTGGTACATGTAATCAATCATAATTGTGGCTATTTTGCTAAATTGTTGTAGGCCAGAGAAAATAATCAAATTTCTTTGTCAATTGCATTTTTAACCATGATCATTTTGTCTTATTGTCCACAGGTTTATGATGATGCCTTTTTTTTTCTAAAAGCTCTTTGCAAATCCTAAAGTGCTGTGTCTTTAAAGATGTTCATGAGAAAGACTATCAGTACTCTTAAACACAGGTTTCTTACAAGGTTAAGATAACACAATTGGACTAAATAAGAATTTTAAAAACTCAAATGAAAAAAAAGAATGGACTCATAAAATTGCTAACCTAAGAATGACCAAAAAAAATTAATTATACAGAACTGAAAGAACAGAGGATTGAAAACAATTTTTATGACATTTTTGTTTGAAACATTGCTGACTCTTTTTATGTTTTGTTTTCCAGGGTCAAGAAAACTCTTTGTTTTCCCTTTAAGCTATCTATAGCTTGCAGTAATTGGGCAAAATATACTTTCATGAGCAAAACTGAAACATTTGCCTTTCTCTTTAACTGATCCCTAAGGAATCAAAAAGTCTTGAAAACTTTTCAAGAACTTTTAAAGGCAATATAATTATTTGCATAAGTTAAATAACAATGTCTTTTCTTTTGTAACAGGACACAATTGGAGACACTGGATTTTTACCAAGACTTTGATTGTAATGTCATATTTTCAGATATGATGAGGCTTCTTTGAGAAGTGGAGGTTGACTTAAAAGTCAGTAAACTTGGAAAAAAGACTGGCCCAGTGTCTTGTCTATGTGGCTCCCTTACAGGGCTCCTGACCTTGTGCTAAGTAAAGAATGTCACTTTCTGACAGGCCCAGGAACTTCAGGTTATTTTGAGGACAACCTTGGGAAGAGGGATATTTACTCAATTTGTACAGATATTTCAGACACAGCCTGAGGACAAGTCAAATTTTTATTTTGGCTTCCTAGTCTTGAGAGGCTTTTAAAAAGTCCAATCTAATTGTTTTTCTTTTTACGTAAATAGAGATGGAGTCTCATTATGTTTCCAGGCTGGTCATTGACTCTTAGGCTCAAGCCTCCTCTTGCTCTGGCCTTCCAAAGTGCGAGAATTACAGGCTTAGAACACTATGCCTGGCCTAATCTAAAATTTTTCTTAAAATGTTTCAGCAAGGCCAACTTGAAAAGAGCATATGTGATAAATCACTATTCTTGCTAAATTTATGTAAATAATCAGGCCAAAGGCAATTTATTTTGCAAATAGATTAGTCTTACCATGATTTATCTTTGGTAAAAATAGGGTAGTAGAGAGAGAAAATATATATGTATATATACATATATATTTCAGGAAAAAAATGTATAGTGCACTTATTATTAGATTCTAGCCCCATCCATTATTTTTGAGGGTTTCTGTTAGTTTGTTTTTTATTACCTGGACTAATTCTTTTTTTTTTTTTGTATGTATTGCTCAATTTATTTTTTTTAATTATACTTTAAGTTTTAGGGTACATGTGCACAACGTGCAGGTTTGTTTCATATGTATACATGTGCCATGTTGGTGTGCTGCACCCATTAACTCATCATTTAACATGTTACATTTACTCCAATATCTGGCTGTTACTCTCCAGACTAACATTTCCAACTTTTCTGACTTGAAATCACAAGAAATTAAAACTGTTCATTTCTTAGAGCTCTTCAGACTGAAGCTAGATATGAAATTGATATGCAATTCAGGAGAAAGCACTACAGGAACTTGTATATAAATTGCCTTTGTGCCTGTTGATGTATAGACTACTCAGTTCCCTGGAACACCTGTTTCAAACTACAATCCAGAAAAGTGTAACAGCTTGTGACTGCTGGCCCTCTCCAACTGAAGATGCCTTA
Source organism: Homo sapiens (assembly GCF_000001405.40). Classification (NCBI taxonomy): domain Eukaryota; kingdom Metazoa; phylum Chordata; class Mammalia; order Primates; family Hominidae; genus Homo; species Homo sapiens. Next base: position 107,208,326 of record NC_000002.12, on the reverse strand, counting down.
GAAACTCTAGGAAATCTAGCTTATACACTAGTCTAGTCATTAACCTTTGTTTTTTCTTCTGTTTCCATAGAAATGCCTCTTATCGAAGATTTGTTTGCCTGCATCATAATAGAGGCTTAGGTTTGAAAGCCCATCTGCAATGCCAACTCCTGGAATGGGACACAGCTATTTAACTGAACTGATCTATTCTCAGAACTAAAAGACTGATTTAAAAAGATATGGGCTGCTTGTTCCAATCTATACCCCCCAACCCCCTTCGCTAATCTCTTATCTCACAATCTCTAACCACATCTCTCTATTGCTAACAATCCTACTTTAATATGTGAAACATACTAAAAATAAAGTTTCAAATAAGGGAGGCCCTGCAGACCAGAATTGCCCTGAGAAGCTGCCTTTTGTGGAAAAGTTTTGCATCTCAAGAAAAACATCTACATTGGTGGAATAAACTACCATTGATCCTTTCTAAGGCAGCTCCAAGATTCCCTGAGCTACTTTCATCTGCAAACAAGTCAGTCTTTGCTTGACATGCTTTTCTCCCGTGACTCTCCTATAACCTGTGATGCTACCTCCCCTATAGCCCAGAGAAATGTGGCCCACATCACTGTTCTTTGGCCTCATTTACTTTCCCTAAAAATCATTTACTCCTACTACCCCACCCCATTGTCCCTCTCCCCAATGAAGAGGATATTTAAGTGTTAATCATCAAGGCCCATCTTTGAGTTTTCATATTTTGTATGATTTCTGTGTCCATATGCACATTAATAAATGTGTACACATTCTTCTCTTATTAATCTGTCTATTATCAGCTTTTTGTAGACTCAAATTATCAAAACTTCAGGTGGGAAAATAAATTTCCATACAATATGTGAGCTTTTGTCCCAGATATTTTATGAGTAAGCAGAAAAGGAAAGAATCACTGAGGTCTGGAACAAGTCTTGTCATATTATCCACACTTTATTTTAACAAGATTTCTAAACTGCTAGGTTGTAGAAATGCTATAGGCATTATATATTTCTAGATCAGCATTTATTTATTTTATTTTTTTTTTTGAGATGGAGTCTTGCTCTGTCGCCCAGGCTGGAGTGCTGTGGTGCAATCTCGGCTCACTGCAACCTCCGCCTCCAGGGTTCAAGCAATTCCCCTGTCTCAGCCTCCCAAGTAGCTGGGACTACAAGTTCAGGTCACCACACCCTGCTAATTTTTGTATTTTTGGTAGAGACAGGATTTCACCATATTGGTCAGGCTGGTCTTGAACTCCTGACCTCAGGTGGTCCACCCACCTTAGCCCTCAAAGTGCTGGGGTTACAGTCATGAGCCACCGTGCTCAGCCCCTAGTACAGCATTCAATCTGAAGTGGTCCCTTATGCTATTTTAGGGGCAAATAGAGATGTATAAGCTGAATGATACTATTGGGTGAACTGCAGTTAGCTTTGCAACCACAAAAATGGTTAAGGTGATTAAAGGACTGATGCCAATATGGAAAGAAGTTTCTACAGACAAGCTAAAGAACCTGTATTACATTTTAAAGACATAATCATTATGTTTCTGAGTTTTTAAAAGCTCAACAGGCAAATAGTGCATTGGTTTATTGAATCTGAGCTATCAGGATAAAATGATAGGAAAAATCTGACAAGTTCAAATTTAATAGGGAATGATGACATGATCTGCTCTTGGGTCCAACAACAACAAAAAAGTTAGAAATGCAAGGTGGAACAAATATTGCTTCCCTGTAGCACATAGGAACAAAATTTGTGTTCACAGTGCAAGTCACCAGTGAGATGTGATTGCCAAAAAAGATAATGAGCTTATGGAGTGTATTAATTAAAATATAACACCTCATCAACAGACACTATAATTCTGCACATGATTAGACAGCTCTCACATAAAGTTCAGAGGAGCAGTTTGTGCCTGGCAGTAAGAAGCAGTAGAGCTGGTGCAGAGACAAGTAAACAGGAAGAGAGGAGGGTTCTTGATCAAGGTGTGTGAAGATAGGTCGAAGAGGGAGGGAGGTGACAATGACTAAGTCATTGTCCTCCCTGTCTACCTCGCCAGCCCAACTATTCCACTGAGAGTGCTGGCTATTCAGGGATCACAGGACCCTCCAATTCCTCTTCTTAGGAGAATCACACTTGGCCAAACAGGAGCCCCTCACACATAGAGTCACTCCCCACATCCACCAGCCCCTCAAATCCCCATCCAACCCCAACCCCTGGGACCAGCCTGCAGCCTATGACTGACTAACACAGAGGTACAAAGTCCAGATCCTTACTCCAAGTTGGGCCAGCTTTGCAGTGCAATTCATTTTTGCTCCAGAGGTGCTAAGGTATCAGCTGTGACTTTTCCTTGAGCCCCCGACATGGTGCGTTCCATCAGTTAGTCAAAGCATATAGATAACATAAATAATATAAATAATGCAAAAAAAGAGAAGGAGCTGCTAGAGAAAATAGTGGTACCCCAATTATCTTGTCCCCACTAATCTCAATGAAAATCTGTCCTTTCTGATACTCTAAAGATGCAATGCACTGAGTTCGGGGCAATCCAGCTGCTGATGATGCTTAGCAATTATTATTCCTGTACCAGGATGCCCAGCTTTAAAAATATGACTACTAAACTAATAAAATCAAGAATAATAGATCTTAAAATTCAGATTTATTCTTATATCAGAAATTTACCTTTTGAAGCTACACTAAACTTATCATCTCCTTCAGCCAAGTACTGATTTTTAAATTCAGTATTTTGCCCAAAAAAGCAATCATATACATATGTGCACGTGTACATATGTAGACACTTATATACACAGATCACCTTTCCACCCTGATCAACCTATTCCAAGCCTTACAAAAACCCAAATCCTCCTGCTTAGTCTTTGCAAATTCCTGGGTTCTTACTTTCTTAAAAGAGCCTATATTTTAGGAGTAGTATTTTCCTTCAAACAATCCATTAACGTGAAGTATTTCTAAGAGTGCAATTAACATTTTCAGAGGAGTCCTAAAAATGGATTACTTCATAGAAATGAAATGCTGTCTTATAGGCATCATCATCTGAGACACATATTGGCCACTCCACTCCCAAAAGTTGCATCAGTCCACACTGTTAACAGGTTCTCTCCATTTTGCTGGCTTCCCAGCCTTGTCTTCCCCTTTCTAGTAATAGGACCTTCCTTCTTCCGTATTCTTCTTCAACCAGCCTCTGCTGCTAAACTTGCACACTGACAGGGAAGATCCCTCCAGGTCTTCATCCTCCTGTTACCTACATGGTGGCTCCTTCCAGGGCAAGGCTGGGCTGCAGGTAACCAACATTCTTGCACTTTTGCATTCAGTTCTGCTACACTTCTGTCTTGTGTGGGGTTTTAAAGATTGGCAGGGAGAGACGTCTTTAGAAGAAAAAGGAATCATCTGCCCAAAAGTGGACTGAAAACATCTATGACAGATAGGAATAGAAAAGGAAATATAAGATGCATCAAAGCCTGGGGGTGAATAAAGCTGAGCCAAAAACTACCAGTATGGAGGTCCACCTGGTATGAATGGGACAACCATGTGGGGAGGTCCAACTGGTAGGGATAGGACCTGGTGGAGCAGGTGGAGGTGAGGCTGAAGCAATTGATTTTAGCCTGAGACAGAGGCAGGAGCCAGGTATTGAGTACCTACCCCAAAAAAGATCTCCACCAGAGCTGAAGAAAATCGATGAGAATTTCACAGGAGTAGTGCAAAGGGTTTGCATAGTTGCATGTGAGAGAGAAAGCCAAACTTTCCAGAAGTGGGGCCAAGATACTTCCAAGGTTGACAGTGAGAGTCAGTATGGAACCCAGAAAGAGTGGCCCCTGGGCTGGCAGATGAGAGGGACCACAGAGAGGCCTGGCCAGCCTGAGCAGGGCTTCCAATCTGTGTTTTACTGAATGGGCATTTTGGGAATTTATGATATTCCCTTTGTGTCTATCATAATCAAGAATGGAGTTTTCTTCCATTTGAAATAAAACGTGTTTAACCTTAAAAAGTATAGTAAAGCAAATGACTTTGTCTCCATCACTCTTTCCTCTTCCTTTATTCTACATTTGCTCATTCCAAGAATCTCCCCCCAAATTTGCTCATGCGTCACTGTTTTTTTTAACAGACTTTTTACTTTCTCAATCTTTCATCAACAAATTATATTAATTCTTGTCTTTATTAAATTACTTCTTCAATATTTATTGAACAGCTTCTGTGTGATAGACGTTGTTGCAGGCCATGTTGGATAAGCAAATACATGAAGTAGTGGCTCTCCACCCATAAAGACCATCTGGGACACAAGAAGACAGGTGCAATAACTCCAAAACATGAAAGTTAGCCTTACATTAAGAGGAAGTCATGCATTGTTGGTGATTTGTAAGCATGATCCTAGTGACCTATCCTTTTTCTCTGGAAAGGATAGAAATACCGAGAAAGTGCTCTCTCACCCATCAACCCTGACAGCTCTTGCTTTCTAGTCCCCAGATAAACTGTACCAACAGACTCGGACTTTCACTAGCTTCCCAATGTCCTGTGGATACAGATTAAACATGAACCAGGACATAGGAATTGACCAAGAAGACCAGGTTATCTGATGGAGTCAACACTGGTGGTAGAGCAATAAATAATCTAGGCTGAGTGATGCATTTTTCACAAAAGCTAGGCATATGGCTAAATAGGAAGCAGGAAAAAAAGCAGTCTAGAAACAAAATCTCCCCTGAGTCCGAAGTACAGTCTCACACCAGCAAGCAGTGAAACAAATATTTTGTTCTACTGAAACAATAATCAAGTAATTTTAATATAGAAAATAATATTTTTTTCAAACAAAGCTTGTCTAATGAGAGAAAGAACTAGAATTAGTTCTGAAAGAATGTACCAAATGATGCTCTCACAAACTGAGGGGGCTGAGTTTCAAAATCACTCAGCCTTTTGTTGCTGTGCATTTGGGGAAAACACAATATTCTAATTATTTATCTCACTGTAACAAAGGGAGAGGGAGAATGTGGCTTTAAATCAATTAACAAATTCAGAATATCTTCTTAAAACCACCAGACCATATTCATATGAGGAAACTTTTTGAGAAAAATAAACATCGGAGGGGAAATGATTAGGTATTTCCTAGGCAGAGATAACCATGGCAGACATTTGAAGATGAGAAATGACCAGAAGACCTAATGGTAATTAGGGACATAATAAAAACATGACAACAGGCCATGTGATAAAGTTTAAAAAGAGGAAGTTCTATAAACTACTCAGACTAGAGCAGCATTTTCCAATCTTCCGGTCATTAAGTCAAATGGAAATGTTGATGGATGGGACTTTCAGGAGATAAAGCAGTCTAATAAATTTTTTTATGGTGGTACCAACAGAATTGCTAATGGCTTTGAAAGAAAGGATAGGAGTGAAAGATAACTGAATATTTTGGTATGTGAATTATTTACCAGTAAAAACATAGCATGAAAAATTATCATCTTCATCACCAAAAGCATAGCCCTTTTTAGTCTGGTTCTCTTCTTTCCATCAAGAAAGCCACTTGTATAATTTCCCTGGATAAAGGTAGAAAAAAAGTTGTGTCTGCTGTTCACTTATGCTTCTTTACCAGCAAACATCTAGGAATCTTTACTTCCTCTTTCTAGAAGCTTCTCAATAAAGAAATTAACTTTTAAGAATCTCATACAACAAATCATTTTCACTCTGCCTCCACCTATACCTCCAGAAATTCTTAATAACCCTGTTCAGAACTCTAATGCTGAGTCAATTCATGCATTCATTTAAAGATAGATATTAAACATCTATTTACACTGTGACTGTAGTATATAAGATTAATATTTCCATAATTATCATTAATCCAGATTGTCCTTTGAAGGGATTATTTAGGTGGCTGATGTGGTTTGACTCTGTGTCCCCACCCAAATCTCATGTTGAATTTTAAACCCCATTGTTAGGGGAGGAACCCCATGGGAGATGATTGAATTATGGGGGGAGGGGATGTTTCTAATGGTTTAGCGCTATCCCTTTAGTGCTGTCTCCTGATAGAGTTCTCATGAGATCTGGTTGTTTAAAAGTACGTGTGTAGCATTTCCCCCTTCACTCACTTCCTCCTGTTCTGGCCATGTGAAGTCATGCCTTACTTTTCCTTCAACTTCCACCATGATTGTAAGTTTCCTGAGGCCTTCCAGCCATGCTTCCTGTACAGCCTACAGAGCTGTGAGTCAATTACATCTATTTTCTTCATAAATTACCCAGTTTCAGGTAGTTATTCATAGCAGCCTCCGAACTAATACAGTGGCAGTGTCTAATTCAAACATTATCTTCCCTCAAACATTTTTGGGACATTCCATGGGAACTAGCTTTTGGATCCAGTCTGAGTCACATGAAAAAACAGTGTTATTATTTTTAGTCACACTTGTTTTGGAAGTACAAGAATGTTTTCATTCAATGGACATTTTGAAATACCTACTATGTGCCTGGAAGTATTCTAAGAAGCAGAGACTCAGCAAACAGTTGCTACATGAAATGTCTTGGATCTGTTTACAAAATTTCAATCAAAGACCCAAAGATTCACCAGCATCGAAAACTTTCAAAAGAATGCAAAAGAATGTGCTGCAGACTTAGAATCAGTTTTCCCAGAGGTAGTCCCAAACTGTAGAAACATGACAGAATCCCTGAAATAAGTAGACAGCCTCTCTAGACAACTATTTTGCACAATTATCATCAATTTTAGAGCCATGCTTACCATAAGGATTTGGGGATTTAATAAAAGTCCCAGCCTCTCCACCTGTCTTTTGTTTCCCTGCCTTCCTGGCGGGCTGATCCCCATCATCACTGGAGACTCAGCTGAGGCTCACCTCATCTGTCCTTCCATCCACCCATCCAGCAAAGATTTATTGTGCCCAGATGTGTGTCCCTTAACACTGGGGATGAAAAACTGAAAAGAACAATTGTCTTCTCACATTACCCTTCATTGAGTTTGGGAAAGAGACAATAATAGATGAACACAGTAAAGCAAGTTCTGAGATAGTAAACCCCACAGATGCTGTGGGAGAACAGGAAAGGAGCAAATCCAGGGGAAGTGTGCATTCAAAGAAATCGTAGTCCAGGGAGAGAGAACTGGTCAGGGTCCTACTGGTTTGCCAAATGATGGATGCTTTGGTGAAGGAGAAGGGAGAGTGTGATTAACATAAGTACAGGATAGATAGAGTAACTGCTGGGAAATTGATAAGCAAGTGATTGATTTATACTGGCTTCTCTTTCAATAGAGTGTAAGCTCCCCTAGAGGAAAGATCATGTCTGATTCAATCTTCTGGAGCATGGCCAATGCTTAGAACATTGGACCTAATTAGTGCTAAATAGTTGCCTGTTGGAGTGAGCGAATTGTCACTGTACTTAAAAAGATAAAATGAATCTATTTTGCCAAAATAGAAAAAAATTCAAGTGTAATTTTATTATTAGTAGTAGTATTAGTATTATTTTGAGATGAAGTTTCGCTCTTGTTGCCCACGCTGGAGTGCAGTGGCATGATCTTGGCTCACCACAACCTCTGCCTCCCAGGTTTAAGTAATTCTCCTGCCTCAGCCTCCCGAGTAGCTGGGATTACAGGCATGCACCACAAGGCCAGGCTAATTTTGTATTTTTAGTAGAGACTGGGTTTCTCCGTGTTGGTCAGGCTGGTCTCAAACTCCTGACCTCAGGTTATTCGCCCGCCTCGGCCTCCCAAAATGCTGGGATTATAGATGTGAGCCACTGTGCCCAGCCTCAAGTGTAATTCTTAAATAATGTTTAATAAGAAGAGGTCTGTCTTTCTGGGTTGGACCATTTTTGGGTTTTGATAAACAGTCACACCAGCCAGCAAGTTCTATGTATTGAAAGTAATGAAGTTCTGACAGGTAAATCCCACGTGCCATACCGAATTATGTTATATGGGGCTTGCAATAGGAAAAAGGAAGATAAATGCCTAATTTGAAACAATAAACCTAGTTGCTGTCCAATATCTATAAATGAATGTGTTTTCTTATGTTTTAAGTAACCTGATTTTTGTGTATTAGAATAAGGAGTCAGATGTAAGTAAAACATAACATAATCATTTCTTAATGAATAAGTGACTGTTACAATGACGTTTCCAGAGGAGAAGGTCAATACTGCATATGTGATGAGCTTTCTTGGAAAAGTAAATAAACAGCCTTTATCACCAAACGTCAGACTTCTGAAACCGTGAAATTACTTGGGAGCAGTAATTATAACCCTAACCAACTTTAGGTATATGGCTGAATTGACTATTTATTGGTGATTCCTTCTCTAAGGCCATAATGATCAATCAAGGGCAATTGATCCAATCACCCTCTCCTGTCATTAAATAATGGAAACCTGCCCTGAGCCAAATGATGAAGTTTGTCACCGACACATAACTACTAATTTATTTATTAATTAATACATTCATTTGTTGAATATTTATTCTATGTGCCAAAATTACAAATAAATTAATTACAGATGAATTAATTACAGATAAATTGCACATGTTCCTTATCCCTAGAAAACGTATGGTCTAGTAGGGGAAGATAAACACAGGAATTGAGAAAGGTAATAAAATGGACAGAAAGCATGGTGGTTACCCTGGACTGAGGCAAAGAGGAGAGGTTCTGTGGAGGGGTGGCCATGCAGGACGACTTGGAATAAGAAGCAGCCTCTCCTTGGGAATAGGGCAGTGGATCCCAGGAGGGAAGTCCCTCCAGCACAGGAAGCAATGGGGGCAAAGGTGTGGAAGCCCCCAGGGTGTGAAGCACACTCTCTAGTCGTGGTTAAGGCAAGGAGCTCAGGGAACAAAGAGCCCCAGTGAGAGATGAGGCTGAGGTGGGGGACTGGGGGGGATGAAGTGGGTGAGGTGGGGCCGAGTAGAACTTGATGCATAGGAACTTGAAGAAGATTTCTGAAGAAGCCCCTGCAGTGTGGCTTGGTACAGTAAAAGAGGGCCTTTTACCTCCCCACCTTCCTCTGAAACACTATCTTATGTTAAAATGTAGCTGTAACAGGATCAATTGTCTCTCTAAGGTAGACAATGTTTTGGCCTAGAATGCACAACCTATCTCAGACCAGGAGGAAATAACCTTTTAATTTAAATAAAAAGAAATGAGATACCTTCAAAAACATCAGTTGGGTAAAGAAAAAAAGAAAGGAGGTGGAAATTGTCCAGATAAAAAAAGGCTAAAGAGACATGAAAGCAAAAGGAAAGGAGGGGGAAAGCCTCTAAGGATCACTATTGGGTGAATTGCAAAACTGGGATATGTACAATCAACCAGAGAAATTACTGTGTCAGTGTGACAGTGGTGAATTTACTGAGGTTGTTAACCCTAGTGTGGTTATATAAGAGACTATCCCTATTTTTAGAAAATGCACATTGAAATGTTTAGGGGACAAGCCATGGTATAACTTATACTCAAATGGTTCAAAACTACTGTTTGTATGTGTATTTATATGGGTGTATGTACATACACACACACACACGTATATATACACAGAGTAAGAAAGAATGAGAAAGCAAAGGGAAAAAAAATTTACAAGAGTTGCACATGGTTGGTTGGTTTTTTTTTTTTTTTTTTTTTTTTTTTTTCAGACAGGGTCTCACTCTGTCACCCAGGCTGGAATGCAGTGGTGCGATCTCGGCTCACTGCAAACTCCGCCTCCCAGATTCAAGCGATTCTCCTGCCTCAGCCTCCTGAGTAGCTGAGATTACAGGCACATGCTACCACGCCCGGCTAATTTTGTATTTTTAGTAGAGTCGGGGTTTCCCCATGTTGGCCAGGCTGGTCTCAAACTCCTAACCTCAAGTGATCCACCCTCCTAGGCCTCACAAAGTGCTGGGATTATAGATGTGAGCCACTGCTCCCGGCCCTACATGGGTTTTTTATATTATTTTTTTACAGCATATTTGTCTGAGAATTAAGATTTTATCTTTAAAAAATTTTTTAAGGTAACAAAATTAAATATATGTATTTGTTCCTCCCGAAGTCTCTGTGCCTCCCTCTTTTTCTTCCTCCTCCCTCCTTTCTGGATCTGGAGCTGGAGAGCCATGTGGAATACTTACTGGAACCCACAGGATGGCAAGAAGCTTGCAAGCTCTAGAAAGGCCCTGGAAAGAGCATCCCCGAGTTGTGCACCCTCTCCTCTTTCTCCCATGCCTCTCTCAGCTGTGATCCTGCCATCTCCCTCCACACTGCTGCAGCCACTCCTCCACTATGGCACCCTACACAGCCCGCCACTCAACACACACACCCTGAGGGCATTCCGTACCATAGCTATGCTCAGAGACCTTGGAAAATGTACACATTCAATGAAAGCATCTCCAGTGAAGGGATGTGGGCCAGAGCCCAGTCCTTGCTCTGCCCTTTATTGATCATGTACTGGATCCCAAAACAACTGTGAATCTCAGGTGCTAGAGGGCAGTGTGGAATAATGATTGTACTGATTTGGGGGCTGCTGGGAATGTAAATCGAGTGTTGCCTGAGAAAGCTGTATGTAGACATGGTGATGTCACAGTCGCTTGTCTGATTGATTGCACACCATCTGTCCCTTTGTCCTAAGCCAAGAGTGCAGGAAGAAGTGCCTCCAGTGGTGCTGAGCTGTTTGGAGTGGATACTTTCTCTCCACTCCACTTGTTTACATTTTGCAGAGAGGTCACACACAGGGAGGGGTTTGCAAGAGAATATGCTTCCAGAATAACTGGTCTTAGAAACAATATTTCAGAGACCTTTTACAGGAGACTGTATAGAGATGTCCTCAGTCTCCCCAATCATTTTTGTCAGCAGATGCTCTGTTGTTATCCCAGAATATATGGTCAATCTCTGGAACATTCGCAGATTTAACAGCCGAGTCCTGGCACCGGCAGGTGTTTATGAATTTACCAAGCCACAAATGAGAAATGCATTCTGGATGCTAATGTGCAGGAGTGAGGGCCTTACACAGTGAGGGGGCCTGGCCCAACCTAGCACCTCGACATCCCAGGTTCACTCATGAGGTAGCTCTTAGTAAGGATGCCTAAGTAGGGTACATACCAGAAAAACAAGGATGGTTTAATACTAGAAAATCTATTGATCTAATTTAGCATGTCAATTAGGTCTAAAGGAAAAATATCATATTTTCATCTCCAATGATGGTAAAAAGGTATCTGACAAAATTTAATATCCATTATTGACTTAAAAGGTTTTATGCAATAATACAAGTGAAATGTATCTATTTCATCTCAAAAGCTAATATATGTTATTCATGGAGAAACACTAAACGCCTTTCCACTAAAGTCAGGAAAAACACAAGGATACTTTAGGTATGACCACGCTTCTGTCCTGGAAAGAAATTCAAAGATAAAAATCTAGCTCCACACAAAATTTCAGAAAAAAGTTTTAGTAAGTATTGTGCCCACAGTGTAATAAAAAGTAGAAATAAAGAGAAAGTATAATTAATTTTTAAAATGGCTTGTATTCTATATGCAAATGCTTGGAACACAATTTCATTAGAAGACAAAATGAAATATTCATATTCACAGGTATATGCCTAATTATAATAAATAAGTTGGAAATAAGACAAAATATTGTCACTGAACATTGTCATTACTGTTCCTTATACTCAATATTTCGATACAAAGGACAAATAAGCATAGTTACATCTATATAAATGTAAGTCTATATGATCAATGTAATTGTGACTGCCAAGAAATCTGGTGACTCAAACAACAGGAGAATCTCTGTCACTGGAGAGAGAATTTCCTCAAATGCTAAACAACTCTTAATGAAATTCTGAACGACACAAAGTATAACCTCTTCTCAATTTACTTAGCAGTTGCTTTCCTTGAAAACTCAGAATATATTAAAACTGCAAAAAGACTTAGAATTCATATGTTAAACAGTTATGTTCTAGACTCAGACACTTATGAGCTGGTTTTCATCTATATGACTGGGAATATTTGAAAGTCTTTGGGGGAATACTGTAAGTTTTCATTGTAGGAGATTTTCTTCTGCACTTTCCAGGATGCATAATATCCCTAGCCTTCTAAATGCCAACAGCACTCTTAAATTATTGTAACAACCCAAAATACCTTCACATAGATTTCAGAATCATTGTAGGGGACACCCTTTCTGTAAACCGCCCCTTGGGTCTAGGCTGGCTTGGTGGACCAGTAACCTCTGCAGTTCCCTTAGGCCCCATGCTCAGAAGAGCCAAATGATTGACCTTTAGTGTTCTGTAGTGGCCATCTTGAAATTTTTAAGGATTTTATCTTTGAACGTGTGTTGTTTAGGTAAAGTCTTATGGGACAGCAGAGCATGTGTTGGGGGATTGGAGGTTTGGAGCACTAGAGCAGTCTCAGCTTCTGCCACCTCCCCATCACCCTCAGAGAGATTTTGATGGCCTGCTCCCCAAGCCCTGCTGACTTTCGCCCTTCTTGGAATCCTCCTCCCAACCCTGGCCCAGAGATCACTGCAGCCCCTTGTCCCCACAGGGGCCTGACATGGGCACAGGGAAGGGCAAGGTTGTGTGCATGTGCCTCGTGGTGTCTTGGGTAGGGAGTGGCAGCAGTCAACCCTGCCCAGCACTAACAGCACCCGGGCACCTTCCATGGGCATCTAGGAAGGGGTGAGCCTCTGACCCACTCTTCATCCAGATGCCCAGTGCATCCTGGTGCAGAGGTTGCAATATCCATTGGGTTCACTCATCCTCCATGAGCTGGGGCCGCAGTCCCATAGGAGGGGAAGACATTGGATCAATTTCCCTATCCCCAGCTGGACCAGACACTGCAATCTGGCAGTGGGAAGGAGTGGATACCCAAGAGCCGGTACCTTTACCGGCATATTTTTCCTGCTTTTGAATAAGAAGCTTGGCATTTTTAGTTTGCCCTGGATCCTGCAAATTATGTAGCTGGCCCTTGCTCTAATTTTGTACCCAATTATAGAATAGTGATAAATACGATGAAATATTGTTTTGATGCTCTTAAGTATAAACTTATTATAATTGGGTGGAAATATTTGACTAATTTATTATTTATTATCATTATTTACATTTGAAATTCAAGCTGTTTTATTATAAACGACTTCCCCTGTATTTTTTCTTTATATTAAAATTAGAACTGTAATGGGGTTGATAACCACTGTTTTAGAAGTAGTAGACAATACAATTTTTTTAAAAAAATTTCATTGTGGTATAAAAATGTGAAAGCAAGATGGAGATGATATGGTTATAGAAACAAAATCTGTAAGTCAACTATTACTACAGATAATAAATAATTCAGAAAAATAGTAGGATGGGAAATTTATAGATATAAAGCAATAGCTGTCATTGATACAAAAAAATGCCAGTTAAAATATGAAAGAAAAAAAGCCTATTTACAATACTAACAAACAGGTAAAACATCTAGGACTAAACTTAATAAAAAATAGGAAACACCTAAACAAAGAAAACTTGAAAATTCTACTGAAGGCTGCAGAACAAGGCTTGACCAAATGGAGAGGCACACCATGATGTTGAAAATAAATACTTGACATCATATTATAGTAATGAAAGCTCTTTCTATCTTCATTTGCAAATTCAATGAATCTGAAAAAAATACAATGTTTTGAATGAACAGGTAATTTAAAGTTCATGTTAAAAATTAAAAAGAGAAATTTTAAAAATCCTGAAAAATGAGGGCCACGCAAAGAGAATTGCTCTGTCAGATACCAAAGCAGCAGAGCATATGCTCTGAAGCCGCAGGAATTAAAATAGATAGACAGATGTACCAAGGGAATTAAGTTGAAAATCCAGAACCTGACCTTGGTACATACAGGACTTCAGATATGATAAAGGTGGTACCTTGAGGATATTCGATAAATGGGATCGGGACCACTGAGTAGCCATCTAGAAAAGAATTATCCAGAGATAAAGGAAATTGAATCTGTATCTTAAACCAAACAATGACACAAACTCCAAATGGACAAAGATATAAAAATCATACAACTATAAAAATACTTGAAAAAACATGGGGAAATTATTTCATTACCTCAGAGTGAGGAAGTTTTTTCTAAAAATGACACAAAATAGAGAATCTATGAAAAACTTAAATATATAATACAAATCATCAATACCAAAAATCAGCAAAACCATCAATATTTAAACAATTTAAATGTGTCGATATCAAAATATTGATAAATATCAACATCAATCAGAATTAATATTTAAAAATCCACCCTAAGTAAAGAAAAAGGTCAAATGACAAAGACACATTTGAATCTCTTAATGCAAAAATATAATCTCGTTTATACATAAAGAGCTTCTAAAAATAAATAAGAAAAAGACTGATAATACAAGTTTAAAAGTAGGTAAAATGTTATACTCAATTCACAGAAGAGGAAATAGGAATGGCTCTCAAGATGAAAAGTTGATTAATCTCACTCATAATTAAAATTGCACTGCTTGTGAAAGAGACATTAATGTTCGCCAAATATTCCACTGAATCCCACACACACTGTATGCCTTGCACTTAGGTGTGCCATGTAAGGAGAGGTAATTAATGATCAGCGCCCCTTCCAGCCTGAAGGGGTGGAAAGGACCCGCTTGGTTCTCCACTCTCTATACCTCGTCAAGGTAACCAAGGAGACCTCATGCTGCAGATGAAGCAGCTACATGGCGGCTGAGTCTCCAGCAGCCCAGAGCCTCGAGTGGTGAGTGAAGTAGGGCCCACCTCACCTGCATGAGGCAGATAATGTGCACAAACGACTCACTGTTGTGTTCAGTCACTGAGTTTGGGTGTTGCATAACCTCGCTTATCTTGCCTCGTATACTTCAATATATTTTTCGCCACTTTCGTAAATAAGCAAAAGTCTGTTAACGCAAAGTGTAAAGCTGTGGAGAAAAATGATGCACTATTTTCCACTTTTAGACACTTTTCCCACAAATACATAAGTACGAAAGAAGGTTATTTGTTGCAGCATTGTTTCTAATAGGAAAAATTGGAAATAACCTAAGTATCTGCCAACAGAAAATTGGTGATTTTATTTAGATATATAATGTTTTACAAACTGGAATATCGTGCAACTACGAAAAAAGAATGAGGAAACTCTATGGAGTTGGAATGTTGTTTAAGATACACCAGTAGGTAAAAAGAGCAAAGCGGAGAAATTTGTTTAGGAAGAGAAGAGGAACCTTTGTACATATATATATGCGTGTGTGTGTGTGTGTGTGTGTGTGTGTATTCACGCATCTGATGCTTGAACAACACAGTTTTGAACTACACAGGTCCACTTATATTTTCTTCTGCCTCTGCCACCCTGAGACATAAAGACCAGCCCCTTGTTTCCTCCTTTCCCTCAGCCTACTCAATATGAAGACAATGAGGATGAAGACTTTTATGATTTTTATGATGATTTAATTCTACTTAATACATAGTAAATGTATTTGCTCTTTCTTATAATTTTCTAAATAACATTTTCTTTTCTCCAACTTACTTATTGTAAGAATACAGTACATAATATGTATAACATACAAGATATATGTTAATCGACTATGTTATTGGTAAGGCTCAGTAAACAGTATGAGCACTTAAGTTTTGGGGAATCAAAAGTTTTGTGCAGATTTTCACACACACACACACACACACACACACACAGAGTTGAATTATAAGATAGCACTCAAGGTCCCCACCTCCTGGTGGTTACCCTCTGTCTACTGCCCTCTTCAAT
Source organism: Homo sapiens (assembly GCF_000001405.40). Classification (NCBI taxonomy): domain Eukaryota; kingdom Metazoa; phylum Chordata; class Mammalia; order Primates; family Hominidae; genus Homo; species Homo sapiens. The sequence continues at coordinate 107,192,647 of NC_000002.12, read as the reverse complement.
GTGGGTAGAACATGGGACTTTTCTAGCTTATAGAAAATAACAAAGATGAAGAGAATCTCCAGAAATAATTAAGGTCCCAAGTCAACTGATTTTGTGTCTCACAGTTAAGTGCAAAGTCAGCTGCAGGTTTATTGTAGATGCTGTTTATCAAGGTGAGGAAGTTTCTCTATATGCCTAGTTTGTTGAGAGTTTTCAATATGAATGGTTGCGGGATATTTTCAAATGCATTTCCTGCATTGATTGATATGATCATATATTTTTTTCTTGAAGTTTTTGATGTTTTGTAATGGATTACATTAGATAATTTTAGAATGTTGAATCAACTTTGCATGCCTGGCTTAAACCTCTCTTGTTTATGGTGTATATTCTTCTAAAAAATTGCTGGATTCAAATTGTTGATATTTGGTTGAAGACTTCTGCATATATGTGCATGAGAGATATTATTCTTTAGTTTTCTTGTAATGTATTTTTCCGCTTTGGGTATTAGGGTAATTCTGGCCTCATAGAATAAGTTAGAAAGTGTCCCCTCTACTTTTATTTTTCTAGAAGAGATTATAGAGAAGTGATATTATTTCTTCCTTCAGTGTTTGGTAGAATTCCAATTTGGTAGCCAGTGAAACTGAGGCAGGTGCTTTCTCTTTTGGAAGGTTGTTAACATTAATCCAATTTTTAAAATGTATATAACGCTATTCAGATATCTACTTCACGTTGTGTGAATTATGGTAGATTTTTGTCTTTAAAGCAACTGGTCCATTTAACCTAAGTTATGAAATTTGTGAGAACAGAGTTGTTCATAATATTCCTTTATTATCTTTTTAGTGTCCTTGGAATCAGTAGTAATGGTCCCTTTTTCATTTCTGATAATAGAAATTTATGTCTTCTTTCTTTTGTTCTTGGTTAGAGTGGCTAGAGGCTTATCAATTATATTGGTCTTTTCAAAGAAACAGCTTTTGATTTTGTTGATTTTTCTCTATTAACTTTTGGTTTCCAATTTCATGGCCTTCTGCACTAATTTTTATTATGTGTTTTATCTTATTGCTTTCAGTTTGTATTATTCTTCTTTCTCTAACTTCCTAAGGTGGAAGCTTAGGTTATTAATTTTAGATCTTTCTTTTTTTCTTGTCTAATACATGCATTCAGTGCTACAGATTTCCACCTAAAGCATTACTTTCTCTGTATCCAAAAATGTTGATAGATTGTATTTTTATTTCATTTAGTTCAAAATATTTAAAAATGTTTATTGAGACTTATTTGACCCATGTGTTATTTAGAAGTGTGTTTTTTAAGGACCCAATATTTCTGGGTTTCCAGCTATTTTTCTGTTATAGATTTTTAGTTTAATTTTGCTGTGGTCTAAGAGCATACATTGTATGATTTTTATTCTTTTAAATTTGTTATGGTTAGGCCCAGGTTGTCATTAATCTTGGTGAATGTTCTATGTGTGTTTGAGAACAATGTGTATTTTGCTGTTGTGTGGGATGAAGTAGTCTATAGATGTCAATTATATCCAGTTGATTTACGATGCTGTTGAACTCACATATATTCTTACTGATTTTGTGCCTGCTAGCTGTGTCCATTTCTGGTAGAGGGGTGTTAAAATCTCCAACTATCACAGTGAATTTATGTTTGTCCTTGCAGTTCTAGCAGTTTTGGCCACATGTATTTTGATGCTCTGTAGTGAGACACATACACGGTTAAGAAATTATATGCCCTCTTGGAGAATTGGCCCCTGTATCATTATATAATGGTCTTCTCTATCCTGATCATTTTTCTTGCTCAGATGTCCATTTTGCCTAAAATTAACATAGCTACTCCAGCTTTATTTTTATTAGTTCTATCATAACATATTTTTCTCCATCCCTTAACTTTTCATCTGTCCGTGCCATTCCATTTAGTGAGAGTTTTTATAAAAAGCATATAGTAGGGTTCTGTTTTTTAAGCACTCTGTAAGTCCCTCTCGTTTGCTTAAACTATTTAGGTGATTCACATTTAAAATGATTATTGACATAGTTGAATTAACATCTACCACATGTGTAACTGTCATATATTCATTGCAATTGTTATTTGTTGCTTTTTTTATTAGTAGTATACTTTAAGTTTTAGGGTACATGTGCACAATGTGCAGGTTAGTTACATATGTATACATGTGCCATGTTGGTGTGCTGCACCCATTAACTCATCATTTAGCGTTAGGTATGTCTCCTAATGCTATCCCTCCCCCTCCCCCCAGCCCACAACAGTCCCCAGTGTGTGATGTTCCCCTTCTTGTGTCCATGTGTTCTCATTGTTCAATTCCCACCTATGAGTGAGAACATCTGGTGTTTGGTTTTTTGTCCTTGCGATAGTTTGCTGAGAATGATGGTTTCCAGCTTCATCCGTGTCCCTACAAAGGACATGAACTCATCATTTTTTATGGCTGCATAGTATTCTATGGTGTATATGTGCCACATTTTCTTAATCCAGTCTATCATTGTTGGACATTTGGGTTGGTTCCAAGTCTTTGCTATTGTGAATAGTGCCACAATAAACATACGTGTGCATGTGTCTTTATAGCAGCATGATTTATAATCCTTTGGGTATATACCCAGTAATGGGATGGCTGGGTCAGATGGTATTTCTAGTTCTAGATCCCTGAGGAATCGCCACACTGACTTCCACAATGGTTGAACTAGTTTACAGTCCCACCAACAGTGTAAAAGTGTTCCTATTTCTCCACATCCTCTCCAGCACCTGTTGATTCCTGACTTTTTAATGATCACTATTCTAACTGGTGTGAGATGGTATCTCATTGTGGTTTTGATTTGCATTTCTCTGATGGCCAGTGATGATGAGCATTTTTTCATGTGTTTTTTGGCTGCATAAATGTCTTCTTTTGAGAAGTGTCTGTTCATATCCTTTGCCCACTTTTTGATGGGGTTGTTTGTTTTTTTCTTGTAAATTTGTTTGAGTTCATTGTAGATTCTGGATATTAGCCCTTTGTCAGATGAGTAGGTTGCAAAAATTTTCTCCCATTTTGTAGGTTGCCTGTTCACTCTGATGGTAGTTTCTTTTGCTGTGCAGAAGCTCTTGAGTTTAATTAGATCCCATTTGTCAATTTTGGCTTTTGTTGCCATTGCTTTTGGTGTTTTAGACATGAAGTCCTTGCCCATGCCTATGTCCTGAATGGTATTGCCTAGGTTTTCTTCTAGGGTTTTTATGGTTTTAGGTCTAACATGTAAGTCTTTAATCCATGTTGAATTAATTTTTGTGTAAGGTTTAAGGAAGGGATCCAGTTTCAGCTTTCTACATATGGCTAGCCAGTTTTCCCAGCACCATTTATTAAATAGGGAATCCTTTCCCCATTTCTTGTTTTTGTCAGGTTTGTCAAAGATCAGATAGTTGTAGATATGCGGCATTATTTCTGAGGGCTCTGTTCTGTTCCATTGATCTATATCTCTGTTTTGAGACTTTCAATAAGACTTAGACTCCCAACAATAACAGTGGGAGACTTTAACACCCACTGACAATATTAGACAGATCATCAAGGGAGAAAATTAAAAAGTTATTCAGGGCCTGAACTCTCTTTCAGGGGCACAGTCTCTTTCAGGGGCACAAATGAATTACAGTTTTCAATCTCTTTACATTATCCCATATTTCTTGGAGGTTTTGTTCATTCCTTTTCATCCTTTCTTCTGTATTGTTGTCTAACTATCTTATTTCAGAAAGTCAGTCTTCAAGCTCTGAGATTCTTTCCTCTTCTAGGTCTATTCTGCTGTTAATACTTGTGATTGCATTACGACATTCTCGTACTGTTGTTTTTTGGCTTTATCGTCTGGTTATGTTCTTCTATATACTCGCTATTCTGTATTGTTTTATTGTGATTCTCAGCTTCCTTAGATTGGATTTAAATGTACTCCTGCATCTCAATCCATATTTTAAATTCTATTTCTGTCATTTCAGCCATCTCAACCCAGTTCAGAACTCTTGCTGGAGAGATACTGTGGTCATTTTGAGGAATTAAGGTGCTCTGGCTTTTTGAGTTCTTGCGCTGATTCTTCCTCATCTTTGTGGGCTGATGTTCCTTCAGTCTTTGAAGTTACTGTCTTCTGATTTTCTCTTTCTTGTATTCCATTTGATGCCATTGAGGATTTGATTGTGGTATAAGGTAGGTTCATTAACTAGCTTCAATTCTGGAAGCTTTTAGGGGGTCAAGACTCAGCTCCCAACTCCTGACTGCATGCTCTAACTTTGAGGGACTTGCATCAGGTCCTAACTTTGTTCTCTGGTTCCTCAAACTTAGGAACCCACTGTACTGGGGAGGGGGAGGTGCTCCTAGACCACTGATCTCTACATTCTGATGTGTGGTGCCAACCAAAGCATTTCATAGGATGGTGGCAATGGGGTCTGTCCTTGCTCACATGTGCCAGCAGCAGCAGCAGCAGCAGTAACAGCACGGCAGGGTGCATGCTCATCAGCAGCAGCAGGGTGCTGGCAGATGCTGAGGTGCCTGCCTATGTGTAGACATTCACAGTAGCGGTAACTGTGGTATGGCTGGGGGATGGGTAGGGGCCCCCAACTGGTGACTGGGTGCATGGTCATGCTGGTGATGGTGTTAGCACAGGGGTGGGCCCTGGTGGCTCCAGGTCGGAGTGTACCCTCTATGTGCATTCACACAGGCTGGGTTGGTTGCTCAAGGCAAGGGAAGGTCTGCTGTTCTCCATGCCTAGTTTTGCTCTTGCAGCAGTGTTGGCACAGGGGCAGGATGTTGACAAGAGCAGGGCTGGTGGGCTCTGTGCCTGCCAAGGCTCCAACTGCAATGGCAGTATGGCAGGTCGAGTGGGGGAGGATGGAGTGCTCTCCTGTCAGCAGCAGTGGCAGGACAGGGTGCACATGCAAAAGTGTTCTGGAAAGGCAGGGCAGGCAAAATCCACCCAGGCACACACATTCTGGCAAAACAATGTGGGAAGTGGCCATGGGCCCATGGGAAGCTGCAGTTGGGGAGGAAGCAGGTGGACTGATATATGTCCATCTGCAGCGGCCACACTGCTGGAGTTCTCCACCTGTCAGTCATGGTCCACCAGCACAGGAACTTCATGTGGGCCCCCAAGGGCACCCAAGGCATGCCTGCAAGCAGACATGGCCAGGCTGGGGCCCCAGAAGAAGCCAGCAGACCAAGAGGTGCTCAGATCCGACCAGCCTCATCTAATGGGCAAGACTCCCCTGCAGAGTTCAGGTGCAGCAGTTCCCCTAGGGCTACAATCTCCTATGGGAGCAAGTTGAGCCTAGCGGGATGGGCCTCTCTTGCTAGGCTCCACAATAGACACTCCCACATCAAACCCTCTGGGCTCCTAATCAGCTGGCTTGCTGCCCTTGCCACTTCTCTAAGCATCTCTCCCTACCAACTCAAGTGTCCATGGCGGTTGAGGGGTCTCTCTCCTGCCAGGATTGCAGAGGCCCCTGGGGAGAGTGGATTTCTTCTTGCCAATTCCAATCACCCATTCCCCCAAAGTCATAGGGGGACAGGAATGAGCCCCAGTGTGCAGTAGCCCCATGCAAGGTTTCCAGCTTCCTCCTCCTCCTTCAGCCCAGCTTCTGTGTCTTCCCTCCATCCTCTCTCAGTTCTTTCCCTCTGAAGATGTGTTAGGAGTGTGTCTGTCTTCCTCATCCCTCAGTGGCAGCTGTTTCACCTGGCTTCTAGTTGTGTCTAGTTGGCCATCTTGCACAAATTTTGAAGTTCTTTTTAACATTTTTTGCAAGTCACATTTAAGACAACAAATTCCCATAATTTTAAATTTTGTTTGTTCAAGAAAGTCTTTATTCCTCCTTTACTTTTGAAGGATAATTTTGCTGTGTACAGAATTATAGGCTGGTGGGGGGTTTTTCTTCCAACACTTAAAATATTTAATTTCACTGTCTTCTTGCTTGCATGTTTTCTAAAGAGAAGTCTATATAATTCTTATCCTTCTTCATCTTGTAGACAAGCTATTTTTTTCCCTCTGACTTCTTGGAAGTTTTTTTTTGTCTTTGGTTTTTTTCTACAGCAAATATGAGATGACTAAGTGTAGATATTTTGGTATTTAT